>NC_000014.9:50823834-51126864 GCF_000001405.40 Homo sapiens | reverse complement strand
GACAACACAACCAAAAGGAAACACATCCCATGCTCATGGATGGGTAGAATCAGTATTGTGAAAATGACCATACTGCCAAAAGCAATCTACCAATTCAGTGCAATTCCCATCAAAATACCACTATCAGTCTTCACAGAACTACAAAAAACAATCCTAAAATTCATATGGAACCAAAAAAGAGCTGCAAAGCCAAAGCAAAACTAGGCAAAAAGAACAAATCTGGAAGCATTACATTACCTGACTTCAAACTGTACTGTAAGACTATAGTCACCAAAACAGCATGGTACTGGTATAAAAATAGGCACATAGACCAATGGAACAGAATAGAGAGCCCAGAAATAAACCCAAATACTTACAGCCAACTGATCTTCAAACAAGCAAACAAAAACATAAAGTGGGGAGAGGACACCCTATTCAACAAATGGTGCTGGGATAAATGGTTAGCCACATGTAGGAGAAGGAAACTGGATCCTCACCTCTCACCTTAAAATCAACACAAAATGGATCAAAGACTTAAACCTAAGGTCTAAAACCATAAGAATTCTAGAAGATAACCTCAGAAAAACCCTTCTAGACATTGGCTTAGGCAAGGATTTCATGACCAAGAACCCAACAGCAACTGCAATGAAAACAAAGATAAATAGATGGGACATAATTAAACTAAAAAGCTTCTGCATAGCAAAAGAAATAATCAACAGAGTTAACAGACAACCCACAGAGTGGGGGAAAATCTTCACAATCTATACATCTGATAAAGGACTAATATCCAGAATCTACAAAGAACTCAAATAATTCAGCAAGAAAAAAACAATCCCATCAAAAAGTGGGCTACAGACATGAATAGACAATTCTTAAAAGATACACAAATGGCCAACAAGCATATAGAAAAATGCTGAACATCACTAGTGATCAGGGAAATGCAAATTAAAACCACAAGGTGATACCACCCCACTCCCGCAAAAATGGCCATAATAAAAAAAATTTTTTTAAATAGATATTGGCATGGATGTCGTGAAAAGGGAACACTTTTACACTGTTGATGGGAATGTAAAACTAGTACAACCAATATGGAAAACAGTGTGGAGGTTCCTTAAAGAACTAAAAGTAGATCTATCATTTGATCCAAGAATCACACTACTAGGTATCTACCCAGAGCAAAAGAAGTCATTATACAAAAAAGATATTTGCACATGCATGTTTATAGCAGCACAATTTGCAATTGCAAAAATGTGGAACCAGCCCAAATGCCCATCAATCAACTAGTGAATAAAGAAAGTGTGGTCTATATGTACCGCGGAATACTACTCAGCCATAGAAAGGAATGAAATAATGGCATTTGCAGCAACCTGGTGGAATTAGAGACTATTATTCTAAATGAAGTAACTCAGGAATGGAAAACCAAACATCGTGTGTTCTCACTCGTAACTGGGAGCTAAGCTATGAGAACGCAAAGCCGTTAGAATGATACAATGGATTTGGGGGACTTGGGGGAAAAGGTAGGAGGGAAGTGAGGGATAAAAGACTATACATTGGGTACAGTGCACACTGCTTAGGTGATGGGTGCACCAAAATCTCAGAAATCACCACTAAAGAACTTATTCCTATAACCAAACACCACTGTTCCCCAAAAAACCTATTGAAATAAAAAATAGATTAAAAAATAAAAGTCAAAACAACTGTAAAAGTTAGGCTTAATTTTTTTAAAGGATGAGTGAAGAGATGAGCTGACAATTCATAAGAAACAGATGTCCTCTATATGTGAAAATATTACACTTTTTTGTTTGTTTGTTTGTTTGTTTTTTGAGACGGAGTCTCGCTCTGTCACCCAGGCTGGAGTGCAGTGGTGCGATCTGGGCTCACTGCAAGCTCCGCCTCCCGGGTTCACGCCATTCTCCTGCCTCAGCCTCCCGAGTAGCTGGGACTACAGGCGCGCCTGCCACCACGCCCGGCTCATTTTTTGTATTTTTTAGTAGAGACGAAGTTTCACCGTGTTAGCCAGGATGGTCTCGATCTCCTGACCTCGTGATCCGCCTGCCTCGGCCTCCCAAAGTGCTGGGATTACAGGCGTGAGCCACCGTGCCCGGCCTATAGTTTATTTTTATTTTATTTATTTATTTATTTTGAGTCAGGGTCTGGCCCTGTCACCCAGGCTGGAGTGCAGTGGCGCCATCTCCGCTAACTGCAATGTCCACCTCCTGGGCTCAAGCCATCCTCCCACCTCAGCCTCCCTAGTAGCTGGGACTTCAAGCACATGCCACCATTGCTGGCTAATTTTTGTATTTTTTGGAGAGACGGGATTTTGCTGTGTTGTCCAGGCTGGTCTCCAACTCCTGAGCTCAAGCAATCCACCCACCTCAGCCTCCCAAAATGCTGGGATTACAGGCATGATCCACCATGCCGGGCCAAAAATATTATAGTTTAACCTCCCTTATAACTGAAGAGATATTTATAAAAATCGCAAGCACTACTTCTTACCTATTAGACTGGCAAAGTTTAAAAAGTTTGATAAAAATCCAATGTAAATATAAGGAAAACAAGTCTCATATACTGTTGGTAGAAGTATAAATTTGTATGGTCTGTTTAGATGGCAATTTGACAACATCTATAAAATTTTACGAGCTACTTGAATTAGCAATTCCATTTCTAAGAATTTATATTTGCGTATCATGGGCGCGTGATGTATCTGTGTGTGTGTGTACAAATATTTCATATATCTTATATGCAAACTAGCTAGCTAGATGCATAGATCAGCATTGATTATAATGGAGAAAATTTAGAACAACCTACATGTCCATCAATTGGAAATTGGTTACATAAGTGATTATACCTCCAGTAAAATGACTTATTCCCCTAATTTATCT
The DNA here is from genome assembly GCF_000001405.40 of Homo sapiens. NCBI lineage: Eukaryota > Metazoa > Chordata > Mammalia > Primates > Hominidae > Homo > Homo sapiens. The sequence goes on along the minus strand of NC_000014.9, from coordinate 51,124,003 downwards.
TTCTCCCACCTGAAATGGTCTTCCCTTCATTTTCTTCCTTTGGGAAGCCTTCTCAGGACATTCCATATATTCATGATGATTTCTTTAGTAGATGCTAAGGTATTCCCCACCATATCAATTTTCACTCACTCCAACTACCCTGCAGTGGTAGATTGATTGCATTATTGGCCTTGTAACTGCCTAGAAACTTTGTAGTTCCTACCCAATTTGAATCTGGGCTTGGCTGTGTAGCCTGTTTTGGCCAGGAGGAAAGTAGCAAATTTCATACACACACACACACACACACACACACACACACACACACTGGCTTGAAGGAAGAGTTTGCACATTTCTACTTGCTCTCTATGACCACCATGTGATTGCCACAAAAACATGCCTAGGCAAGCCTTCTGGAGAATGAGATACGTGGAGTGGAGTCCAGTCATCCTAGCTGAAGCCATTAATAGATCAGCAAACTTCCAGCTAATTGTCAAGCCAGTGCGTAAGCCCCAGCTAAGATCAAAACACTGCCCAGCCAAACCCAGTGAAGATCAGCAGGACCCACCCAACTGATATGTAGATTTATGGGAAATAATAAATGGTTGTTGTTTTAGGCTACTATATTTTGGAGTTGTTTGCTATGCAGCAATAACTAACTGATATAACTTCCAATTTACCTTTTTAAAAAATGTATTTATTTCCAAGCTACTTGAGCTTATTAAATGACATTCACTATCTATCTTTTAAAATATTTTAAAAATATAATCTGCTGTTAAGTTCCGGATATTCTACTGTCCTTATGGTAATTTAATTATTATATCTTCTATAAACCTAGATTTAAAAAGCAAGAATTTAGTTGTTTATTTTAGTCTTCTTTCATCTACCTCCATTATTTGCAACAGAGAGCCAAATACACACACACACACACACACACACACACTCACAATCATTCCTCATTTTCCATGGGAGATTGGTTCCAGGACCCTTGTGAATACCAAAACCTGAGGATGCCCAAGTCCCTTATATAAAGTGGCATAGTATTTGCATGTAACCTATTGCACACCTTCCTGTATACTTTAAGTAATATCCAGATTACTTATAATACCTAATACAATGCCTACATATCACCTCACTTGCCTGGATTCAATGTAGTACTCAGTGCATTGTAAATTCAAGTTTAGCTTTTTCAAACTTTGTGTAATTTTTTTTCCCCAAATACTTATGTTCTGTGGTTGGTTGAATTTATGGATGCAGAGCCCATGGATACAAAGGGCTGACTGTATATGTACATACATATATGTATCCCTTCGAAGAATAAAGGATTCAAATATTACATGTTTTATGAGATGATTGAATTTAGTGGTTGGAAATTTTTGGGTGTTTTTAAGTCAAGTTACATTATTTTCAATAGTGTGAGAATCAAGAGGATAGTGATTATGAGCAAAATAAAGAGAAAAACCTTTGGAGAGGATTTCCTAAGGTCACCAGTTTTGGCTTTTTCTTTTTCTTCCATCCTATCCTAGTTTCATCGGTGACTCAGGACCTCAATTGACACAGAACTGGTTTCAAGTACAGGAAAAAGATGTGGCCCCACCATCAATTACCAGTGGTAAGACAATTTAAAAAAAGAAAAAACAGCAGGAGCTGTTCAGATCAAGATGAATATGGCTTTGTTTTCATCTTGAAAAAATTTCAGTCATTTTTACAATGCTATAAACACAAATTAATGTAACCCACTGTCCTCACTTTTACATTTTAAAAGCCTGTGGAAGAAAGATGTGACAAAAGGAAAGGATGCAAACATTATTATTTTAAATCCTTAATTTTTACATCCATCAGCTTTTCTTTCTGCTTACTGCCCTGTCTAGAAACCGTCTTTTCCTTGTATTCTGTTTTTTTTGTTTTGTTTTGTTTTTTAAAAAATAGTCTTTAATTTCCCAAAACAAAGGGAGAATGATTAGGACTTTCTTTCACATGCTTCAGGCACTCCATTCTGTGAAGATGGATTACTTCTTCAATAATCCTTTCCAAACAAGTTCTTAAGTCAGTTTCTCTCCTTTTTTTTTTTTTTTTTGATAATGTAAAACAAATTGTACCATTAGTCATTTAACACAAACAAAACATCTCCCTTTGTGAAAACCACCAAGCCATTTGGTTAAAAACCAAAGGATAAATCACATTTACCTAATGGATGGAACTTGATAATTTCTCCATGTGTTACTACTAAAATTGACAAGGCAGAAGTTGCCAAGAAGAAGGGCTAAACAGTACTCTAAAGAAAGAAAAATAGTTCTTGAGCTTTTATTAAATGTTTCTTTGTCTTGAAGTTTGGTTCTGTTTCCACCAGGAAATTAATTGCTATTTCACTTATACCTGTGCCAATAATTAAACAACTTTAAGAGAGTAGTTTTCAGAATAACTATTCCCAAAGCCAGTCTATGGAAAAAAGCAACATTCCCAAGTAACTTTTTATGATATTTAGGATACCAACAAATGGTTTGTGAGTATGGCCAGTTTATTTCTAACAAAGCAACAAAAAATGCCTGAATCTGCATCATTTATTTGCTACGATAAATAGTCCACCTTAGCACTAAACACCATCAGTTGAACAAGAAACTAGAATCCTCTGGAGCAAACTGATCGAAGCTCAAATTGCTTTCTTTAGGTCTGACCTGGTTCTACTAGGGTCATTACCAGTATTCAAAACATGCACTCACTTCCTCTGGCAATTATACTGCATGTCAAAGGAGCTTCCTCTAAGAAGTTGAAAAATTCTATTCATTTCACTTGCCCAAGGCCATATATGGAATTTTTTCTTATTTGGCAATGTTTCCCACCAAAACTGAAAAAGGCTATAATGACAGCCAAAAATCACGTTTCTTAATGGCAGAATGTCACTATTAAATATATATATTTTTGCCTTCCTAGTCTCCTCTGTCTCAATTTTTTAATAGGTTTTTTTAAAACTTGTCTGGGGAGGACATGGCAAGACTGTTGTTTCTTTTATAATAAAACTGCATTATGTTGTGTTTCTTCAAGTTGCTGAGAAACTCCTCCTTCTATATCTGCTAAAGAGAGGTACAACTTAAAGAGAGGAAAATATAGACTAATTTAGTACTAACCGTGAACCAAGTGCTTTATATATGTTAGCTGACCACTCTATAATTGAGGTATTATCATTCCTGTTTTATAGTCAAGAAAATCAAGGGGCTTTGAGAGAAAGAGAGAGAGAGAGTTTTGTGTGTGTGTGTTTTTAAAGAGATAGGGTCTTATTATGTTATCCAGGCTGGCCTGAACTCCTGGGCTCAAGCCATCCTCTTGCCTTGGCTTCCCAAAGTGCTGGGATTAAAGGCATGAGCCACCAGGCTTGCTCTCTCTTAAAGATAGTAAATTACTTGCCCAAGGCCATGTATGGAATCAGAATTTGGCCCCACATGGAATCTGACTCCAAAGCTAGAGATCTGTTCACTTCTGCTTTCCTAGTTGGATTTTAATGAAACCTATTGGAATGACACTTATAAACTCAACAAGATTCAACTAATTTAATTTCTGGAGCTAGGATTATTTCCTCATCTTTTTAAATTTAATCTACAACTTTCTTATGTTTCACCCTTTTTAATTGTCAAAAATGTAAGTAATACAATTAAAATACAGTCCCCTATGGCAAAAACCAAAGTTCCCTTGACTGACAGGCAAGAAAGACAAACTCTTTGCACATACTCAGAGGAAGTATCATGCTTCAAATTCCTGGCTGTCTCATCAAGTAAGCCATGTTCAAATCCTCTAAGGGCTTGTTTGAGGACTAAACAAGGTCATGTATGTAGTAAGCACCTGATAAACAAAGTCTAAATGGTAACTTTATTTAATGAATGTTTCCAGAGTGGCAAACAAAGCTGACCTATTCCTGCCCCCATTAGAGATGCTGGTTCATAGAAGGGGAGAAAGGGAATAAAAAGTGAAGGGGAGGGGAAGAGGGAAAAGGGGAAGGTTCTCAGGGCCATGGAGCAAAACGTAGCTAAGAGCACACAGAGACTAAACCTTCCACTTTACAAAGTCAAGGGCTGTGGCTTTGCATTATATCCAGGGCTTGTAAAGCTTTCTTCTCCTGTTAGAGAACCTTCCAATTCCCACTTGAAAGGGAAACAATCAAGCTTGGCAGATAACAAGCGGTTCTGTGATGACAACAATGCTCAGACATCAAGCCTGTTGACAGAACAAGTTGACAAGTTCATATCCTCTATGCAGGATTGCAAATTCTCAAATGTGTTTTGCTGCTTTCAAGTGTAGACAGATGTATTTGGAAAAAATGATTTTATTGCAAATTGGATTTCTCATGTGTTGCTGAGCAGCCCCTGCAGCTTTGACAGGTGCAAGAGAGGTGGTGGAGGTAGCTTTTCAAAATCTAGCCATGATGCCTCCCCCGACTGTGTAAGGGTAATGATCAGCAGGGTGTGCCGATTCAATTCCTGTTGGCATTTGTTCCATCAGGATATAAGTGACAAGCTCTGCCTGAAAGAAGCCTTCCTAAACACACCCCACCTGCATCTTTGATCCTTGATGGTAAAGTTCTTTAGGGAGCTTAATGTGGCCAAGCACTGTTCTAAGTGCTCTATGTGTAGTAAAGCACTCTATCTTTACATAGCCTGTGAGGTAGCAAGTGTATCATCCCCATTTCCCAAATGAGGAAACAGAGACACAGAGCCATTAAGGAACTTGCCCATGGTCATGCTTGTAAGTGGTTGAGCCACATTTTTAAGCTAAGCAGAGAGTGCTAGGGTCCACATGACATGCAGGGTCTTGTGTTTGGACAGCAGAGATGCTGGAATCCAGTCTTGGCTCTGCCACTTCCTCATAACAAGGGCTGCATTCACTGAGTGGATGCTGTGGTCCCAGCCCTGTGCTAGGCATCTTCAATAGATTTCTCATTCAATACAACAGTGGAGAAAGTGAATACCATTATTATCCTTTAAAATGGGGAAACTGAGCCTGAGGGTAAAAAACTTACCCAAGTTTGTAAAACTAATTCAGTCTGTCTAACCCCAGAGCCCTTGCTCTTAACTACTACAGTGCCTGCTCCTGGCCTTTACTAGTTGTTTTGTGTATTTTACCTCTCTAAGCTTCAGTTTCTTCATCTGGGAAATGGGGATAATATCAGTAACTATCTCAAAAGACCATTGTGCAAGTGAAACAAAGAAAGGCATATGAAAATGATCTATGATGCTCTGTGCAAATCTTAGTTACCTATTATTTTTTCTGAATTGCTCTAGCTTTGTTCTTTAGCTCTTTCAAATATTTATCCCCAATGAAATACAAGTTTCTCAAGGGTAGAAACAATGATTTATCTGCTTTTTATTTACCTTTCATAGAATTTGGCACTTTTTGGGTGTACTTGATAAATGTTTATTAAATAAGTGTAGATATGTGAGACAGCGATGCCAGAGGTTTTGTCTCAGGAGGAAGCTTTGTTGGGCCACTTTGCAAAGGTTAATTCAGGCTTTTAGCTAATAGTTGTCCTATTTATACTGTAATAACCATGAAATGCATGCACATTATTTTCATTTAAAATATTACATAAACTAATGAAAACCAATCTCAAATCAATGTCAGAAAAAGCTCCGAGAAAAAAAAAAACAGTGTCATGGCATGATACCCCTTATTCTGAGGTGTCCTCCTCACAACACCTGTCCCAAAGGATCATGTGATTAGAACAAGGAGAGTCCACTCTGTGGGAAATATATGATGATTGTATCAAAACTCATGAAAGTGATTTTACTTTTTCTTGAGTTTTCTAACCTATTCCTAGTGTTCAAAGATAAACTCTCTAGATTGTGTTAATGAAAGGATTCTCCCTAATACTAGTTTGTTTGATGTGTGACTATTATGTATATTATCAACAGATATTCTCTACAAGACATGCTGTAAGTTCATATTCTTCCCTAAGCAAATTAATTCTTCAAAATGCTGAAGGTTTGGGCATGTGTGTGGCTCCTTACTGACTTACTGACATAAACATTTACAGGGCGGAAGAGAGAAAAGAAAAACAGAAGGAAGATCACTTTATTCTATTTTCCCCACCAAGTAGTTTGTGCAGGGGCACTGAAATTCAGACAATCACTGAAGCATGGCCATGCTTTTTAGTCTTCAAGTAACAGTGAGAGAATGGCCAATAACCGAGCCTTTTCCTGCAAACATGACAAGGTCCTAATGTGTCAGAGTCTTTGCATTTGCTCCTCCTTCTGTCTGTCTCATATTTTCCCCACACTGCCTCATATTTTCCCCACACTGCCTTCTTCTCACCTTTCAGATCCCTTTCTCAGAGAGCTCTTCATCCCTGGCTAAAGTAGTTCTTCTCACATGGTCCCATCCAGTAACCCTCTTTAAGCAACTCTGCAGCATTTATCTAGGCCTGAAGTGATCTTATTTGTTTATGTGTTTATTGTCTGCCTCTCTCAACTTGAGCATAAGCTCCTCAAGAACAGGGAACCCTATTGTGCTTGCCACATTCTGGATGCTTGGCACAGTGTAGATGCTCAGTAAGTATCTGCGGACTCAATTATGAGAAGACAAGCCTGCCAGCTCCAAGTTAGGAAGGCTATATTGAGGGCACATCTAAGGAAGTTCCCCTCCTGGGTCCTTGGTGATGCCCTGCAGTCTCACAGTGATACCAGCACTGTAGCCTTGCTTGCAGCAGCCTCAGCTCAAATCCTAATTCACATATTCAGTGCATTTTTTCCAAGAATCTATATAATGATTGCCCTGCTCTGAATCTTACTAGGCAGACAACCTTGAGCTGCTTATTTAAACCCACTGTGCCCAAGTTTCTTTATCCTTGCAATAGAGATATGTAACTCTTACCCTGGAAAGTTGTGAACATTCGCTGAAATAATGCATGTACCAGGCTTGGCCCAGTGCCTGGCACAGGGTAAGCTCACTATGAATTGCAGCTTTGAATTTATTACTGATGAAAGATCATTTATATTTGTGCCACTAGTCCCTCTCCCATGGTAGACCTCACTAATTGATTATGGCATTTTTTTTCTTTAAAAAAAAATGGCCTCACAACCTTCTCAACACTGCCCTTACCTAGACAGTCACTACCCATCAATCATTTGGAGTTGGTGTGCAAACTGAAATGTACTAGCCCTTCCTGACTCAGAAGGCACTTAACAGGCTGTCAAACAGGATTATTCACATTGAGCTGAGTGTCCAAAAGTAAATTGGTAGTTAATTTTGACTCTAGACAAGTGGCAAATTCAGCAGTATGCCCCATGGACAAACTCACTGGCGTAGGAAGAGAAAAAGTAATGGGAGAATCTGGCTCTTGATAGATGAGGGTAGAAGGAAGGCCCTGCTTTCTTCATTAGCTTTGGCTCCCAAAAGGTTATAGAAATAAGAACTCTTGGAAGGCAGGATGTGAGCAGTGCTCTGGTTTACTTTCTGATATATTCCTTTAGATGAAATACCTATGATGGAAATTGGGAGTTCACGAGGAAAAACCATCCCTGATGTTGATTGGCTTCCTGTGAATTCTTATTAAACATTCCAGATACCCACGAATGATTTCTGGATTCCAATCTATATTAATGGATGTCTATAATTTTTAATAATTTTTTAAATGGTGGAGAATCTAGCAGATTATTAGTTTCTCTTTTTTTGGTCCTATTTCACAAGTTACAATGGGATTTGTTCAGGACCTTTTCCAAGAGATGAGGAGCCTGCCAGCTTGGTTGGAGAGCAATGATGCTTTCAGAACAAAAATGAGAAGAAGCTAGAAAGATTAAATATAGAAACAAAATTAGAAAATGATGCTGTGTTTAATTTAATTGCAGAAGTTTGGTCCTACCCAAAACAGCAAATTAGGAGATGCTGTCCTTCTAGTTTCTGTCCTTGTTCCCACTTTTGGTGGCTTTTCTTCATTCCCTAAAGGACCCAGAGCCCCCAAGTTTCTCTATAAGTTTCACCATCCAAATCTTCCTGCAGGAAATTAGTTGGGGAAAAACTAATTTATACCAGAATGGAAATGTCTAGCTGACTTGATATTTCCTCTTAGTGGTAATACACAGACTTCATGGTTTAAGGACTTTTATGGGTTGAACTGTGTTCTCCCCAGATTGATATGTTGAAGCCCTAACCTTCTGTACTGCAGAATGTGACTGTATTTGGGAATAAAGTCTTTAAAGAGATAATTAAGTTTAAATGAATTCATTAGGGTGGGCCCTGATCCAAAATGAGTGGTGTCATCATAAGAAGAGTAGATCAGGACATACACAGGCACAGAAGAAAGCTCATGTGAAGACACAGGGAGAAGATGGCCATGTACAAGCCAAGGAGAGAGGCCTCAGAAAAAACCCAGCCTGCTGATACTTTGATCTTGAACTTCTAGTCTCTAGGACTGCAAGGAAATAAGTTTCTGTTGTTTAAGAACCCAGTTTTTGGTACTTTGTTATGGCAGCCTTAGCCAACTAAAACAAGTCGTTAAACTTAACATTAGAATCCCAACTCTTCCATTTAGTAACTGTGAGATCTCAGGCAGTTAACTATCTGAACTTCAGTTTCCTGAACTATAAATGGAAACAATAAAGTCTACCTCATGAGGAGGCTGTGAGGATTAAATGAGGCAATGCACGTTATTGGTTAGCACAGTGCCTGCATTGTACCTGGCACTTAGCTCTTCATAAAGTACCATCATTACTACTGCTATTACTATTATGTTAGCATTTTAACTGGATACAAATGGGTGAAATCAGTACTTCTGTACCATCACTTATTTTCACATGATAGAAACTAAAAGATATTTATTAACAAATGACTGTTATGAACAAATTCGCTGATGGCTTTTTACTCCTAAGGGGCACTTAGTTCCTATACAGGTGCTATCAAAAGCTACAGGTATGGCCTTGGTATCCAGAATGTAGACAAGAATACTGAAAGAATAGAAGCAAAGCCCATCATACAATAAAAGAGGCAGAGAATAGTCTAATCTGTGAGAAAATGCCTGCACCAACAAAAGAATTTTAAACTTATTGAACTATGAATGATTATAATTTAAAAATAGCTTATTAAACCATTCACACTAATAAGGAAGTAGTTTGTTTCTAATTAATTTTCTAGGAAAGGCTGTTAAACATAGGTTCTCAGGTAAATGTCTTAACTTGGAGAAACGGTGTCTAATAATTATGGCTTCAGGTCAGGTACATTAAATTTCAAATAAACACTTTGAATTTTGATATTTAAATTACTTTTACTAATAAATCATTTCTCTAGCAACCAAAACTTTCAACTTGGGAAGGGAATACATCACTAAAACTTACACTATTTCTCCTATCCCACTGTTTTACGAAAACATTATGAAATGGATTACTCAAAGCTAATAACCCACTAGGCATTATACACAATCATTATAAATATATTATAAATATGTCATGTTCCCTTATTTTGCACCCCACCCCACCCCCCGCCCCAGGAAGCAGGAACAGAACAGCTTTGGCCTCTGGGCTCTGGAATTTTAGAAGTGAGTACATTAACATCCACTGCATGTTTTAAGACTTTTCTCATGGTTTTATCAACAAATGGACATAAAGCTGAAGTTGAACCAGCCAGGCACACATCAAAATATAAAACTGGATACACCTTTCCTTCTGAGTCACATCATTGATGTGCATAGACAGCCTATACCTGGCCATTCCTTCCCAGTGGCAATGAGCTGTCTGTTCTTTGTCGCTCCCAACTCTGGCAAGAGATGTCTCCATTCATTAATCTTGAGTCCATAATGTTACCCATTCTGTAGCTGTATATTCTATTCTGCACATGTTGTCCCTCTTTCCAGGCCCTTTCCTCCACTCTCTGGTACTCAGAGCCCACCATGCCTCCTCTTCTCAAGATCTCCCCCTTGCCTACATCCTTTGTAATACAGCTGCTAGCATGGTGCCACAGATCAAAGAATCTTGAGCAAAGAGGCTTAGAGGAGGGGAAAACTGGCTCCTATTCTCCTATCAGGCCTCTAGGAGTTTCTGGAGCATAGCTATTAAGAATATATCATTAGGCCAAGCACAGTGGCTCATTCCTCTAATCCCAGCACTTTGGGAGGCTGAGGCAGGAGGATTGCTTGATTCCAGGAGTTAAAGACCAGCCTGGGCAACATAGCTAGACCCCATCTTTACAAAAATTAGTAAAATTAGTGGGTCTGGTGGCCCTTGCCTATAGTCATGCCGCATACCAGCCTGGGCTACAGAGAAAGACCATCTCTCTTAAAAAAAAGTTATCATTAGCCTGATAATTCAACATCTCCCCAAATCTAGAATTGACCCAATGATGAATTTAATGAATATGCATTAGAATCTTTGGAGATGTAGTCTAACAAAAGAAAATTAGACAAAGGTTTGATTTTTCTAGACTGATTTTGTAATTAATGACCTCTTCAAAAAGAATATAAACAAGATAATTGCCTTTGAAGTGAAATTCTCTGTAGTAAATGGTTATTTACAGGAGACTTACAGAAAACCATTTCTCAACATCTGCATCCGAACAGGAATGACCACCATGACATGTTCCCTTAGCTCCCGTTGGACATCACCCCATTGTTCAGCAGGAGAGAGTAAAGGCTGATGTGTGGTTTTTATAAATGATATAACTAAATCTTGGTTGCATATATATTTTTGCTCACGAAATCTCTGAACCCAACAAAGATGTCAGTATTTGTTTTCCGATTTTCATAACTAATGACAAATCAATTAGTTCATTCAGCTGAGCCTCTTGACATTTACATCTCATGGTAAATGATGGGAGTGGAAGACAGGACCACACTTGGTTCCTTTGTATTACATCCTTCAATCTCTAAGAAGCTTTCCTGACTGTTAAGATGACCTCACTCCCTAGGCTCCTTAGCTAATCACAGGTAAACTTGGTTTGCAAGTGTACACCCATAGTCTTTGATGCAGTGATTCCCAACATCACTGAATTGAGTATACTGACTGTCTCTCCTTTCGTCACATTGTAATTTATCAGTCAATTTTATCAACAAATCAGTGTGTTTTTCTTTTTAAAATTATTTTAATCTGTACTGATAAAAGAAGACAAAAGCTGATAATGTTTTAATCCTCCCAGTTTTTTTCCTAGTGGTTCACATAAGAATTTGGATTAATACTACTGGCTTGCTAGCTTCCATGAATGTTTTGTGATGTCACTTGCAGAACCTGATAAAATCTTCATATGCTCTCACGAACAGATCTATACATGGTATACACAAAAGAACATACTAGACCATATATTTATGATTAGCTTAATCACACAATTCCCCAAGAATAGTAAATAAAAGAATAAAAGCAGAGATTAAAAATGAAATTAAAAGCAGCAAATAGAAAAAGCAGCATTGTTCCCTATAAGCATTTAGTAGATACTTATTAACAGACGAAGAGACAAAGAAGATACCAAAATGTAACTCAGGTCTACACTGTCAGTGGCCACAGTCACTGACAAATCACAGATACTCATAATGTGAGCCTTCATCAGTCCCTGCAGCAGGTGATGGGGAAACCTGCATGGGGGTAAGTGTCATTTAAAAGGGAAAGGATTTTGTCCTTAGCAGTGGTAATATCAATAAATCAGCTTTCTTTTGTTTAGTGAAAATCGCCTGACTAAAGAAATTCTCACCTATTGTTTGGTGGAAAACTGTACCTGTTCATTGTTAACTACAATCCACAAATTTCCAGTTGAGATGGTCAGTGTTCTGTTCCATAATGTATTGGGTCTTTGTCTGCCGTTATAAGTAGAAGAAAATTTTAAACTAAGTTTAGCCCCAGTCTGTACTGTCTTTGAAAAGTATTGTAAAACTGAATAAGCCAGACTTTAGGAAAGGTACTATCAACTATCTGGACTGTCTAAAAGCTCTGACTGATGTGGACTCACTCCTAAAAGGAATGGATGTTTCCCCGGTCAATCTCTGGGGAGAAGAAAGGACACACTCCTACCAATCATCTCTGAATGGGAATGGTGGTAGGTCTTGCAATGAGGCAGGACTTTTCTCTTTCTCTAGGGTCAGAGGTTATACTGGCTATCTAAGATATGACAGTGGTTGGCGATTTTATTTATTTATTTATTTATTTATTCAAAGAGGAAATGCTTTTATTGGTCATTGCCAATTTTGTTTTTGTTTTTGTTCTTTAATTTTACTTTAAGTTCCGGGATACATGTGCAGAATGTGCAGGTTTCTTACATAGGTATATATGTGCCATGGTGTTCTGCACCTATCAACCCATCACCTAGATTTTAAGCCCCGCATGCATTAGGTATTTGTCCTAATGCTCTCCCTCTCCTTGCCCCCTATCCCCTGACAAGACTCGGTGTGTGATGTTCCCCTCTCTGTGTCCATGTGTTCTCATTGTTCAACTCCCACTTATGAGTGAGAACATGTGGTGTTTGGTTTTCTGTTCCTGTGTTAGTTTGCTGAGAATGATGGCTTCCAGCTTCATCCATGTCCCTGCAAAGGACATGACCTCATTCTTTTTTGTGGCTGCATAGTATTCCATGGTGTGTATGTGCCACACTTTCTTTATTCAGTCTATCATTCATGGGCATTTGGGTTGGTTCCAAGTCTTTGTCATTGTAAATAGTGCTGCAGTAAACATAAAACATACGTGTGCATGTGTCTTTATTGTAGAATGATTTATAATTTTTTGGGTATATAACCAGTAATGGGATTGCTGGGTCAAATGGTATTTCTGGTGGAGATTTTTTTTTTTAGTTTGAGCCAACCTCTACTACTTAGAGGCCTATTTAGTTATGAGCCTAAGAGCAACCACTTTGCATGTCATAGCTAAGCTAGTCTCAAAAGCCAAGTGACCGGCATGAGGCAGTGCACTATCTTCTTTGTCACTTGCAAATCCTATTCTGAATCTAAAAACAGAATGAAATTTCTGAAATGAAATAAGAAATGAAATTTCTTATTCACCTTTGTATCCCTAGCATCTAGCATAGTTCTTGGCACACATTTTGTTGGATTGAATTTTCTTAATATTCAGGGTGTCAGTCTGTCACTTAGGCTGGCATGTAGTGACATGATCATAGCTTACTGCAACCTCAAACTCTTGGGCTCAAGCGATTGTCCAGTCTCAGCCTTCCAAGTAGGTGGAATTACAGGTGTATGCCACCAGGCCCAGCTAATTTTTCTTTTCTTTTCTTTTCTTTTTTTTTTAGAGAAAACCTCTCACTGTGTTGCTCATGCTGGTCTCAAATTCCTGGCCTCAAGTGATCCTCCCTTCTCAGCCTCTCAAAGCACTGGGATTATAGGCATGAGCAACCATTCTGGCCTGGACTGAATTTTTATAAAATTCTATGGAATTATCAGTATAGGAAATTTACCTACATTGAATAAAGGAAGCTAGCCTTTATGTGACTTAGATTTCTAACTTGAGCTATATCTATGGACAAGTCCTGTTCAACTATTCTGTTTTCACTTTGTAAACTGAATTTGTTGGTTAAGTCATTGAAAACAGGTGAACCCATTAGTGTTCCCAGAGAAACACCAAGGAGCGCATCACTGCATCATCCCACCATTCATTCCGTGCCCTGTCTCCATTTCACACAGGGCAGGCTTCAGCTGAGCTAGCAAAAAGCATCAAAGCTGGCCGGGCACGGTGGCTCACACCTGTAATCCCAGCACTTTGGGAGGCCAAGTCAGGCTGATCATGAGGTCAGGAGTTTGAGACCAGCCTGACCAACATGGTGAAACCCCATCTCTACTAAAAATACAAAAATTAGCCAGGCGTGGTGGTGCAAGCCTGTAATCCCAGCTGCTTGGGAGGCTGAGGCAGGAGAATCGCTTGATCTAGGGACGCAGAGGTTGCAGTGAGCCAAGATCACACCACTGCACTCCAGCCTGGGTGACAGAGCAAGACTCTGTCTCAAAAAAAAAAAAAAAAAAAAAAAAGAAAGCATCAAAGCCAATACTGGTTTGTTTTCCCAAGCCATGTTTTAAAAACATCATGTTCTTAGCTCTACAGATACTAAATCAGATACTAAATGTTATGGTTTGGATATTTGTCTCCTCCAAATCTCATGTTGAAATGTGATACCCAATGCTGGAGGTGGAGCCTGGTGGAAGGCGTTTGGGTCATGGGAGTGGATTCCTCACGAATGGCTTGGTGCCCTCCCCATGGTAATGAGTTCTCACTCTATTAGTTCATGTGAGAGCTGGTTGTTAAAGGAGCCTGGCTCCTCCTCCCCTGTCTCTTGCTCCTCCTCATGCCTCTTTTGCTCCCACTGTCACCATGTGATGTGTCTGCTCCCCCTTTGCCTTCTGCCATGACTGGAAGATTCCTGAGGCCCTCACCAGGAGCAGATGCTGGTGCCACGCTTCCTGTACAGCCTGCAGAAGAATAAGCCAAAGTAAACCTCTTTTCTTTATAAATAACCCAGTCTCAGATATTCCTTTATAGCAATGCAAACAGACTAACACATTAGTCGTAAAAACAAAAAAGGAATTAATTGTTGAAATATATAGTTAAGTGTAATCTTTATCTGAGGATGGAAAGAAAGTCATGTTTTTAGAAACTTGGTATGTGAAATGAACTGTGTTGGATGCTTTCCCCAATAATTTTCTTGTTTAATTCCTCAATACAAATCTTCGAATTGGGGATGTTTCCCACCTTATTAATAATAAAATGAAGGTTCATAAAGCACCATTAATTCACTCAACAAATATTTATGAAGTACTTGTTAAGTTCCTGGCACTGTTCTAGTTACTGGGAATATAGCAGCAAACGAAACAAAATCCTCATGAAATTTATACCTATGTTCACGTGGCTAGTCAGTGGATTTACATCCAGATCTACCAGATATCAGTATTGATGCTTTTTTCACTACACGTGGCAACTGGAATGGAGGATCTCAAACAAAGACTGCAATATTTGAGTAATCTGAATAGATGCTATCTGGCCCCGCCTCAGCTGCCCTCTTCACCAAAAGAGAATAGTACCAAAAAAGTGAAAATACTTTAGTTCTTGATTCTAAATTGTTTGTCTTTTTAAACAATTAATGTATATTGTTTTAGTAATGAAAAAGCATACTGTTAAAGATCATTTTTTCCTGTTTATTTTTGTTCCTGTTTTCATGTGTTTTTTTTTTTTGTGGTTGGTTTTTGTTTGAGACAGGATCTTGCTCTGTCACCCAGGCTGGAGTGCAGTGGTGCGATCACAGTTCACTGTAGCCCCAACCTCCTGAGCTCAGGTGATCGTCTTGGCTCAGCCTCCCGAGTAGCTAGGACCACAAGCATGTGCCACCTATACTTGGACAATTTTATTATTATTATTCTTTATAGAGATGGAGTCTCCCTGTGTTTTCCAGGCTGATCTTGAACTCCTGGCCTCAGGTGATCCTCCTGCCTTGGCCTCCCAAAGTGCTGAAAGTACAGGTGTGAGCCACTGCATCCAGCCCCTTTTCCCTCTTTAGATCCTGGAGAATATCAGATTTTCACTAGTTAGCAAGGAGTTACTCCAAGTCTGTCAGAGGATGCTAAAATTCACGGACATGTTTCTGCCCTGAAGTCCAGCTGCTTCTACCATCCCTATGATCTCATGCCATATATGACAAAAATAATAACTCAAGGCTGATGCCCCTTTACTACATTACATGGTCAAAAGCCCCAAGCTGTAGTTTCTCTGCTTACTGCATGCCCTACTAGACATTTTTCCCTTCCCCAGCTCCTTCTTTTGAATCCTACCCATGAAGACTTCTGAACCTCCTCCACATGTGCTGCTTTCCCTCTTCTGACCCCCTGCCCCACTCTGGACCCCTTTCCTGGCACTCGTGGTCTTATACTCTGATCATAAATGGCTTGTCTTATACTCTCTAATAAAGCAATTCTGACAGGGCAGGGATGGCTTCATTATATGTCTCATAATTAAAAAGTGAGCAGTAAGTATTTTTAAGTTGAATTGTATTATTTTAAAAAATTAAGGCCATATTATCTTTACTTGGGTGTTTTGAACTGCTCTTTTAGAGAACCAGCTATTTTCAAAACCACAAAGAAACTTGCATAAAAGCCTCATGTTGCGGTTAATTTGAATCTGTAAGAATATAAAAGAGGATGTTAGTTTGACCCATAAATAATTATTTATTACCTATACTGTGCAAGGAGTTATTCAAGGAGAATTGAGAGTCACAGTGAAGAACCAAATGTACAGCCAAATTTGTGAGGTGGTATAAAATAATTCAGCAGTGAATTAATTAAGGCATGATTGTCAGCAACTCAAAGAGATTTAAATTGTGGATTTGGGGCAAGAAAAATGATCATTCTCATTCAGGTTCTCATCAGAAGTAAAATTATAAGGTTAGTAAAATTTAAAAAGCTAGGAGTTCCAAAACCAGCAATGAAATGAAACTATCCAAAAATCTACATAAAGCCATTCTAGTATAATGTTCATTAGTGGCATCATGGAAGAGAAATATGGAACAGTAAATATTAGCCATCTCATACAATTTGGCATTTCATTTTACTATATAACTACCCTATAAATATTACTGAAGCTGAGAAAATGTTACATAGTAGAATGCCACTTCTAAAAAATATGACAACAAAAATTATCTTACAAATTTGATTTGCCTACTCCACTGTTGTCTGCATGACCCTGAACACACTATGTAACTTGTCAGAGCCTCCATTTCTTTAATGTCACTTACTGCCAGGATAGTGAGGACCAAATAAGATCCAATATATAAGTGTTAGTGAAAAATTAGGTACCATACCAAAAGTATTTTAATTTTTTTATCTGCTTGCATTATCAAGCTAATATTTTATTACATTAAACTTGGGTTTTATTTTTAATCATAAATAGATATTCACTGCTTGACAAGTTGAATACAAATTTATAGCAAAGAACAGAAAGTAATAATAAAATGGCTAGTAATACTATAGCCATATTTTAGCAATTTTCCTCTCCTGAATGAGCTTGAGCTCTATTTTATCCTATTTAGATGTCACTTAGCAAGTAAATCTGACCATTCATCTGTGCAAGAATGTACCCAAGATGTTTCAAGCACTGCGTGGACCCCAGAGCCCATCCTCATTCTCATGAGGCCAGAGGAAAAATAATCTGAACATTTTTTCCTTGGAGACTACAGAGCAGATTCTCTTTCTCCTCTTGTTCCTTCTCCTCCTCCTCCCTCTTCATTCCTTCATTTTCCTTCTTCTCCTCCTCCTCTTCCTCCTTATTCCCAGAAATACAATGTGCGTACTAAAGTCAGAGATTGACAAAGCTTCAAGGGACCTGAGGAACCATTTAGGTACTCTTAAGACTTGGAAACTTTAGACCCAAAAGGTACAGGACTTGCACAAGATTATACAGCTCATATGATTATGAGAAATCTTGTTTTAGAAGCACAATTGGTGCTTTCCCTGTTTAAGGAATGGTCAAGTTGAAAGAATCAGTCCATTGAAGATCTTTAGGCTCATGCCTGTAATCCTAGGATTTTGGAAGGCCAAGGCAAGAAGATGACTTGAGCCTAGGAATTTGAGACCAGCCTGGGCAACATAAGGATACCTCGTCTCTACAAAAAATACAAAGAATTAGCTAGGCCTGGTGTCAAATGCCTGTAGTCTTAGCTATGTGGGAGGCTGAAGTGGGATCCCTTGAGCCTAGGAGGTTGAGGCTGCAGTGAGCTGGTATTGTGCCACTGCACTCCAGCCTGGGTGACAGAGCAAGACCTCCAGCTCAAAAAAATAATAAATAAATAAATAAATAAATCTTTATATTCAAGTCTGAGATATTTATAAATTCTCTTACCTTATTCTTTCTCTCATTAACTTTTTTTTACCATTAAAAAATAATAATTTTAGGCCGGGCACGGTGGCTCACGTCTGTAATCCCAGCACTTTGGGAGGCCGAGGTGGGCGGATCACGAGGTCAGGAGATTGAGACCATCCTGGCTAACACGGTGAAACCTTGTCTCTACTAAAAATACAAAAAATTAGGCGGGCGTGATGGCAGGCGCCTGTAGTCCCACCTACTTGGGAGGCTGAGGCACGAGAATCGCCTGAACCTGGGAGGCGGAGGTTGCAGTAAGCCGACATCGTGCCACTGCACTCCAGCCTGGCGACAGAGTGAGACTCCGTTTCAAAAAAAAAATAAAAAATTATTCTTGCCTTTCTGCTAGCTCAGTGCAGTGGAAAGAGAACCCGACTACATGTCAAAAGTCCTGGCTTGGACCTGGCTCTGCTTGTTACTATGTAACCTTACAGAAGTCATGAGAGTTTTGCACCTGTAAAACTAAGATGCCTGCGTTGATTACCTCCCACATTGTAACAGGTTAGATAATGAATAGGAATATTTTCTATATATTATACAGTCCTGAATGAACACAGGCACTCCTGTTATATATCCTGTGATGTCCAGAAATCTTTTTAAAGTTTAAAATGGAAAATTATATTATACATGCTAGAAATACAATAAACTGAATTGTATTTAAAAATGGAAGGGTGGGCTGGGTGCAGTGGCTCATGCCTATAATCCCAGCACTTTGGGAGGCTGAGGCAGGCGGATCACAAGGTCAGGTGTTCGAGACCAGCCTGGCCAATATGGTGAAACCCCGTCTCGACTAAAAATACAAAAATTAGCCAGGCGTGGTGGCGGGCACCTGTAGTCCCAGCTGCTCAGGAGGCTGAGGCAGAAGAATAGCTTGAATCCGGGAGGCGGAGGTTGCAGTGAGCCCAGATCGCACCACTGCACTCCAGCCTGGGTGACAGAGCGAGACTCTGTCTTGGAAAAAAAAAAAAAAAAGGGTGATATCAGCAAGACGGTAGAGTAGGAGGCTCCAGTTGTAACTCCCTTGTTAAGAGACTTAACAAGAATGTCCAGTCCAAAATGTCTTTACAGGAACTCCAGGAACTGGTTAAGAAGTCAAAGTACCCCAGGTGAGCACAAAGCTGAGAACAGCTGCATTGAAATGAAGGTAAGCCGTTGCCTTCTACCTTCAATTACCCCTCACCCAATTTGACATAGCCCAGCACAGCTGGGAGAAAGTGTCCAATTTGTGGTTTCTCCTCAGGAGAGAAAGAGAAGATGGGAGTGGAACATGCATGCAATGTTCCAGCTTTTCAGAAGCTGGTCAAGAGACTGGTTTCCTTCTTGCCTAACTTAGTCCTGATGAAACCTGCATACTCTGGATACCTAGAAGCTCAGAGAATAAAATAGAACTCAGAGAATAAAAGTGGCTTCCTTTGCTGCAGCATGAGAGAATCTGCAGCACCACAGTCAGAAGCCAGCACAGCTCAGTGCTATCAGGAGATGAGGCTCAGTTCTTGGTTTGAAAGAGAAGGGTGCAACATGCATCTAATTTTCCAGCTTGCAGAGGGTGTGGGGGCTGCCTGAGGGACTGGTTTCTGTCTCACCTGGCTCAGAGTGGTGAAAGAAATAGCATACTTTGGATGCCTGGGAGCTACAGAGAGCAAAGGAGAGCTTAGCAACTTGTTGCAGCACCAATAACCTTCAGTACAACAGACAGGCACCAGAGATAGCAAGAGACTACAAGCTCCTGAAAAAGAAATTCATAAACCTCTCTAACTGGGAAATTATATGCACAAGGCTAGAGAAGACACATCTCCAGAAAAAGATTGAGAGGCCCTCAGAATTCTGATGCAGGCTGATTGGTGATGATCTCCCCTTCTCTTGAAGGTACTCAAAAAAGGTAAAGAGAAGTAGCTGGCTTTTTAAATTCCCAAGTCTCAAAAAAAAAAAAATCACAAGCAGCCAGGCATAGTGGCTCACGCCTGTAATCCCAGCACTTTGGGAGGCTGAGGTGGGCAGAGCACTTGAGGTCAGAAGTTTGAGACCAGCCTGGCCCATATGATGAAACCCGATCTCTACTAAAAAATACAAAAATTAGCCAGGTGTGGTGGCAGGTGCCTTTAATCCCAGCTACTCAGGAGGCTGAGGCAGGAGAATTGCTTGAACCTGGGAGGCGGAGGGTGCAGTGAGCCGAGATCATGCCACAGCACTCCAGCCTGGGTGATAGAGCAAGACTCTGTCTGAAAAAATAAAAAAAATTTTAAAAAATCACAAGCATATGAAGAAACAGAGAAATATGGCCCAAATAAAGGAACTAAATTAATGTCCAGAAACTGACCATAGGGAAGTAGAGAGCTATAAATTATGTGACAAAGAATTCAAAATAGCTGTATTAAATAAGGTAGCTTAAACAGAACACAATTGAATGAAATCAGTTAAACAATGTATAAACAAAATGAAAATATCAACAAAGAGGTATAAACTTTCAGAGAGAGAGAGAGAATGAATGAAACTAAAATTTTGCAGCAGAAGAGTACAATAACTAAGTTGAAAAAAATCACTACACTGGTCCAACAGCAGGCTTGTTCAAGCAGAAGAAATTATCAGTGTAAAGACAGGTTATTTGAAATTACTGAATTAGAAGAGTAAAAAGAAAAAAAGAATATAAGATGTTTTATGTAAGCCTATAGTAACCACAAAGAAAATACATATAGAAGATACACAAAAGAAAAAGGGAAAGAAATTAAAATATATCACTACAAAACAATCAATGAAACAAAAAAGAAAACAGCAAGAAAGGAAAAGGAGAAAATAATTACAACTCAAAAAAGTATTAACAAAATGGCAATAGTATGTTCTCCCCTATCAATAATTACTTGAAATGTAAATGTATTAAATTCCTCAATCAAAAGACATAGAGTGGCTAAATGAATATAAATCAAAACTCAACTATACGTTGCCTACACGAGACCCATTTTAGACTTAAGGACACACATAGGCTAATAGTGAATGGAAGGAAAAATCTATTCAATGAAAGTCATAAACCAAAAAAAGCAGGCTGGCTATCCTTATATGACACAAAATAGACTTTAAGTCAAAAACTCACAATATACAAAGAAATATTTATTCACAAATATTATTCACAAACTCACAATAAACAAAAATATTTTTATAAGGATAAAAAGGTCAGTTCTCACAGCATTAGAGCACCAAAATACACACTGCAAACACTGGGAGTTCTGAAGGGACAAGTAGCAATACAATAGTAGTAGGGGACTTCAATAACTCCACTATCAGTGATGAATAGAACACCAGAAAGAATATCAGTTAGAAAATAGTGGATTTAACATTATAGACCAAATAGACCTAATGGATATACAGAACTAAGCACACAACAGCAGCAGCATACTCTAGGTATTTTTCTTTAAAATAGACGTGTGTGTGTGTGTGTGTGTGTGTGTGTGTGTGTGTGTGTGTGTGTGAGAGAGAGAGAGAGAGAGAGAGGAACATACAGTCACTCATAAACTTAGTTTACATAAGTAAAATATCCCATATGCTGGGGAAGTAAAATAAAATTGGTACCTTTTTAACGGCTTATACTCTACCCCCTCCATCTCCACCTATAATTCACCCCGATTTTTCCAGGTAACCACGGTTTACGACCTGGTGAGCGTGCTTTAATAAATTTCTACATCTTCATATAATCATATGTAAACATATGTACATAGAGGTGTTTTAAGGAGGGGCACTGTCAGCCTGACAAAAGTGAAATTATCTTATGTACCCTCCTATGTATCTTATTTTTCCCAATAACAATATTTGATGGAAATCCCTCTAAATCAAATGCTAATGAATTAATTATTTTTAATGGATTTATCATAGTCCATGGCATGGATGCAATATAATCTATTCAATGATGACACTATCACTGGAAGTTGTTTTTTTTCTAGTTTGGGGACAATATAAACATCTTTCTACAAGTATTCTTACATATTGATGTTTTTTATAATGTAGTTTTCTAGCAATGGAATTGGTGAGTTGAAAAGTGGGTATATTTTTTACTTTAATAGCTGTTTCCATACAGCTTTAGAATCTTTACATACAATTAATTGATTATAGATGTGTGAGTCTATCTCTGGATTCTATTCTTTTTCATTGATCTATATGTCAATCCTTAAGTCACTAACACAATACCTTAATTACTACAGCTTCATAATAAGTTTTAAAATCAGTTAGTATGACTCTTTCAAGTATTATCTTTTTTTCAAAACAGTTTTAGCTGTTCTAGCTTCTTTGCATATTCATGTACATTTTAGAATCAATTTATCAATTTCTACCAAAAAACAAACCTTCTGAAATTTTTACTGGAAGCATATTGAATCTATATAGATCAATCTGGAGGAAATTACCATTTTAGCCATATTCAGTCTAAGTATATATTTCAATTTATTGAATATAGCATATTTTTCTGCTTATTGAAGGAGAGGTGGGGGGCCTGTGTGGGTGAGAGACAAGGAGGAGGGCTGACCCCCCTGCCTCCATCCCACTTGAAGAGGAAGGCGTGAGCTGCAGCCCCTCTCACATTCCACTTTCACCTCCATCTATTTTGCTTCCAACATGGAGCTGCCTTGGACTGGCAGGTGGCCCCTGGCCATCCTTGAGGCCCAAGCTGTCAGGAATGGGGAGGGCAGCTTGTTTGCTACAGCTGTCTCCGGGGCACGTGTGGGACTCCCCAGTCTAGGAATGCTTCATGCCCCTACCTCAGGGTCCCCTTGGGAGAAGATTCACACTGCTAGGATGGGGACCCGACAGGGGCTCAGATGTATATCTTTCCATTTTTTGAATATAGTATATCTTTTCACTTACTGAGGTCATCTTTAATTTATCTCTGGAATGTTTTATAGTTTTCAGTGCCTCGATCTTGCACATATTTTGTAGAGTTAATTTTCTTAATGTAAATGGTAGTTTTAATATCAACTGCTCATTGTGCATGGTTAGTACATAGAGATACAGTTGATTTTTGTACATTCAGTGCGTTCTCTTCATTCTGGCTGAAGGGAATATGAATGATTCCTGGTTCTGTGTGTGCTCTTAGAATTGTTGGTATTACAATTCCAATAAATGCTCTTTCCTCAGAAGTTGTTACTGTCCAGTCTGGTGGAGGTTCACCCTATACATGCACATATTGTGTTTAGTCAAAAGTCCAAGCAAATCCCCACACAGATACCTGAAACTCTGTTTATCTCTTCACTCTCTGCAAATTCTAGCTCTCTTGGCTTTCCCAAAATTCTCTGTCTCTTCAACTAGGGGAGACTGGTGAGCTTCGTTTGGGTTCCTCTTCTGTGTTCCAAAGCCTGGAAATTGTCATCTGGTAGAAATCCTGGCTGATGGTAGGGCTCATCTCTTTGTTGGCTTCTCCCAGGAATTAAAGCCCTACACTTCCTGCCAGTGTCTGACAATGGTTGTTTCTTATAGTTATTCCTGCTTTTTAGTCATTGATGGACGGAAGATTACTCCCATGTGGCCAAAAGAGGGAATTCTTCCCCTTTAATTTGTCATGTAATAAATTCTGTTGATAGTTTTCCTGATACTCAACTATATTTGCAGTCGTAGGAAAAACCCTACTTGGTCATAGTTTGTTAATCTTGTTATACAAATCTGAAATCTATTTGCTGACATCCTATTTAGCACTTTTACATCTAACACTTAGTTTTTGGGCCATAGTTTTTTATTTATTGTGTTCTCTATTAACTATATAATCATGTTTTGTTATTAAAGTTATGATGGCTTCATAGACTGGGAAATAGTCCATATTTTTCTTTAGTTTTGATTATTTCAATACCATTAAAGTTGCTTATTTTAAAAAATTTAACTAGAACTCATCGGTGTAACCATCCTCTCCTTATTAATGACAAATCTGAAATTATCTTTCAAATCCCTTTTATGGAGGTTGGTCTACTCAATCTTTCTACTTTGAGGGATTGATTCAATTAATATATTTTTGTCAGAAAGTATCCCTTTCCTTTATGTTTTAAAAATCGTCGTCATAGAGTTTCACAGAATACTTTCCCCATGTGTGTTAATTTGCAAGTTCTATTTTACTTTCCACGGAATAAATAGTTATATTCCTTTCCCAGGCCTAATAATACATGTAATGTTTTAATATTATGTAAGAAAAAAGTATACCAAATAATCCCTCCAACAGAAACATTTTATTTCCCACCTTTCCTTTCTCATTTCTTCTTTCTCCCCAGTATCAAGTCCTTAGGATGCTTTCAGGTCCCCACTCGCTCCTAACCCATTCTGGGGACTCTGTTAAGATTTATTTGTTATTTAAAAGTCTTCTTAAGTATTTTTCTCAGATGGAATGTGTGAATGCTCTATTCTTTAAATTCTTGCAAATATTCTTCTTTGACCAGACAAGCAAATGATCTTTTGGCAGGCTATAAAATATTTAAGCTGTGCTATGGTTTGACTGCGTCCCCGAAAGTTCATGTGTTAGAAACTTGATCCCCAGTGAGAAGGTGTCAGGAGTTGGGACCTTTAAGAAGTGTTTAGGTCACAGGGGCACCACCTTCATGGATGGATTAATGCCATTACCATGGGAATAGGTTTCTTATCGCGGGAGTGGGTTTCTTATAAAAGGAGAAGTTCAGCTCCCTCTTGCCCTCTATCTTGCCCTCTCTCTGCCCTTCCACCATGGGATGATGCAACAAGAAGGCCCTCACCAGATGCCAGTGTCTTGATTTGGGCCTTCCCAGCCTCCAGAACCATGAGCCAATATATTTCTGTTTCTTATAAATTATCCAGTCTGTGGTATTCTGTTATAGCAGCAAAAACGGACTATGACAGGGTGACTTCTTTCAGTTTTAGTAGGCTGTAGAATTTGTTTCACATTATTTTCACCTGCAAGGTTGTAGAAAGCAGTCCAATGCCAATCTGATTCTTTTTTCTTTACAATTAAGTTGTTCTTTCTTTCTGGGAGCTTGTAAAATGATCTTTTTTTTTTCTTCTGAGTTAAGAATTGTGTCTGTATATAACTGGGTCTTTTTTCATTAATGTCATCTATAATTCTAAAATCCTTTCAATCTGTAATTTTATATATTTTTTTGGTTCAGAGAAATGTTTTCCAACTATGGTTTTCCCTCCACCTGTGTTATTTCCTCATTCTGAGATTCCTATTATTCACAAGTTAGGTCTTCTGGATTTATCCTCTAGCTCTCTTACCTCCATATAGGATTCATTAAATCTTCATTTTCTCCGATTCTCCAGTCTACCCTTCCCAAAGCATCAGTAATATATTACTTACAATAAGAAATACTACAGAATTTGAATATGGCCATCTTCCAGTAGTACTAAATGGGAAAAAGCTCATAATTCACTATAATAATCAAATAATTTAAATTACCAAAGGATATCAACAATAAATGTTATTAAAGAATAGTACAAAATTATAAGTATAAAATTGAATATTAGTAGACTAAATGGGGTAAATTATTCCATAAAAGAAGTTTCTTCAGAATTTCTATTGAGAATAGAAACATCACATTTATCACTTTTCAAGTGATGTACTTTTACAAACCACATGCAGCAAGACCCTTATTCAAATACCTTAATAAAATATTTTTATATACATGTCAGATAATCTTAAAATGTTAGAGCCTAAGATCAGCTCCTTTCACTGATTTCCACCCCCCTCCCACAACTAAGGATAGACTACTCTAGGAGAGAATGTGGAAAGAAAAACCTTTCTTCTCTGTGTTCATTCTTTAGACTCACAGAGACTGTTTTGTTAATAATCAAGCATTGTAGTCAAAAGCAAATAGGAAAGCAACTCAATTTTTCATTGAAAAACATTTATCAAAAAAAGAAAAACATTTATCTTTTTTTAAAAATGCAAAAGCTGTTGTTGCACTTTAAATGTAATTGCTCTCATTGCTAAAGAACATAATTTGGGTGAATAGTAAGTTTCAAAGGATAATTAGGCACTTTACACAAAAGAGAACATCTGCAATCATCCCAGGAATGATGAAATTACAGGGCTATCAATCCTTGTGCTTCAGGGCATGGACTGATCACCAGCTGGAAGA
This sequence comes from Homo sapiens, assembly GCF_000001405.40. Lineage (NCBI taxonomy): Eukaryota > Metazoa > Chordata > Mammalia > Primates > Hominidae > Homo > Homo sapiens. The sequence continues at coordinate 51,098,157 of NC_000014.9, read as the reverse complement.
CAGAAGATATCCCCTCAATAGTATAATATTTCTATAATATTACCAATTACATTTCAATTTTTATTCCCTTTTAAACATAAGTCATTGGGGGGCTATAAAGCACATTATGGCCAAACAGTGCAACATGAGGGGAAAATCTTCAAAGGCCTTCAAGAATATTTTAAAGAAATGGATTCAAAGAAAAATAGTAAACTTTTGGCTGGGAGCGCTGGCTCATGCGTGTAATCCCAGCACTTCGGGAGGCTGAGGCAGGTGGATCACTTGAGGTCAGGAGTTTGAGACCAGTCTGGCCAACATAGTGAAACCCTGTCTCTACTAAAAAAAAAAAATGTAAAAATTAGCCAGGCATGGTGGTGCACACCTGTAGTCCCAACTACTCAGGAGGCTGAGGCACGAGAAACACTTAAACCTGGGAGGTGGAGGTTGCAGTGGGCCAAGATTGTGCCACTGCACTCCAGCCTGGGGAACACAGCAAGACTCCAGTCTCAAAAAAAAAAAAGGAAAAAAAAAGTAAACTTTCAGAGAAGGTGAGCAGAATATCATAGAAGTTAACAAAGAACATTTTGGGTACTTATCACATTCAGAGCTTGAAGAGAGTAGAACTCAGCACTTGTTGAATGAATGAATGAATGAATGAATGAACAAAGGAACAAACTTATATGTGTCCGGGTTCCAATCCCAGCCTCACCATATTTGACCTTGAGTACTTAAGTGTCTTTGCTTATCTTCAGTTTATTTATCTGTAAAATGGGAATAATTGTGCCTACCTCTTCTTGTAATTACAGGGATTTAACCAAGTAATGTATACAAATAAATAAATCCCCTGTTTGGAACAGGGTGAACTCTCAACAAATGAGTCATTTTAAGAGCTCTCCTAGGATTGACTGATTTAGCTAATTCCTAAACAAACAGATCTAACAATGAAATCATCTCAAGCGACTTCATAATAGACCAAATCTTTCTATATTGACTATATTATAAACCTGTGTTGTTCTTTTTGCGAACCCAACACTGCATTACACCATGAGACATCCTCTAAAATTCTTCTTTACTTTGAACTAAGCATAAACTTTCTGCTAATAAGATCTCTTAGATGATATACTATTATAAGCAGAGTTCAAACTCATACAAAGTGTAACAGCTGCTCACCTTGCTGGTCCAAGATATTGTGACTTGTGGTCAAATGCATACAAAAGCCATAAAAGGACACTCCTTTCTAATATTTTCTCAATAATTAACTTTCATTACAATTCAATTAATACTATATTGAATATAATTATTAGTAATTTCTCTTGGGACCTATAAATTAAGTGTATCCTGCAAGTGCAGCTAATGTCCCAACCATACCTGAAGAAATTTTATCTATGTCTGTAAACAGAGTGCATATACCTTTGGATGCTCTGGTCTCAACTAGTTGAAAGCCAGCTTAAAAATAAATCACGTCACATTTATGATTAACATGGCTTTAAATAACAATGGGGACTTTATTCCCCCACACAATGATCAACTACTGTTCTCACTGCAACTAAAGATGTTGAAAAGATAACCTAGTTTATTGGACAATTTCTACAAGGGCAGTGTAATAAAATGTCCATTTTTTTTCTGGACAATAAAGTACTTTTAAATTATCAACATAGCTGCATATAATCAAGTTATCTCCTGTCTGGAAGGTGGAAAATTGGAATATTTCTAGAACTTGCAAAGAGTTTTTGTCCTTTACTTCATGAATCATTCAGCAAAAGCCGGCTATGTACTATTTCAAATGTTACTACCTCAGAATGTCACTTGACTCAAAGATTTTCCTTTCCTTTTCTTCTTCCTCCCTCCCTTTCTTCCCTTCCTTCCGCCTTTCCTTTCCCCCCCCCTTCCTTCCTCCCTCTCTCCCTCTTTCCCTTCTTCCCTCCCTCCCTCCCTCCTTGTACAGGGACTAACACTAGAATCACCGCCTCACCATGCCCCTCGTTGGAAGAAACAGAAAGGCACACGATGCTGTAAGCTATGGCAGATGCCCAGGGCACGTGGGGTTGAATAATGCTGTTTGGAGTGAAACACTGAGACTCCGCAGTCACACAGTGATTCATTTACAGAGCTTTACTAAACTACGGGCACTCAGAAATAGACAAACTGTTCTTGCCTCAACCGAACCAAAGGCCCAGCGGGCCTCGAAAAAGCTCAGCCAGGTGCTTTGGGAGGCCGCGAGGAGGAAGAAGGATCCGTGGAAGGAAGCACGTTCACACCACGGCACTGAGGCCTCTGGGCCGAGCTATAATTTAAAGCATGAAACGAAGGGGTCATAGATTCTGACTAATGCTGACCATTTCCATCGGTTACCCAGTTGAATCTCATGTCGACACTAGGAAATCGACTTTATACATGCTCTTTAGGAAACGAGGGACGCAGGATGAAAGAAGCCAAGAGTGTCGCCAGGGCTTGCGCCAGCGCCGTCAGACTCCCGGGATGGGGGAGCTCCAGGGCACGGCGTCAGCGGATTCACGGAGAAGGAGAAAAGCCCCACTGCCGTGCAGAAGCCTAGGCCCGGGTGAGACGCCTGCGAAGGCTGCCAGCAGCGGAAGAGAAGGGGCGTCCTCCGTGCTGCGCAGCACTCGCCCGCGGTAGGTGGGCGCGGAGCTCAGAGCTGGGAGCCAAACGCAAACGCTGGCGAGAAGCCCCAGCCCCCTCCGGCAGCCCACTCGCTGCGGGGAGGGGTTTCTCACGCCCCCAGCTCCTGGGAGACTGCACCGGAGGTCGGAAGTAAGCCGGGCGAGGATGAATCATCCCGCCTAACTCCTCCTTCCCGGTCCCCTAGCCTCCGCACGCCGGCCCCCTTCAGAGATCTTGCAGCCGCGAGCGAAGACTGCCCTATCCTCAGACTCTACCGAACCCCCTGTGGCCTGCGGAGACGAGGAGACGGACGGGTCTGGTGGCCAATGAGAGCTTCGATCTCTTGCCCCCCGCCCAATGGGCCGCTGCTCATGGGCCGGGGCGGGACTAGGAGGGCAGGTAGGGGCGGTCCGGGCTGGCGCGCGGCGCGGCGGCTACGCGGCTGCGGCTCACAGAGCTAGCGCCTCTCTGGGTGTCCGTGCCAGTGCTGCGCGGGAAGGCACCACCACCACAGCCGCCGCCGCTGGCCAGGGTGCTGGACAAGACGGGCCCGTCGGCCACCTCGCCAGCTCAGGCACCCGCTGCAGCCGTCGCTGTCTCCTCCCAGACCGGTCCCCATGGAGGAGATGGAAGAGGAGTTGAAATGCCCCGTGTGCGGCTCCTTCTATCGGGAGCCCATCATCCTGCCCTGCTCTCACAATTTGTGTCAGGCGTGCGCCCGCAACATCCTGGTGCAGACCCCAGAGTCTGAATCCCCCCAGAGCCATCGGGCCGCGGGCTCCGGGGTCTCCGACTATGACTATCTGGACCTGGACAAGATGAGCCTATACAGCGAGGCGGACAGCGGCTATGGCTCCTACGGGGGGTTCGCCAGCGCCCCCACTACCCCGTGCCAGAAGTCCCCCAACGGCGTCCGCGTGTTTCCCCCGGCTATGCCGCCACCGGCCACCCACTTGTCACCGGCCCTGGCCCCGGTGCCCCGCAACTCCTGTATCACCTGCCCCCAGTGTCACCGCAGCCTCATCCTGGATGACCGGGGGCTCCGCGGCTTCCCCAAGAATCGCGTACTGGAAGGGGTAATTGACCGCTACCAGCAGAGCAAAGCCGCGGCCCTCAAGTGCCAGCTCTGCGAGAAGGCGCCCAAGGAAGCCACCGTCATGTGCGAACAGTGCGATGTCTTCTACTGCGATCCGTGCCGCCTGCGCTGCCACCCGCCCCGGGGGCCCCTAGCCAAGCACCGCCTGGTGCCCCCGGCCCAGGGTCGTGTGAGCCGGAGGCTGAGCCCACGCAAGGTCTCCACCTGCACAGACCACGAGCTGGAGAACCACAGCATGTACTGCGTGCAATGCAAGATGCCCGTGTGCTACCAGTGCTTGGAGGAGGGCAAACACTCCAGCCACGAAGTCAAGGCTCTGGGGGCCATGTGGAAACTACATAAGGTGAGTCCTAAGAAAACCCACTCCTAACTCCCTGCGTCTCCGATCATCCGGTTTTGCAGCAGACGGTCCCCGTCTCTTGCGCACAGCGCATCCCAGTGGGGGCGCAATGCAGGTGCCTTCGATGTTTACCTCCCTGGTCTGGTGCATTGCAGGAGGCATGGGGGAATCTTAACCGGCGCACGGGGGAGTTGAATGCCCCCACAGAGTTGTTGCGGGGATGCCTTAGAGCGGGTCTCTCGGGGCGCGCTGCCTGCGAGCGGGACTCAGGGCGCCCCCTTTCCGCGGCGGGTCTGCAGCCAGTGGCCGCGGCCAGTGTGTGGGAAAGCACTGCATAGCTGGGTAGAGCCGCGCCAGTGCCCAGGGCCGCTAGGCACGCTCGAGGGCAGGGCGGGCTGCGAACCCTCGGGGAGGGACTGGGATGGGGGCGGTGGGGTCGCGCGGACGGCGGGAGTCTGTCGCTGCTGGATAGGCGGACCTGGTGAGGCACGGCGGAGGGTCGGGGAGACGCCGCAGGCGGAATACTGATGAGCCCGGCTCTGGGCCAGACCTGGCTCTCGAGCTGGAGAGAACGCGGGGTCCTGGTGCCACGTGCTCAAAAGACAGAGCGGAGAGGGCAGCCAGCGGTCGCCATGGCAACGCGACGTGCAGGCTTGGGCCTGAACCCTTCCGGAGTTGGGACCTGAGACTAGAGTGTCAGGACCGGAGTTTGCGCAGTCGCGGCCTGGAAGCCAGACAGGTGCATCTCCTAGGGAAACCTTCTCCTCCCAACTATACACACACCCACTTCTCCGGAATTCAAGCCCTTTCCTCTTTCAGTAGTTATATGTGCAAACTTTGGGACACCTGTTACCAGATTTATCTTTCCAGTCTCTTTTGATGATATTTCCACCATGGCTAGACACGAAGAGGCTTTAGCAACATATTCTGTCGTGCCACTCCTCTGCTCAAAACCCTCCAATTTTTCCCACGCTTCTCAGCCTGTCCTACATGACCTCTTCCATTTTGGCCCCTTCGACCTCATTGCCTCCCACTTACTCCCTCTGCTCCAGCCACACTGCTTCTTACTGTTCCTCAAACGACGCCAGGCACCTCCCTACTCCAGGGCCTTTGCATTTGGTGTTCATTCAGCCTGAAGCTCTCTTCCCCAGTTACCTGAGATCCGAATGGGTCACTTACCTGCATCCTTCAGCTCTTTGCTCAGGTATCATCTTTGCAGCGCCACCCACCCAGACACCCGCTAGTTCCCTCTCAGCTTTATTTTCCTCAGTAGTATTTATCCCTGTGTGGCATGCTATATATTTTAATTATGTTATTTTTTGTATTTATCTATTGCTCCCTGTACACACACAGACATAAACGAAATAAGCCTCATGAGGAAGAAGATCCTTATAATATGCCCACACTGCTTAGAAGGAAGGGAGCAACTCTTGAGGAGATGTGCATGAATTTGCTTTTCATTTTTTAAATGATCCATTTAGTTGGGGCTGTGGAGTGCAGGGCAGGGATTCAGGATGGTTGGAAGGAGCTTTTCTTTACATCACTGAGTTGCATACCCAAGGATGAGATGGAGCAGTGAAGATAGTGTCCAGGCCTCAGCTGTGGCCTTGCTCAGAGTCTCCCAGAATTCCTTGGAGACTAGAAAGGGTAGCTTTTGCAAGTGGCCAACTGTGGAGTTAAGGCTGGAACATTGATATTTTGTTTACAGCAAGAAAAAAATGTCATTAATTTTCAGCAATCAGTGAAAGTTTTCTCAACTCCTTAACCCGGTTGAATGTGATCCATGTTTACAGTCATTCTATTCTCACATATAACCTATTAAATCATATTAGTACTGATGGGGATTTCATTTAGCACAAATTGAAGCCTAACTGGGCACACACCACTGTTTTCAGAACAGTCGAATTTAAATTTTTGAAAATGACATTTAATTTTGAAAGTTTTCAAAACTTGAGTTCACAGCTAGTTTTTTATTCATATTTTGATTTCACTTTTAAACTGCTAATTATAGTCCATGTTGAATTGCCCTACAAAGTATCCTTGGAACTAAAAAATTAATCACTCTGTCAGGAAAAAGAATTTAGAGCCACAAGGTAATTAGGATGGGTAAACCACAACATTATTATTTTTTTTATGACAAGCCTATCCTTGATCTATTAAGACCAAAAGAAACCTTTAAATCTCTGTCAAGCCCCATGTCAATTTGAAATGTTAAATCATTTGTTTTATTGGCAATAGAAATTATGAGTAGACAGACACTGGTGCTGCCTGGGTTGAGATTTAGATATCTACCTGCCACAAAAGAATGTTAAAACCCTTGAAACATGACATAAGTAGGCTAGAAGACCATTTATTCTCTGATCTTTTGCACATTTTTTCCAAAACAGTAAGGACACATAATTTTTGTTCAGTCAATATGAGGATTACTAAACTGCCAAGAAAAAAAATAAGACAGAAGGATGACAGATTTTAACATTCACTTGTCATCTGTTAGATGAACAACAAACATTACTCCCCCACCTTATTTACTTAATAAGGAAGTTAATGTGTTAGCAGCCAGTTTTCTCATATAGTTTATGTTTTAGTTAATGGTACTTCTATCTCCACAAAAGCCCATGGGCCAGAATTTCTATGCCCTGCAAAAATAGGACAGCAAAGAACTATACTAACTAGGTTTCCAAAATTGGGCAGTTAGTTATCAACACAGGTTATTACTAGACCTGAAAAGTTGTCATTCATATTCTATCATATTAGTCATTTCTACTGATAAAGCAAGTCCTGCAGATAAGTATTTCCCACAGGCATAAATCATCATCTTACACACTCAAGATATAATAAAATGGCTGCAGTTTATTTTTAAAGTGGTATTAAAAACATCTGGTTGAAATTCACTAGTTTTCAACTGGCCAGATTAAAATGTTTTTCAGATATTTTTGGTCTTCAAAACTCCATGAAAAATAATAACACATGAATAATAATAATAATAATAATGGTCTTATAAGTCAAATATTTGGTAGCAGTTTTTATTTAGTGCCAGTACTTAACTATATTCCTTTATTCAACGTACTTGTTAAAAGAATTATAACACCAAAAAAGTGATTTTGTAGATACTTTAAAATGGGCAATAGAAACCACTACTATTACTTTGTGATTTTAAGCAGTTCACATTCCTAAATCCTGATATTATCCTTGAATTCCTGGGGTTTCAATAGTCACTGAATCAGGGCTGGGTGCACTGGATTATGCCTGTAATCCCAGCACTTTGGGAGGCCGAGGCGGTCAGATCTCTTGCGGCCAGGATTTAAGACCAGCCTGACCAGCATGTTGAGACTCCATTTCTACTGAAAAATCAAAAATTAGCTGGGCATGGTGGTGCATGCCTTGTAGTTCCAGCTACTTGGGTGGCTGAGGCAGGAGAATTGCTTGAACCTGGGAGGCAGAGGTTGCAGTGAGCCAGGATCTCACCACTGCACTGTAGCCTGGGTGACGATGCAAGACTGTCTCAAAATAAAAAAATGAAGTCACTGAATCAGTAACATATTTGTAACAATTATTCTGTGTTCATGCTACTGAGCAAAGATTTTCTTTTCCTTTCTATTCTAAACACTATTCATTCTTAATCTTGTCTCAAATGTTATTTTTCTCTTACCTTTGTTTTTATAAATGAAAATTTGCAATTTAAACAATATTTTAAAATAAACTGTCAGTTAATATGCCTTCAATTCTAAAATATCCTGGAGAAAAATATCTGCTTAGCTTTATGGTGGCATCTCATTAAATATTTATGTAGCAAAATGTGTTATATAATGCCACTAAAATGATATTCAGTTAACTATATGTCAGCAGTAAACACAATATAGTCTATATATTCCTGTGGTAAATGTAACAGGCAGCATATGTTCATGTTTTTACATTTCTTTTGATTTACTTCTAGTACAATTAGAACATTCTGTGTGCCATGTAAACATTTTTACAGATATTAAGGAAAATGTTACAGAGAAGACAGTTATTCCTCTTTGTACCCAGGCATAATGGAAAGAACTAGATAACAGGAGATCCAGGTTATAGAACCAATGCTGCCACTTACTTGCAGGAAACTTTTTGCAAGTATCATCACCTGTCTGTACTTCCCACCTACAAAGATATAAGGGAGTTAAAATTACAATTGTGAAAGGATTTTGATAAGGTAAATTAAATGTTTATAATTTACTAATTTCAGTTCAACACAACCATAAACATTCATGTCAAACAGAGTCAATGTCTCACCAGTCAACAATTACTGCGTAAAAATCTCATCCCCCAACTTGGGGTACTTTTCTGGATCCTTTTCAGAGCATAGGGTACAGTCCAAAGCTGCTCTGAAAGGTGGCCTAAAAGAGTGAGACTCTTCCTCATGGGTCCAGAGAGAATATTCAGTTGAATTAAGCTCAAGAAATAAGAATACTATACAAAGATTTATATATTAAACAAAAGTATTCTGTTTTTCTCTAAGTAAGCTGAAATAGCTGATAAGGCTCCGTTTTTTTCAGATTCTCCAATAAAGATATTGTTACCAGTTTGAAGTAGCAGAAATTGTTTCTCCTGTATATGCCATGAAAAGATGCTATTAATTGGAGTTTCAGGTCAAATCACAGTTTGCATAAAGTAAGAGACAATTATCACAGCCATCTGTTCTTGTGTAATGAAAATAATGTACAGGGAACATTTGTCCTTACCATCAGTATGATAAATTGCACTTTCCTCACCTAAACAAGTTGGTGGACTTTTCAAAGTGTATATACACATACAACTTAACTTTGGCCTACAGAAGGATAGAAGAACCTATAACAAGATAAATGTTTAAGAATCAAATAGTTATAAATAAATATCATTTGTTTATCAGTTTTATCAGGGATTATTCATTGAAAGGATCAGAAACCCACTTAGGTGATCTCAGAGGATTTCATGGGAAGTGAAATAAAATCAACTCACAAGGAGAATGGAACTATAAAGCTAGAAACTAAGTTCACTCTCAGCATCAGTCAGGTTGGACTATGCTCCAGTAACAAATCTTCGAATCTCAGTGAATTATAATGGCATCTAATTTCTTACTTATTCATGTCAGTGTCCACTGAGAGTCTTTTTTTTTTTTTCTTTGCTTTAGCTTGTTTGTGTTGGTTTCCTGCCACTTGCAACCAAGAAGTCCTGACTTACAAAAGCATATGAATTAACACATGTAAATACTTTAAGATTCTAATTTTTATTCATCCTAGATATTGTCTTTAGAATATTGTGTTTAGAAGGCTGCATTCTGATGCCATAAATACAAATAGAGGGGCGGTTTTTGATTCAATGAAGCAGAAATCATATCATATTCAATGTTATCTACCCATTCACCACTAGGTAGCTTTTATTAGCCTTTTGGTTATTTTCTTCAGTTATTTTTATTGTGAGGTTTTTCACAAAGAGGCCGAAGAGATTTTTTTTTTTTTTTACCAACTCGAAATTACTCCATGTATGTAGTGATGACACTTTTAAGAACATTAGGCCAGACAGGGAGGTCCTGAAATCGAACTTCTGCCAATAATTGATTTGTTTGTTTTCAAAGGCAAGAAAACCTCTGAAGATATGTATGAGCACTCCACAATTCTTTTTGTTTTATCTATACTCTAGGTCAGCATTTCTCAAACTCTGCTCCCACGAGTTTTCCATAGTTAAATAAGTTTGAGACTCTCCATTCTGAACAGGCTGCAGGTAGTTCACATTGTATATTGTATCAATATGCCTATGTATACACATCCTGCAACAAACAAAGCCACTTGATTCAATGTAGCATTTTCCAAATTTGTCTAACTTTGGAAACTCTGTTAGAGTGCCACACAAGTTTGGAGAACACTAGTTCAGGTAGTTATTAGTGAATAAGTTAGTAAGTAATTGTTATTCATTTCTTGTCTATGTAGATTAGAATACCTAAAACTATGCCTGCAGCAAACCTATCCTTAAATCTTAAATCTTGCATTAATTCTTAAAGCAAATGTTAAAAGTTAAATTTATTTTATTTTTTAAACATTAAAAGTCAAAGAGGTAAAAATAATTAACATAAGTTTTGTAGTATTTATATGTATGGACTGGAATACATGTTGTCCCCCTTTCTATTGTAAATAACTCAAAAAATGATTTTAGGCATGAGGAATATTAATGTAATATAATTTTAAAAACCACCACTTCATTCTACTTTAGACTACTTTTAGGTTTTGTATACATGATACCAAATGACTGGTCTAATTGAGTTTTTCATTAATCTGTGGTATACAAAAATAGATTGTTTTAAAGATACTTTTGATGAGCAGAAAAAGACAATATGAAAAGCTTAAAACTTTAATATTGCTCTGGGGACAACATAGCATAACAACTTATGAAGTAAATGCTTGTTTAATGCATTCCAGGTTTTGCTAATATTTTTATATTGACATTTTGGGTCAATTTTTAACCTTAGAACAAGAGTTATCTATAAAATGGCCACCACAGTGTACCTACACTATCAGAGACCATCTAGGTTTTGTTAAGCAGCATATCTAATTCAGCCCAAAGGACATCTCAAAGCCAAGATCATTCCCCTGGGGTGTTCTCACAACCCTAAACTGGGCCCCTATCCTAAACTGAGACCTAACTCCAAGTGAGATTACCCAAGAAACCTAAGCAAAATATATCTAACAGCAGGTTTTCTTTTTTCTAACTGCATCTGTGTCAGGGAAATCATCATGACATCATTTCACTTTTGTTTGGCCCTGGTTTTGCCTTCTTTTTAAACTATCCAGGCCTAAAGTGCAGCATGTTGGCCATGGGTCTAGTCACAATCCCATCTGCCTGCTTAGCTATCTTCTCCTTGACACCCTCTGACTTTCTCCATAGAGCCCCTCCCTTCCTGTCCACTACGCTTGCCCTCCCCCAGTTTCTTAGACCAAACCTTCAGATCACCAGACCAACTAACCTGGCCACACCCAGTTGAGATGAGTCAGCCTCCACAGCTGTGGACCAGACCAGCCTGCCAACCGGGAACCTGATGCTGCTACCCCACCTACCAGAGTTACACCTGCACCAGCAGTGCCCGCCACCTCCCCCCACCCCAGCTGTGTTTAATTGCAGACACTTTTTTATTAAATAACTGTAGAGAGGGAGTTTTCTTCATTTTGGCTGATTCATTTTAAGCTGCAAAAGCAAGAAAACTTTTTTTGAGTGTCTAGTCATGAATAAATAAACATCATTTACTTTTCCCCCCTCCTCAACACGCCTGTCTCAAGAAACTCATCCACTCCGTGGTTTCAATTCCTGCTTGTACCTGATTGTCTGAAACAGATCTGGTCATTTCAGTCCCCTTCCTCTTCACAGTTTGGTCCCAGACTCTCTTCCCAGCCCTGTCACCTGTTCAGCTCACCCTCCTCCATAGCGTCCATATCTGTATTCTAACCCTGAGCATCCTCCCACTGTATTATAATTGCTTCTGTGAGAAATCTTCCACTGAACCCTAATAACTCAATTCCATAGACTGTTTCTTATCTATCTTCTTTTACTCCGTTTCTGTACTTAGTAGAAGTTAGATAAAGGTTGGTTCAATGAAGAAAATAATCAGTAGAGGAAGACTAATAACTAGCAATATAACCCGGTATTTTAAATTTCTCAAATTAGCCTGACAGTAATCATTAAATTTGAAAGCCTGTATTTTATACTTTTTGCTAAAATGTACTGGGCACTTACTACATGCAGGCACTGCTCTAAAGATTTTTACAGCATTTTCTCATTTAATCTTCATAATCCACACATCTTCCTGTGAGAAAACTGGAACACAGGAAGATTATGAAGTCACACCCGTTGTAATTGGCAGGGTCAGAGTTTGAATCCTGGCTGTCTGACTCTACAACTCACATGTTTAACTGCTGTTCTGTTCTACTTTCTGATAAGCCCAGGAAGCATACCTATAAAGCACAGTTTTATGAACTTACAAACTTCAATGACATAACAAATAGCTGGACTCCTTTAGTTCTCGTATATGAAAATTACTGAGAAATTGAGTCATTTTTCTCCTAAGATTCCTTGTGACAAAATAAATTTAGAAAAGAAATTGTGGTGCATGAGGAAAGAGGTGACAAGTATGTTGAATATTCCACAGACCAGATCATCGGAGGTATAGGCCTAATTACCTTACCTATATAATTACCTTACCTGACAGAGATGGGGTTCATCCTGCTTCTCTGTCAGAACTAAGTAACAAATAGACAGTAAGATTTTACCAGCTCAACCATGGAGCATTGTCTCTCTTCTAACAAAATAATGCATCCCAAAATTTACAGACATAAAAACCATAAACTAATAAGTAGATTTTAATAATTACAGACCAAAAAAACCATAAACTAATAAGTAGATTTTAAAAATAAAAATCCATAGGCATTTTAAGTATCTTTATTTCTACACATCTAAACATTTATAAGTCCATTTTTGAAAACACAAAACATGTTTAAATCTGTAAGCAAGTATCTGTTTACTTTCAGTTTTTTCTTGTACCTTTTGCCTATGTGGTTAAAAGAAAATATGCGTATTCCAGTTCAGAATAGAAAGCTGATCCACCTTTCACCATATAAAAAGGAATATGTGAACCGAGGAGGATATCGTTTAAGAATGGATTTAAACACTGCCAAATAAAACTGTTTTTCATAGCCTTGCATAGAAGCAGAACTGCGTGTTTTATACTAACAGTTCTGATCAAAGAAGAAACTGTCCCTTTTAAAGAGCTGGCTTTGGAAATAGAATGCTAAACATTATTCTTTGGTGCGGGAATAGCCACCTTCTGTCAGGAGTACATGTAGATGGTTAATTCTCATCCACCGCTGATTTATTCATGTGACACTGACTTTCTAGCTGGGTAGCATCAGTCAGTTTTATTGAGGTTTTTGCTCATCTCCTCTTACTCTTACTTTGCTTGCAGCCTGCACTTTAAGAAGTAACTGTGTGGCACCAAATATTCATCACTTACTCCCATGCTCCAGGAGAGCCTGAGAGAATAACACTGTTCTGGCCTGCGCTGTCTATCAGTCTAAGGCATTATTAGTCTCTGAACAAAGCAGGTTGCAGAGAGGAGTAAATGGCAATATAGGGAATTAAACACTTTCTGTCTAGAGCAGGTCTTTATAACAGGCTTTGTGATTTTGTAGAGGGCAAAATCTTGGATGGTCAAATATACACAGGCTCAACTGTAAGCCCAGCTCATCCAAAGCCAAATTACTCTATGACATAATCTACCTCTTTTGATTGTCTGTACTTTAGTTTCTTTTCATCAGTGCAAACAAAAATCAACAGCTGACTTTACTAGATATATATAGTCCATTACCTAGCACTGCTGATATTTATGCAATCATGAAGTGCATCAATTCATAAAACTAATAAAATGGTGTCACTTATGCTGTCCCATTATCTTGGAATAATGTTATCCCAAGAGCATTAGTCACATAAAATCAAATGTAAAACTGGACATTCATCCAATCTAGTAAGTCTAACATGGCACAGATAAATCTATGGTGCTTTTAACAAACAGCTATTATTGATTTTATTGACCATCAGTCATCTAGCCAAGACTTAGCAAGGAAATATGATAAACAGCTTTCAGCACATAATCAATGCAGTATGAAGCTGAATGATGTTTACACACTACCTTGTGTCATCCGGCTACCTTCTGCCATTATGGAAGTGAATCTATCATTGATGGAACTAAAACATTATTCAGTATTAAATAGAATTTGCTCTACTTTTTACTTAAAGAATCAAGAAATATGGAATGTAGGAACTTGTGTGAACACTGAATTTCCAGACTGGCCTCACCAAGCTCGATAAACAATGGTTCAAAAATGGCATATTTACACCTGAACTAGGACATGGATTTCTGGTTGCTCTGGTCACTAAATATATATAAAAAAAAAGTGTGGAAAAGTTTGAACTGATAGTAAGCTCTTGACATTTAGATATAAAGACTCTTACTAAAACTGTTGGTATTGTCAAATCAGTACATAAATATTTCCCATATATTTTTAAATACTATCAAGCTAAAAAGAAAATGAAGGCTTCTAATATTTAGAATACCCTCAATTCTTGTTTACTTGCCATTCATTATTTGATGTGACATTAACACAACATTTTGAGATTGCTATTATTATTTTCAAGGGGTTGAGTGATGGCCTAGAATCATATAGCTTGACAAAGGCAGGGCTTGAACGCTGTTTAACTCTCAAGTCCATTGTACCACACTAAATACTATTTTGGTTAAAATGTATTTCAAAATGTCAGAAGTTCACATTTTTTGTTATTGAGGTCATAGCCACTAATCAAACATTTTGCATTGAACCCTAAAGCTCGCTGGCATCTCCACTTGGATATGTATCTCAACTCCCTCACATTCAGGATGCCCAGATCTGAATTCACCATCTCTCTCCATTTTGTAACTCCAAGATTTCCTTCTCTTACTTTTTGAATAGGAACCAATGAATGCAAGCATCTTAACTCCACAGACGTGTGAAGAATGCTGCTGCAAAGTATTTTAAAACTAAGGATCTCTGCTGGGCATGGTACCTCACACCTGTAATCACAGTGCTTTGGGAGGCTGAGGCGGAAGGAGTTTGAGAACAGCCTGGGCAACATACTGAGACCTGATCTCTAAAAAAAAAATTTTTTTTAATTAGCTGGGCATGGTGGCGCATGCCTGTAGTCCGAGCTACTGAGGATCCTCCTGAGGCAGGAGAGTCACTTGAGCCCAGGAGTTCGAGATTACAGTGAGCCATGATTACACCAATGCATGCAGCCTGGGTGACAAAGTGAGACCCTGTCTCTAAATAAATAAATTAATTAATTAAAAAACTAAGGATTTCAAATAAACTACTTAAACCCCACACATATTTCAAAAAGTATTAGAAAACTAGACAAAGATTCACTTCATGAGAAAAGTATCGAGTTCTAGTCTATCAAAGGAAGCAAGATGTGGGAATCTGTTATATTCCAAGTACATAGTGGTCTAGGCACTGATCTAAGTAATTTCTATGTGTTAACTGAGGGAATTCCCACAACTCCATGAGGCAAGAACCATTACTATTCTCATTTTACAGATGAGGAAACTGAGACTAAGAAACCAAGAAACCCAAAGTCACAGTTCACAAGTGCCAAGACCAAGCTTTCCCCTTAAAGAGCCAGACTCTGTATTCTGTGCCTTAACCACTATACCTGCCATTACTGCACAGAAGAGAACCTACATATAGCTTTGGTCACACTCCTCCTGACAAAGTTGAGGTGGCTTGCTCTTATATGGGAACAACAAGTCACTTTTTTTTTGAGATGTAACTCACATACCATAAAATTTACCTTTTTAAAGTGTGTAATTCAATAGTTTTAATTAGATTCATTCACAGAGTTGTGCAACCAGCACAGAATCTAATTCCAGAATATTTTTATCATCCCAAAAAGAAACCTCAACTATTAAGTCACCACTAAAACCCCACAACTCCTGGCAACCAGTAGTGTACTTTCTGACTCTGTGGATTTGTGTAATCAGGATATTTCATATAAATGGAATCATAAAATATGTGGCCTTTTGCATCTGTCTTCTTTTACTTCGCATAATGTTTTTAAAGTTCATCCACCTTGTAGCATGCCTCAGTACATCATTCTTTTTTATGACTAATTATCCTGTACTAATATCCTATTGTATTGCATATAGCACATTTTGTTTATCCATTTATCAGTTGATGGACATTTGGGTTACTTCCACTTTTTGGCTATTACTAATAATGCTGTTATGAACATTCATATACAAGTTTTTATGTGGACATGTTTTCAATTACCTTGAGTATCATGATATAGTAAAAAATATATTTGGTCTTTGTCCGTGGTTCCTGGCTCAGAGCTCCTAAAACCCTTGGGATTTCCTGAGTTAGAAGTGTCTTGACCAGAGGTGACTCAGGGTGGGCCCCCAGGTCCCCTCAGGATGGGAGCTGGTCACTGTGAAGTCCAAATGTGAACTCTTGCATTTCTCTAATGACTAGTGATGTTGAGAATCTTTTGGTCACTGGAAAGACCAAATGTGAGCTCTAGGGGTGGGAACTTTCAGTGCCACCCACTGACCTCTGACCCCCAGGGCAGGGAGGGTGGCTGGAGATTGAGTTCTATAAAAACTCTTGAACAACAAGATTTGGAAAGTTTCCAGGTTAGAGAACACGTGGAGGTGCTGGGAGAGTGGCACACAGAGAGGGTGTGGAAGCGCCACCCTTCCCCTAGTACCTTACTCCATGCGTCTCTGCCATTTGGCTGTTCCTGAGTTGTATCCTCCATAATAAACCAGTAAATATAAGTAAAGTGTTCTCCTGAGTTCTGTGAGTCATTCTAGTGAATTATCAAACGTGAGAAGGGGATGATCCAAGGTTGCAATCAAGTCAGAAAGAAGTTCAGGTAGCCTGGGGACCCAGGACTTGGCAACTGGAATCTGAAGTGAGGGCAATCCTGTGGGACTGATCCTTTACTGCTGTGGAGTCTAACTCTGGTAGTTTGTGTCAGAATAGGATTGAATTGCAGGACGCCTAGGGATGTCGGTAAATTGGAGTCACTGAAGTACATACCTAGGAGTGGAATTGTTGAGTCACATGCTAACTCCATGTTTAAAATTTTGAGGAACTGTCCAGCTGTTTTCCAAAGAAGCTATACCATCTTACATTCCCACCAGCAGTGTATGAGTGATCGAATTTCTCCACATCCTCACTAACACTTGTAATCGTCTGTCCTTTTTATTATAGTCTTTCTAGTGGATGTGAGGTGAAGTCTTGTGGTTTTGATTTGCATTTCCCTAATGACTAGTGATGTTGAGAATCTTTTCATGTGCTTATTGGCTATTTTATGTATTTTTTAAGAGAAATGTCTATTTAAAGTCTTTGCTCTCATTTAATTGGGTTGTCTGTCTTTTATTATTGAGTTATAAGAGTTATTTATGCTGGATACTTATTCACTTTTAAAATGGAAGAGACATAGGTGTGAGCCTCTCAATTCTCAGACACTCACAGGAGGAAAAAAGCAGACACAGACCTGCGTGGGAGGAAATCTTATCAAGACTGGCCTATCACGACCTACTGCAAATTCTTTGCATCATATCTCAAAATAAGCCAATTCTGAGACAGAACTTGGATAAAGTCCATCTAGATTGGCTTTGACAAACAGGAAACATGGAAAAGTCCAAAAGCAGGAGGAAATCATTTCTTTATCAGGGTCCCTGGATATAGCAGCTGTTCCTCCTCCTCCTTACCCAACTTCCACTTCTGGCTTTGGAAACGGAGTCTACCTCAGTATAATATCATAAGGTTCTTGTCATCTTTGGCTCCTAAGGGTTACCATGGCAGTATTCAAAAAAGTCACTTCCAGGTGTCAAAAAGGTGGCCACCCACTACAGTTGAGAGTTATAAATGGATAGAATTGGGACACTGGATCTTGAAGATCATTTGCTCAACCCTCTGCAAAGTTAGAAAAATCCCAGAACATTAAATCACCCAAGTGACACAGTACATATTGCCAAGACCCCTTTTTTTTATTATTTACATTAAGAATTCTGAACATCCAAAGACTCATTTTTTAGTTGTTTCTCCGTGTGTGTGTGTGTGTGTGTGTGTGTGTGTGTGTGTGTGTGTGTTCAATAAAACTCAATTGAAACACCTATTCTCCCTTCTGGGGACTCTTCCATGCCCTCAGACACCCATAATCACATTTTCTTTCTATATTCCACATTACAACTATCAAAGTTTACATTAACATTGTTTTCTCTCTTTAAGGGGAAGTTATATATGTCTATACTATAACATGAATGTTCCCTCATTATAAGTAATATATTCTTTTTTTTTTTAACATTGGCTTTCGATAGACATTACCTTTGCCCCAAAGATCAATCTATTGGTAGGAGTTTCCACATGTGTCTAGAAAAGAAAAAAAAATTGTTGATGTTTAGTTTTGCTATGCCTCTCACACAGAAAACACATAGCAGTGTGACTGTCCCCTTGGATTGGCTGTCTGGTTGACTCCTACCCTAGCAAAAAGCACAAAAGAAGTTTCTGGGATGAGGCAAAATGCTCCTCTCCCCATTCATTTGCACTACTTGCTAGCTTTTTTGGCATCTTACCACTAGCACTCTCTACTCCTTCATTCTCCCTCTGTAGTCTCCTGTGTATCTAGAGTTTCTGCCTTCCTGTCTGCAAGCATGGCTTTGGTTCCAAGGTATGTGCCTTCCCTCCTGGTCATCTCTATGGCTTGTTCTGACCTGTGTACAGTCTTTTCATCTAGCTCTAGGTCGTTGACCACAAACTGAGGAAGTCTCTCTACCTAGTCCACCTGGTGTGTGTACCCTTTACCTCCAGCCTGACATTGACTTGCCCAGCCCTGGCATCATTCCCAGTGAAGATCCCAGTGCTGACAGTTCCTTGAATTATACCTCATGTGTAGCAGCTTTAGGGCTGGCTCTGATCCTAACAATAGATTATTGTAATGCACTTGCTCAATAACCTGTAATGTCAAAATAAGATTACATACACATCTGGGCTACATAAAAAATGCACTCACATAATATCTTTTCTTTTGAAACATGCCATAAAATGATTAAACTATATGTAAACACAGAATCCATTGACATATAGCCACCATGGAAATGAAATAGGACAAATACTTAGTAGAACCTGGAAGTTCTACTTACATTGAGGGCAGGAAGTAAAGAATAATTTATGAATTCCATCTGTAAAACAGGGAAGGAGTGAATTAGTAGGTCAGAGATTATTACTCAATTTGGAGGCTAGCCAAAGATTGGCCAATTATTCTCTTCTGAGTGGAGCCAAATAGTTCAATTATTATTATAGTTTCACTCTCTAAATTCCTCTGCTCCCTTTTACGAGAACAAAGTCATCAATTTTCCATTCACATTATTTAATTTGCATATTATGAAGGCTTTTGGATTAGTGTCTATTATTAAGTTTTCTGAAACTATATGTACAAAAGATTTTTGTGAAAGCACCATCAAAAATTAATCAAGAGCATTTTATTTTATTTTACTTTAAAATAAATTGTATTGTGCATATTTGAGGTTTACAACATGATGTTATGGGATACAGATAGAAAAATGGTTACTATAGTAAAGCAGACTAACATGTCTATCATCTCACTTAGTTACTTTTTTGTATGTGACAAGAGCAGCTAAAATCTACTTATTTAACAAAAATCCCTAATACAATACAATATTATTAACTACAGTCCTCATGTTATACATTCGATCTCCAGGCCTGTTTATCCTACGTATCTCCTCCGTTGAATTATTGGACTTACATCTCCTTCATTTTCTCCCCACCATGGTAACCACTATTTTATTCTCTATCTCTGTATATTAGGCTTTTTTAGATTCCACGTAAGTAATACTTTAAAATATCATACAATATCGTTGTATGTTGTACAGTAAATATCATACAATATTTTTCTTTCTGTGTCTGGCTTACTTCACGTAGCATAATTTCCTCATCTACTTAGCATAACCCACGTTGTGGCAAGTGGCAGGATCTTCTTTTTTAAGGCTGAATGACCTTCCATTGTGTATATATGTATTTATATATGTATACATACCATATTTTCTTTATCTGTTTGTCTGTTGGTGTACACTTAGGTTGTTTCCATATCTTGGCTATCGTGAATCCAAGAGTGTTTTTAGAGAAATTATTTAATTCATATATCTGAAAAGGTTACTATAAAATTTGTATAAATATTGGATTTGAAAATTAATTTCATTTAGTATTTGTTCATATCTCATAGTTTTCTTTAGATATTAAATCATATTTATCAGTGGCACAATATACCCACTACATTCCTTCCTGTCCTACTGTTCTTTTATCTCCCCAACCATGTTAAAGAATTTAGATCTGTGTTTAGAGCTCCGTCCTCACTGTAACTACCTCAAGGCCTGACATAGGCTGAGTGAGGCCCTTACTGTTGTTGATTCAAGTTCAGGATACTGATGATGAGACCACTGGCTCATCTGATAAGACCACTGATAAGACCATGAGCTGTTCAGCAGGCACAGAGCTTCAGGTTTACTTGGTTGCTCAATTGGGTCGTTCACACAGTGAGGGAGATTTCTAGTTTGATTGCATAACCAAAACGCTTTTATATGCCCAGAAAGAAGAATGGATAATCGTTACACAGATAATGGTGTGTGACTATTGTAATTCCATGATGCCTCTGAGAAAAACTGGTTTTTATAATGTATTGAAACCAAGGTATGGAGCAGCTGTTGCTGAAACAAGGCTTGCTATATGAACTATGCTATGAGATGTGATTTCATATCCGTGTCTTTTCCACCAGGAATGTTGATTTAACAGGGAGACTCATTAGAATTGGTTTAGGACAGCCGGGAGTGGTGACTCATGCCTGTAATCCCAGCACTTTGGGAGGCCGAGGCAGGCAGATCACCTGAGGACAGGAGATTGAGACAAGCCTGGTCAACATGGCGAAACCCCATCTCTAGTAAATATACAAAAATTAGCCAGGCATGGTGGTGTGGGCCTGTAGTCCCAGCTACTTGGAGAGTCTGAGGCAGGAGAATTGCTTGAACCCAGGAGGCAGAGGTTGCAGTGAGCTGAGATTGTGCCACTGCACTCCAGCCTGGACAACAGAGCAAGACACTGTCTCAAAAAAAAAAAAAAAAAAAAAAAACAGAATTGGAGATGAGACTGAGGGCCAGGACTTAAGTTTGACAGCTCATGGTCGCCTTACCTCAAACCTTAAAACACCCTATCTTGGCCACTGTGTCACCTATACTGTCTCACCTATGGGAAACATGAGGCTGCATCCTCCCAGCTCCTAAAAGCAGTTGAATATGTATGCCATTACACTGTAGACAAATCAGTGCTTGTTGGCCAACTGCAAAGGATGACAAGCATTTTGACACTGTACATAAGTTAGGAGAACCCAAGATGCACAACAGAAATTCAAGTTAATGGACAATAAACTAGGAGAAACAGGAAATAGAATGAGCATGGCAGAAAGGGCTTAACCAGTCTCTGTTAAGCCCTTTTATAGCAAGCGCTAAAATGAGAGTTGGAGCCAGAGGACTAGATGCGTCTGAAGAGGTCTTCTCCTAATAAAACCATAGTGGGGACTGCCCAAATGGCATTGGGCAGTATAGGGTCAGGAAAACTAGAATCTGTTCCAGGGTCTACTGCTATTCAGGCAACACAACTGAGGGGTTAGGAATAAGGACCTGTATCTTGCAGTGGGAAGGACGGTGGTAGGCTGTGAACTTGGGTTAGTTATTTGACCTCTCTGTGCTTTAGTTTTCTCATCTGGAAAATGGAGATAATCAGACCATTCACCAAGGACTGTTGCGAAGATGAAAGGAATGATAGACACAAAGCCCTTAAAACAGAGCCTGGCCAGAATAACCTAATTAATGTGAGTTTTTGGCACATGTTAAATGGCGCTAGTAATTTCTGACTAGATCCAGGGTGGTGATGAGGACTGGATGACAGAATGAATGTATGAGAAAGCCTTTTGTAATAAACCCAGGTTTTTACTATGATTGTGTATCTATACAGATAGAGGGGTACCTAAAGCATGGAAAGAACGGCTGAAATGCTTATGGCTGCTTCCCCTCACATGTGGGTCCCTCCCCTGGGAACGAGGGAAAGTCAAGCAGCCAAAGACACAGTGCCTTTCACAGAGCAGGAATGGAGGAATGGAGGAAAGGAGGTCTGGGAGACAAAATCTCTAGCAAGGGGTTGACAGTCCCTTAGAGTCACCCCTCAGCTTGAGGACCTATTATTCTTTGGAAAAGGGAGACCAGTACATTCTGAGAAAGAACCCAGGCTTTGGAGCCTGAAAATCTCAACTTCTTCCTCTTGAGTGTGTCTTTGGTAAGTTATTTATCCCATCTGTACCTCGGTTTCCTCATCTGTGAAACAGGCAACACACCACCTCCTATAGTTATAGAGCAGGATCAATGAGATTGTCTTTGAAAAGTTGCCCAGCATTTGCAGGTATTTAATAACAATATCTTTTATTATTCAAAGGTCATTCAGCCATTTGTATTGGTGCTCCAGTACTCTTGTAGGTATTGGGAATATAGCAGTGAAAAAAAAATTAAAATAATAAATAGAAGTGTATTTAATGAAACATTTGTTGAATTCCTGTGTAATCACCTTTTAGGTTGTATGTTCTCTGGCAAGAGAGCCCACAACGATTTTTTTGCATTCAGTGGGTTTTACACCAAACAAAGGCAGAAGTTGGGTTAGTCAGAAGGTGGCCAAGAGCAATGAGAAATTCAGATCGATCAGACCCACTCCCCGCCTTGGGAAGTTTTGAGAGGTGGAGCAGCTCAGGCATCCCCGCTGCCATTTTTAATTCCATTTTATTTCAAGGCCTTCGGACTCTCACTCACCTCTGGGAGTCTGCAAACAATTTAGCCCATAACTTCAAGGAGAGCAGGAAAAATCAGGAAAAAATGGTGGACAAGCAACAAGCTGCACAGGAGTGCTTCCGAAATGCAGCCCTCAGTGGGTATGAGTTCCCGAAAACTTTGTGTAAACTAGATTGGATTGTAAATGTCCTAGAGATATTTTTAATAAAGACAAATCTTTGGTATATAATTTTCAAATGTAAATACATGTTGCAAATCCACATTACCTAGATTCCAGTACACCGACGAGTTACTAACAGGCTTTAAAACATTTTTTTTAAAGAAAAAAACAATAAACAAGAAAAAGAATTACATGAAATAATTATGAAGTACATCCCAATTTCAGAACATTAACGTGGAGTAGGCGTGGGAGTGGGGCTCCATCAAGGAACCTAGAATAGCAGTGGCTAAATAGGGTAGACAAACTTGGAGATGCAATTTGAGGTCCCTATTTGGATCCTGTGCCTACCTCCTTGGGCGACCCACTTAACTCCTCTGCACCTCTAGCTTCTCGTGTATAAAATAAGAATGCAGGATTACATGAGAGCTAAGGTCCCAGTTAGCGGCAAATTTAATTGGGATCTAGACTTACTGATGTTTCTCTGACTCAGTTCCTGACAAGAGTCTCTTTGGATAAAAATGTCCGCTGCCTGTTGCTTGTGCCTTTGTGAAGAGACACTTTAAATTCCCTCCTCTTTCAAGCTTCTCAATTGGGGCTTCAACATTGTGAGATCAAAAGGAGATGAACCATGTAGTTGCGGCATCTTTCATTCCCCTCATTTTACCTATGCCTTGGAAGTGCCCTGGGGGCTCCACAGCCCTGTTGGCCCCTTGTAAGAGGGAAGTAGAAAAGCACAGGGTGGAATGACAGCTAAGTGGAGAGAGGAGAACACACACTGACCAGCTTTGAGCTCTGCCCCCTTATCCTGGGCGGAACAGCCCACTGGTGGATCTGTAATTACCCTTGTCTATAGGCCACACTCATTGTCATTTCCTTGCTAGGAAAGAAAAGGGCAGGGTGGGGTGGAAGGATCAAAGAGTAATTAAAAGGCCATTTTGGACTATTTACTTCCTAAAATGAGAAGTAAGATTTGATTGAGAGAGATGGAAGGTGAAAACAAAATGGGTAAATATGCTTGTGCCTTCTCATTCTGCAAGAGAGGGCTTTTGAGGACTGAGTTGCGATGTAAGCCTGGCCTGGAATTCCTTATCTCAGGACAAGAGCCAGTTTGGTGCTAAACTTCTTGGGGGAAGACAGTATTATTCATTTTACATGCCAAATTCTTCAATTTCAAGTGATTGTTAGATTTTTACATACCATTATTTACATACTGTTATTTTCATTGTTTTTATTATTTGAATTTGAATTTTTTTCCATTACTTTTTTTTTGTAGAGACGGAGTCTTGCTATGTTGCCCAGGCTGGTCTTGAACTCCTGGGCTCAAGTGATCCTCCTGTCTCAGCCTCCTAAAGTGCTGGGATTACAGACGTGAGCCACCGCACCCAGCTATTAGAGTTTTAAATGCAGATGTTTGGTTTCGTTGTTATGATCATTACTATTATTCAGTGATTGTTTTGTTTTTGTCTCTGTTGCTATTCAGTGGTGTGCTGGCAAACGTGGAAAGCTCTGATTTGTAGCATTTTCCATGGCTGCCTTCAGGCTACCTACCTGAGGTTGCTGACCTTGATGTTTGGAAGTCAGTACAAGCCAGCCCCAGCATACCACTGCTTGTTGTCAGTTCTTTGGCTGTATATCCTATGGGAGGAACTGCCAAATTGCAAGTTTTCTAAAATTATCTCTAAAATGATGTAAGCCTGCAGCTGCAAAAAACAACAAAAAAGATATGTTACAGAAATTTTTAGTGAAGAAATCATGAATGTACATTTCAATGAATTTCCACAAACTGATCACACCTGTGTAATTAGCAATAAATCAGAAGAACAGAATATCAGGATATCATCAGCCTCCAGAAGCCCCCTGCATGCTCCCTTCCAGTCCAGAGCGCCCACACCACACTCTTGGCAAGGATAACCTTCTAGCAGCATGGTAACTTTGCCTATGTTTCTATTTCATATAAATGTCATCATACAGTATGCACTCTTATGCATGGCTTCTCTTGCTCAAAGATATGTTTTTTGGATCCACTTATATTGTTGCATATAGCTTTAGATCATTCTGACTGTTGTATGGTATTCCATTTTTATGAATGTTTCACAATTTATCCATTCTGTCATTGGTGAGCCTTTTGATAGTTTCCAGGTTTGAGCTACTAAGAGTAGTGCAGCTATAAACATTATAGCACCTGTCTTTTGGTGCATAAATGTAAGCATTTCTGTTGGTTGTATCCCTAGGAGGGCAATCACTGGGTGCTCAGGTACACAAATGCTCTGTTAGTATATCCTGCAAAAGTTACCAGATGATGGTGGTGCCATGGTACATCTCTCCCAGTAGTACTCCTCATTCTCACCAGCACTTGCTATTATTTGTCTTTTCATTTTAGCTATCCTGGTGGGTGTACAGTGGTATCACAGTGTTGTGATAACTAATGGTATTAAGCATGTGTTTATATTTTCTGGTCATTTGAATATCATCTTTGATGTGGTGTCTGCTAAGTCATTTACCCACTTTTCCATTGAGTTGCCAAAAAAAAAATAAATAAAACATTAATTCTGAAATAAGCTGCCTTTTCCTTGTGGTTTTGTCTTGAGAGCCAGAGGTACTAATCAGAAACAGTTTATCACTTCTGCTTTCTCTTGTAATTTTTTTCTCAGTGCAAATCATCTCCTACACGGTACATTGCTCTCTATCAAATCATTGTCAGATATTGTGCATATTTCAGAGCTTCACTTAGAAATATTATAAAGCAATTTAGGGAGAGAGGTTCTTAAGTGCAAACAGTACGAATGCAAATAGATTTTCAAAAGAGAACAATTCTTTCTTAAATGAAAGTAAGAGCTATTCAAATAGTCTCTAAGTAAAAAAAAAAAAAGTAATAAATTGAAACTCAATAACCTCAAGAAAGTAATTGTGATTTCATATTAAACATGAATTTTAGAAAGTTTCCAGGAGTGATTATTCTTTTTCCTTTCCATTTTCTCAATAGAAAAAAACTTGTTTTTTATTGGTAAGTCTCTTTTTAAAAACCTTATCCACTAAAATTGAATTCCTCGTATGTATTGTGTAAGCTGTCTTATTTTAAAAATTTATATTTAGATACCTGGATGCAGTCTGTTAATCCATAACTGATTCTATGCAAGAAAGTAGGCTACTTTAAAGGATAGTTCACATTTCAGAGGTTTAGGAATTCTCGTTGGATGGCTGGATTTTCATAGAAGCATAATTGCTTTCCTTTCCTTCAGTGTTTTTTTTAATGTAGTAAAATAATAAGATAAAGTATTAAGACTACAATTTCAGGAGAGAGAGTTAAGTTTCCCTATGAAAAAAAAGAAATACATTTCCTGGAATGTTCCAGAAAGAACTGAGGCTATTCCTGGAACCTCCTGAAGGCTCTGGCAGATTTCCCTGAAGCCCAGGTGGCCCAGTCCTGCCACGTGTGCCTTTTTGCTGCACACAGCATGGGCAGCCCAGAGAACACCGGGAAGGAAGGAAGAAAGGAAAGTTTCCTTTCCCTGCCTTCTACTTCCCTTGTGCTGCTCCTTCATGCTGCTCCCTCACGCTGCTGAGTCCGGGATTGGCAAATGCGTAGCACCTCACCACCCCTCTCTTCTGGGCCCATGGCAAACAGCACTGTCAGTCATGGCACTTTTCCCACTGACTCCAGGTGTGACCCAAATACAGCTCAGAATTCTTTTTTAAAAATTATTCATTTATTTATTTTTTGAGACAGGGCTCACTCTGTCACCCAGGCTGGAGTGCAGTGGTGTGACTGCAGCTCACTGCAGCCTTGACCTCCCACTCTCAAGCAATCCTCCCACCTCAGCCTCCTGAGTAGCTGGGACTACAGGCAAACACCACCACGCCTGGTTAATTTTTTTTTTATTTTTAGTAGAGACAAAGTCTCACTGTGTTGCCCAGGCTGGCCCTGAACTCCTGAGCTCAAGCGATCATCCTACCACCTTGGCCTCCCAAAGTGGTGGGATTACAGGTGTAAACCACCATACCCAGCTGCAGCTCAGAATTTTTATCACAGCACACTGAGCAACTGGTACCCAGGTATCAGAGTTGGCATTTCAAGTGAAGTCTATTTGTCTCCACTTTCTTTTCTTTTCTTTTGTCTTGTCTTTTTTTTTTTTTTTTCTTTTTTTTTTTAGACGGAGTTTCACTCTTGTTGCCCAGGCTGGAATACAATGGCGCAGTCTCGGCTCAGCACAACCTCCACCTCCCGGGTTCAAGCAATTCCCCTGCCTCAGCCTCCAGAGTAGCTGGGATTACAGGCATGTGCCACCATGCCTGGCTAATTTTGTATTTTTAGTAGAGATAGGGTTTTGCCATGTTGTCCGGGCTGGTTTTGAACTCCTGACCTCAGGTGATCCGCCCACCCTGGCCTCAAAGTGCTAGGATTACAGATGTGAGCCCTGTGCCTGGCCGCCTCCACTTTCTTAGGTGACAGGATTCTTATTTTGTCGTCCCCATCAGTCCACCAAAACCCCGAAATGTAAATGTATTCCTTTTTCCAGGATCATTTACATTATCTTATATGGTAGTCCCCAGTCTCTGAATCTCTGACTCATCATTTTCTATTTTGGTTCTGGATGCTTCCCATCTCCACCAAAAAAAGAAAGAAAGAAAGAAAACGTCTAGGAATGTGAGTCAAATGCCTACAGGGGCCAGATGATACAAGCAAGATGTGCATATTTGGTCCACAGGAATAACAGGAATAGTTTTTACCTTCAGAAACAAATACACTGTGCCATTTTTCTAATAATATGTGGCCCTCAGTCTATCTTTGGTTTATCCACTTCTGTAAAAGACATGCAGTCAATCCCTGTTATTCCCAGTGCAGGTTGAGTATTCTTAATCCAAAATGCTACAAAATCTGGAACTTTGTGAGCACCAATATGACACTCAGAGATAATGCTCATTGAAGCATTTCAGAGTTCAGATTTTCAGATTAGAGATGCTGAACCATTATAATGCAAATATTCCAAAATCCAAAAAAAAAAAAAAATCTGAAACACTTCCAGTCAGTCCCAGGCATTTTAGATAATGAATACTCAACCTGTAGTTATGTTCTATTAAGTCACCAAGTACACTGAATTAATGAATACTGAATATTGCTCCTAGGGGAAATAGAGGGTTAGGTTCCTGTGAGCCTCTGGTCACAAAATTTTTGTCAACCAATCAATGCATAAACTTGTTTTATGTATGTTTCTGTTTAAAGATACCTTGTTTAATATATATTGTTCATTCATTACCATTGAACTCACAGCCATCGCACTATAACTCATGCTTGAACGATGCTTATCTAATGAATGTATTTTCTCCCCAAGCATTGCAGCCTTCTTGTGCTTAGGAATGCTAGACAGCATTTAAGGATTGTGTTTGGGGCCATTTAAACAGCAAATGCACCACCAAAAAGCACCAAAATGAAAAACATGACACTGAATATACCATGAAAAGTACACTTGTTTATTGAATTAGAGCTGAAACAAGGAGCATTACCCTGATCAACCTCAGCTATGAAGTTACACATTGGACAACTCATTTTTTAGCCATTCTGTGAATGACCATGAAAGTGCTGTGAGTATTGATTTGGAAATTACAAATAAATTTTAGCAAGTTTGCAAATTTGCAAATACAGAATACACAAATAATAGAGATTGACTGTATTTTTCCACCTTGAGAAAGATAAGAACAAAGATAAATGGCAGCTGAAGATTGCTCTCAGTAATTGGGCAGCAAATGGCATAGACTGGCAAACCAAGGAATATGGGGTCAGTTATAGTCCAGTGTAGCCTTGGTGCCATATGGGCACAGGGTTGGCAGATCTTCCAAGAGAAACCTGACATTTGCATCATTCTGATATGACCTCTCCTGATTTTAAGTGTTGCTTTAAATTAAAAACACCAACAATGCCATGAAACAAATCAAACACATGCCTTCACCATGCCTGGCTTGTCCCGAGGGCCTCGGATTTGCAGTTTCTCAGTGCAGCCTAGAGCAGGGTTTCTCAATCTCAGCACTGTTGACATTTGGGGATGGGCAATTCTTTGTTCTAGGGAGCCACCCTATGCATTGTAGGATGTTGAACTGTATTCCTGGCCTCTAGATACCTGTGTATCCATCCCTACACCACACCACTCACCTCTGAGTTGTGACAAAAAAAATTGCCTGTAGACATTGCCAATGTCCTCTAGGAGGAAAATCACCTCCAGATGAGAACCAGTGGTCTAGATTAACACAGATGAACCACTTAAGGGCACCTTATGACTCATCTTTCTCTGTTCCTGAGACTGCTGGAGACTGCTGCATGGGCTCTGGAAATGGAATCAATCTAAGAAAGGAAAATATCCATGCACTTGGAAGAAGGCCCAACTCTCTCAGACTGATTCCATTTCTAGAGTCCATCAGTTCTCACATTCAATTCTTCCTTTATTCTTATTAAAATCCTTACCATAGTCCCCTATGTCCTTTCACCTACACTATTGAAATAATCTCCTAACTGGCACCCCACACTCATCTCCCTCTTCTATATTCTATCAGACTAATCACTGCCAAATGATATTTCAAGACACTTTTTAAAAATCATGTTGTCAACCTCATTCCATCCCAACCCTCTTTCAAAAATGTTAATTAATGCTTCACTTAACAAATCATTGCTAAGGATCCAACAGTTTATTCAGGAGCTTATCAGAAGAGACATCATGGCAGTAGAACAGTTGCTCTAGAGTGCCAGGTGCCTGGTTTAAACCTTGGTTCTGCAACATGGGCTGGCCTCATCACACCTCCTCTTCTAATTCTACATAACTTTACATCCTTATTCTTCTCAACTCATAACCCACCCATAGTGGCAAAACAGTGTCTGGCCAAGAGCTTAGGCTCCAAGGTATGCACACTGATGTTAAAATTCCTAAGGAGTTCCTTAACCTTTCTGAGCCCCATTTTTGTCATCTGTAAAACGGGGATAAAAATAACTTCTACAAGGTTGTGGTGAGAATTAACTGATGTTTTCCACATAAAGTACTTGGCACGTTGCAGGCACACAGGCAGCTCTTAATAAATGTCATGTGATATTTATTCTTATTTTATCTTCCCCTTGTGAGATCTTACAGATCTTGTAATATGTGCTGCCTACTTGACACTTCACATATATTGATTTGGGTTTGTTTTTTGTTTTTGTTTTTGTTTTTGTTTTTGGTGCACACCAAATACATATACTATTTATTTTTCTGCTTTGAGTGTGACCTTACTGGGGGCCAGACACAGGTGTTTACTCCTTTTTCATCCCCACGGTCCTGGCATAGTGCTAAGAAGATACTTGGCAATTAGTAAATACTAGTTCAGTGGTTCTCAAGATGTGGTCTGCAGACCATCACCTGGGAACTTGTTAAAAATACAAAGTCTTAGGAGCCACTCCAGACCTATGAATCAGAAATTCTGGGTTTGGGGGTCCAGCAACCTGTGTTTTAATAAGCTCTCTAGGTGATTTTGATGCACATTAAAGTTTGAAAACTTTAATTCATGTATTCAGCAAGTGTCAATTGAATGCCTGCTATGCGTCAGTAATTTTTAGGAATTTGGCATACAACAATACACAAGACTTTCTCTGCTGTCTTGGGGCTTAATTCTGTTGGAAGAAATAGCCATAACACAAAATAAAATAAACAGTAGATTTTCAGGTAAGGGCTGGTGCTGTGAGGAAAAGTAAATGGTAGAATGTAATGGAGAGTGTTTGGAAGGAAGTAGTAAGGAGGTTGCTTTGTCTCAGGTGGTCAGGGGAAGCCTCTCTGAGAAGGAACACTGAACTGAGACCTAAATGGTGATGAGAAGGGGCAGCCCTCTGTGAAGATCTGCAGGAAGGGCCAGCCGAACAGATGAAATAGCACATGCAAAGATCCTTAGGCAGGAATGAAAGGGACAGAAAGAAGCCCAGTGGGCTACAGCAAAGTGGGAGGTAGGAGACATGGTAAGAGATAAGGTCAGAGAGATAGATGGGGGTCTAATTACGTACATCCTGGCAAAGGGTTTGAATGTTATTTTAGTTGTAGTAGGAGGCCATGGGAGTGTCTTAAGCAGGAGAATGATGTAATCTGATTTGCATTTTTAAAAGAATACTCTGGCTGTCAGGGCAAGAACCGACAGTAGAAGTTAGTAGGCTGTTGTCGTGGTCCAGGAGAGAGGTGATGGTGGCTAGGACTAAGGTTTTAGAAGTGGAGATGGTAAGAAACTCTTATATTTGGAAGATACTTACAGTACAAAAGAGAGAAATCAAGGATGACTATTAGGAGGGGGCCTCAGAAACGGGCTAAATAATGGCACTATGTATTAAGATGAAGAATACTGGGGAGGGAACTAGTTTAACATGTTGAGGGAGGAAATATTAATAGTTGTTTTTTGTCCAAGTTAAATTTGAGGTGCTCATAGACATACAGGTGAAGATGGAGAGTACAAAATCTAATGCCCTGGTCTACAGCTCAAGGAAGAAGTCAGATGTGGGTGATAAATTTAGAAGTCATCAGTCCTGTTAAATTAAACTAAATTTGGCCTGAGGACGCCTCCATACATGAGTCCTTATGTAAGGAACTGCAGACTAATTTAGTATGTAAACTAACTGAAAGCCTAATTTAAGAGTATACTTTTGTAATAAATAGCTAAGTCTCAGCCAATCACAACAGCAGAGCTTCAGTCAATCGCAGGCGACCACCTGTTCAAACTGTGTCCAAATAAGGCAAACGCCGAGCTGCAACCAGTGGAGCTATCTCTATACCTCACTTCCGTTTTCTGCACCTCATTTCCATTTTCTGTCCATAAATGCTGTCTGACCACGCAGCAGACTGGAGTGCTTTGAATGTGCTCTGACTTGGAGAGCTGTTCAATTCCAGAATCGTGACTAAAAGCCAGTTAAGATCTTTAAACTAGATTTGTAATTTTGTCTTTTAACAGTTCATATACATGATTCGAAGCCATGGGATAAGAGCATGTTGGAAAGAGTATAGAGGTTGAGCCAAGTGAGGAACCAGTAAAGACACTGAGAAGCGACAGCCAGTGACACAGGATGGAAAATCAGGAATGTGGTGTTCCAGAACCTAGTGAAGGAGTTTGAAGAAGAGCAGAATGTTCTCTGTGTCAAGGACTGCTGGGAAGTTGTATGAGACAAAGACAAAGTACTGACCTTTGGGTTTGCAAAGATGGAGATGAATGAGAACCTTTCCAAGAGTGGTTCAGTGAAGCAACGGGGATGAAAAGTCTGATGGGAATTGGTTGAAGAGAGAATGAAAGATGAAACACAGACACTGAGTTTAGTCAGGGCTTTAAAGGTGTTTTGCCATCAAGAACACAGAAATGGGGCAGTAACTGGAGGAGATATGGTGAAAAGGAAAATTGTCTCCCTCCCCCTCCCCTCCCCTCCCTCCCTCCCTCCGTCCCTCCCTCCCTCCTTCCTTCCTTCCTTCCTTCCTTCCTTCCTTCCTTCTAAAAGAGATGCTCAGGCCTGCTTGCACGCCAATGAAAATAATCAGTAAGTGATAAAGAAGTTGATGGCACAGGCCCTGTATTTGATGCTGGGACTAACGGCTCAGAAAAATCAGGAAAGATTCAAAATTCTTTACCCTTCACTTTAACAAACTCTTTGAATCATTTCAGTTGTGTAAACTCACTTATAAATGTCAAAGCACCCTCTTCAAGTGGGCCTTATGTTTTACTCTGAAGGGCATAGCAGCTTAAAGGAGCCAAGCTAATGTGAAATGATTGCTATTTAATCAAACTGTTTTCCCTTCCAGGACAAGGTAGCAGCCACTTATTTGAATGCTGTCTTAAAATCTCATGCTCATGAAGTGAATCCCAACTCCAGGCCTCTATGGCCACTTTGGTGTTAAAACCCTCATCAGCTTAAATCTAACCTTCATCTCAACTCAGCAGTTACACTGTCTACACTTGTCAAAGGAGGGCAAAAATGTGTGTCCTTACTTCTTCCACTTAGCTCAGGATTTGTCTTTATTTTTCCCTGTCCCTTTTCAGAAATGAACCTTGACTTTGTGTTCCATGTAGCTAGATTTTGGCTGGAAGATGACATATTGTGACTGCCCCATACAGTGCACTTCCTGGACTCTCTTAAGCATCCATTATCCATCAAGGAGGGTTTTCTGGACTATTGGTTTTACCAAAGCCTTCTCTCTAAAGAGCAGCTGGAATTACCAAGCAGCCAGTAAAATGTACTCAACACCAGTTTTTCCACCTTTGTTGACATTCAGCGGTTTCAAAGTTGACTTCTTAAAGAGGCTGATTTCATTTTCCTGGAACATTTCACACATATTGAAGCAATATGCACGTGCCCACATGTACATATACACACAGGGATTCATATATGTAATCCCTAAATTTATGGATCCTACTGTAACACAAAGCTCTGAGGAAACCAGCCCACAAAATGTTGAGCTATTTTTTATATTGTTAATATTATTGAGAAGAATTTCTTAACTTCTTGATTCCCTAGGTTTTGAAGGACTGTAAAGCCAGCTGGCTGGATCATAAAGCCTGCTGCAGTGGCCCAAAGTGAGGAGCCAGTCAGAGTTCACCAGTAAAATCATCTGTGCCTTAAGCTTTATTTATGATTTATAATGATTTCAATATTTATGATTTATGATATAATTTATGATTTATTATGATTTATAATGATTTCAATATTTTAATAGATATGGGATATTCAGAAGTTATATTGCTTCTTGTCTCCATTTGGTTCATTATATTGAAAGAATTTGGCCTTTCTAAAATCTAGGCTGTTGTTGATTTCATTGTAATAAAGCTATTAATAATATTATTATCCTTTTAATATCTATAGGATTTTTTTTGTGTGTGATATCCTCTCTTCCATTCTTGTTGTCAGTAGTTTGTGTATTTTCTTTTTGTTTCTTGATTAGTATTTTTCAGAAAACCAACTACCAACTTTGAAATATTTCTGTTATTCTCAATTTCATTGATTTCTAGTCTTTATTATATCCTTTCCTTTTTCTTCCCCTTTTAACTTTTGATTCTTTATATTTAAAATACACTTTTTATAGATAATTATAGTTGGGACTTATTTATTCCGTCTGCTAGTCTTTACCTTTTAATTGGAGTAGTTACACTTTTGAATTTAATATAATTTTTGCTAAGGTTGGATTTAAGGCTACCATTTTTCTATTTATTCCACCTGCTTATTGCTTGTTTGTAATTTTTACTATTTAATTATAATTTATCTATTGAGTATTTAGTTACAATTTTTATTTATTACAGTATTTTATATATTACAGTACTTATTCTAGCTGCCCTAGAGATTATATGTTCTTAATCGATCATAGTCAATATACACAGTCTATGTTCTAATTGATCACAGTCTGCCTACAGCTAACATACACATCAAATATCAGAACCTTGCAACCATTCAGTTATTTCTCCCACCTTTAATTTTGTGCTGTTATCATATATATTAAATCTTCATATGTTGTAAGTTCCATAATATAGTGCTATAATTTTTGCCTTTAATAATCATATGCCTTTTAGATAAATTAAGGAGGGAAACTATACAATCTGTTATATATTATACACACACACACATATATGTATTTATGCCCATTTCAGATGGTCTTTATTCCTTTCTGTGGTTTCAAGTTGCAATCTTGTTTCAATCCGCTTGACACTAAAAATATTCCTGTTAACATTTCCTGTAGTATAAATCTCCTGGAAACAAATTGTCTTAGCTTCTATTTATCTAAAAATGTCTTTCTTTTCCGTTAATTTTTGAAGGATATTTTCTTTGGATGTAAAATTCTGAGTTTTATTTTTGTTTTAGTATTTTAAAAATTTGATTCCATTACCATCTTTCCTTTTTTGTTTTTGGTGAGAAGTCAGCTGTTACTTATAGTGTCACTCCCCTGTATATATGTCTTTTTGTGACTAATTTCATAATATTATCTTTATCTTTGGTTTTTAGGACTTTGACTGTCATATGTATGTGTACTTCTGCTGTTTTTTGAAAATTTTATTCTGCTTGGAGTTCAGTGAACTTGGATTTATAATTTTTTAACCAAATTTGGGAGCATTTTTACTACCATCTCTTCAAATATTTTTTCCTGCATGATTCTTGCTTTCCCTTCCTTGTTCTACTCTAATTAAATGTATATTAGGCTGATTAGTTATTTCTTGCAGGCCACTGAATCTCTGTTCATTTTTAAACTTTTTTCCTCTCTCTGTCAGATTGAATAATTATTATTGATGCCTTCCGAATTTTTTATTCCGCCTACTCCAGTATATTGTTAAGCCCATTAAATTGATGCTTATTATAAATATACTTTTCTGTTCTATTATCTCCATTTGATGCCTTTTTTATAGCTTTCATTTCTTCATTGAAATTCCCCATCTGTTCATACATGATGATCATTTTTTCCTTTAAGTCATTGAACATCTTTATCATAGCTGTTTTGAGGCCTTTCCCTGCTAATTCCAACATCTGGCTCATCTCAGGGTGTTTCTGTTGCTTGATTTTTCTTCCTTTTTTCTTTTAAACTATGGATTTCATTTTCTATTTCTCCACATATCTCATGTGGCTTAGCATTCTACTTTGTTAGGGTGGATTTTGGAAATTCCAAGGTA
This sequence comes from Homo sapiens, assembly GCF_000001405.40. NCBI lineage: Eukaryota > Metazoa > Chordata > Mammalia > Primates > Hominidae > Homo > Homo sapiens. The sequence goes on along the minus strand of NC_000014.9, from coordinate 51,062,897 downwards.
TCTATAAAGTAATTCATACTGATAGGACTCAAGCTCTAACTCCTCTTCACTTGGCAGATGCAGATATCTCTGCTTATTTATTTTACTGTTAACAGCTGTTTCTTTCTGCTGAGCTCCTTGGAGTCTCTCCCATGCATCCACAGTTCAGGGATTAGCCAAGCATTTCAGGTGGAATTTAAATACAGATTTCAAGGATTCCCCTCTCAATTTCCAGCTGGTCTTGCAGCTAAAATTCTGCCTTCCCTCACCACTGGCCAATAAATCTTCAGGTTTTCCTGACTATCCTTGATATCCCTCCCCCACCAAAATAACCCCTATAAACATAGATCTACATATAATTTCTTCCATTTATGCCTGATTTGGGTTGCTCTCCAATGCCTTCAAATAGTTTTCAAATATCTACATATATTCCCCAGGGTTTATAATTGATACTTATATGAGGGTTATTTCAGTAAAGGCTACTCCACCATGAGTGAAACTGGTACTTTTATTGCTCTTTACAGTGCAGTTTCTGGTATACAATAAAAAGTTGTGAGACATACAAAAAAATCGAGAAAAATATGACCACCTCATCAGGACCAAAGCAGTCTACACGGCATGCCCAAAGATGGCCCAGATGTTGGTATTATCAGACAGACAGGCATTTCAAAATAAATATAGTAAGCATATTAAAGGACTTAGTAGAAAAGTTGAATAACATGCATAAACAGTTGAGTGATTTCAGCAGAGAGAGGAACCATAAAAAGAACCAATGTAAATACTAGAAATGAAAAGCACAATATCATAAATAAATAATTTATTTATTGGACTTAATAACAGACTGGATATAGCGGCAGAAAGAATCAGTGAACTTTAAGAAGAAATAATCTAACGCACTTCAGAAATAATCTGAAGCAGTAAGAGGAAAGAAAAGTGAATACAAACAGAATAGATGGTCTGAAACGTGTGGGATAATATCATATGGCCTAACATACATATCACTGGAGTCCTGCAATAGTAGGGGAGGGGATATAAGACAGAAGAAATATTTGAAGATATGATGGCTTGGAATTTTCCAAAGATGAAGAGTTACTTCAACTCACAGATCCAAAAAGCTTACAGAACCCTGAGTAGGATAAATGCTGCTAAAACAACTGGATTGTGTATGTAAAAATAAATGAATACATAATAAAAAACAAAAGAACCTCAACTTCTATTTCAATTTATACACAAACATTAATTTTTATTGGATCATAGGCCTAAAAGTATAAGCTACAATCATTAAGCTCCTAGAAGAAAATATAGGGGAATATATTTTCAGTTTGGAATGAGCAAAAATTTCTTACAGGACACAAAAAGTGCTAACCACAAAAAATTAAAGAAATTACAGCTTAAGCATCAAGATACAGACTAGGAAAAAATTGTACATGTATCAGAGGACTTAAATTCAATATGTATATCCTTACAATAAAAAGTCAACAATCCAATTTTTTTTTTTTTTTTCTTGAGACAGAGTCTTGCTTTGTCACCCAGGCTGGAATGCAATGGTGTGATCTCGGCTCACTGCAACCTCCGCCTCCTGGGTTCAAGTGATTCTCCTGCCTCAGCCTCCTGAGTAGCTGGGATTACAGGTGCCCACCACCACGCCCAGCTAACTTTTATATTTTTCGTAGAGACAGGGTTTCACTAGGTTGGCCAGGCTGGTCTCAAACTCCTGACCGCAGGTGATCCACCTGCTGCGGCCTCCCAAAGTGCTGGGATTACAGGCGTGAGCCACCACGCCCAGCCAACAATCCAATTTTTTAAAATGACAAAATACTCGAGCAGACACTTCACAAAAAATGTAGGAATGCCATTAAGGACATGAACACATACTCAACATCATTGTTTATCAAGAAAATGTGAATTAGAGCCATAATAAGATGCCATTTTATATAACTTATTAAAATGAAAAAGACTCACAGTAGCAAATGTTAGAAAGAATGTGAAGTAACTAGAATTTTCTACCATTGCTAGTGGGAAAATAAAATGATTTTTGGAAAGCTGACAATTTTTCATAAAGTTAATGGAATACTATTCAGCAATACAAATGCTGTCATGGTATATGCAATCATGTAAGAATCAATCTGCTTCTTATAAGAGAATGAATATAGGCTGGGTGCAGAGGCTCACGCCTGCAATCCCAGCACTTTGGGAGGCCGAGGCGGGCAGATCACGAGGTCAGTAGATCGAGACCATCCTGGCTAACACGGCGAAACCCCGTTTCTACTAAAAATACAAAAAAATTAGCCGGGCGTGGTGGCAGGCGCCTGTAGTTCCAGCTACTTGGGAGGCTGAGGCAGGAGAATGGTGTGAACCCTGGAAGTGGAGCTTGCAGTCAGCCGAGATCGTGCCACTGCACTCCAGCCTGGGCGACAGAGCAAGATTCTGTCTCAGAAAAAAAAAAGAGAATGAATATAAGAGAATAAATAAGAATGAGTCTCAAATACATTATGTGGAGTGACAGCAGCTGACACAGAATACATACTGTGTGGTTGTATAAATATAAGAAAATTATGACATACGGAGAGAATGTTAGGATGCTGCCCTAAGGAATACTGAGGGAGTAAAGGGTTAGCTAAATGGTCATAGGAAGTTAGGCTGATATAAGACTTTGACAGCTAGGCTAAGGTGGTAAGAATTGACCAATTACAAAATAAGAATGTTGAGATTCTCACCACATAAATAATATGACGAAAATGCTGTTTCTGAAATATTATCCTAGAAGCCAACTACAGTCTGTGGAAAGAAACAACAGAAAGCTAGAAAGCCCATTATAAATTCTGAAGTATTCCAGTCAGGAGGTGATTTATCTGTGACTCCCAGTTTGGTGGAATCTACTTTTGGAATGAATGACCTACAGAAACCTTGAAATTAGGATAAAACACTTTTTTAAGAAACAATTTGTATCATATTTTCCATTTAATGCGTTATTTGCAACCTGGTTTTAGGGCCGTGGTAGTAGCCAATATTCTAAAGAAGTTTCACTGATGGTCAGATATTCCTAGTAGAAGAATAGAGCAGAGTTTTGTTTTGTTTTAGTTTTTTTGTTTTTTTGTGTTTTTTTTGTTTTTTTTTTTTTGAGACAGAGTCTCACTCTTTCACCCAGGCTGGAGTGCAGTGGCACGATCTTGGCTCACTGCAACCTCTGCCTCCCAGGTTCAAGCGATTCTCCTGCCTCAGCCTCCCAAGTAGCTAGGACTGCAGGTGTGTGCCACCACGCCCGGCTAATTTTTGTATTTTTAGTAGAGATGGGGTTTCACCCTATTGGTCAGGCTGGTCTTGAACTCCTGACCTCGTGATCCACCTGCCTCAGCCTCCCAAAGTGCTGGGATTACAGGCATGAGCCACTGTGCCCAGCCAAGCAGGTTTTTGTTTTGTTTTGTTTTGTTTTGTTTTTTCATTCTCTTCATTGTGCTCCCAATGCTTTGCTTCCAATTTGAAAATTGGTGAACAAATACAAAAAAAAGTAAATGTTGAAAGAATAGACTACCCTATCATCTGTATATTTTAAGGGATGGCCTGCATTTCCTGTTATTAATGAAGGCACCTGGGTAAATGCTAGCCTATCTGCTTCCACAATTGCTGTTTCTGTAGAAACTAATTCAGAAGTCATGTGGTAACCATAGTAACATGAGGGAAAGTTATTGAAGTGCTGTTTGGGGGAATGAAAAATCTCTGCCCTTCCTCTGTTTTCTGATCGGTGTTTCACTGTTTCCCTCCTTGGAGGAAAGAACTGATTTCCCAGGACCATTGTGGAGGTGGGCAAAGCAGGGAAGCTCGTGCTGATATTGGGGTTGGTCATAGGCCTGGCAGACTAAGCCTCCCTTTCATTAGCTCTTCCTTTACAGGCCTGTTCTCTAACTTGCCCTAAAGAACTTAGAGAAACTGTGTAGTCAGCCCAAGATTCCGCAACCCTTCTTTCCTTCTATAGTCCCTGAAGAAAAATGCAAAACATTACATGAGAATTCTTGCTTGTATGTGGAGAGCTAAGAATATAACTCACTATGTTTAAGAATCAGCAATATTTTTCTTATTCTTCCAAAAGCTTATAACAAATCCCATCCATAATCTTCAGAGCATTTGTCATTTTGAATTAGTGTGATAGTGAGTCACACCATATGTAGCTGAATTGAAGGGGCTTAAACGTAATAGAAATTTATTTCTTTCACGTAAAAGACAGCTGAGTATATCTGTTCTGTTGAAGCCATCCTTGGAGGTCTAGGCAGCTGTGGTCTTGGGGCCATCCTCTGGCCCAGGGTGGCTCACCAGCGCACCACCCCAGTGGCCTTCTCACTACCACAGTGGGAACAGATGACGGGAGGGTATGGCCTGGAGGATGCATGTCCCACTCCCCACTCCACATCTCAATGGCCAGAAGTCAGTTTCAGGGCCACACCTAGCTGAAGAGGAGCTAAGAAATGCAGTCTTTATTCTGGGTGAAGACAATTCACAAGTACCTGAATCAATGACCTAGCTAATACTACTAGATCTCATTTAGGCTTCCCAACCAAGAATGTCGTTAGAGTAGGCAAGGCAGAAATACCTTTTCCATTCTGTAGATGTGAGCCTCACATCACCTGAGTAACTAGCTCAAGGATGTTCAGATAATAAGGGGTCATGTCTGGAATGAACTTAGGTTTTGGATCTGAGTTCCATGATTGTGCCATCCTGTAATGCAGGGACACTCTCAGGACTACTCTGGGAGACTGACTAGTGCTGGCTTAGGCTGCTAGATTACCATGGGACTTTTCTTTAATTTTTCATTTGTTTTTCAGTCTCTTTACTGATAGGCTGTCAGTTACTGATAGGCTGTCAGATTACTATAATCTGTTTATAGAAGCATTATTTTCAATCAGTTGAAGACTTAGAAGCTAAATAATCGGGTTTGTTAGAATTTAATTTAAAATCAGAGTAAACTGGCTTGAAATAAGAGCCCAAAAGTCTATCCTTTCAATAAATTGTCTTTAACTGATCTTTAGTGGATAAACTTGTGTACAGACTTGGCTCTGTAGACATCTTTTCCACTTACCTCCTGTTTCTTATATGAATGTTTTCATCTCAAAAATCAAAGCATAGGGATTTTATAAGCTTGACCTACTTTTCTAGTCAATAGGCTACATTACTAGAGAAAGATGAATACATTCAGATTAAAAGGCCATGATTTTGATTTTTACCACAAAAATAGAGAAGAAAATAAAACATGATTTTCATGGCTTCTGAAATTTATAATGTGCAATAATATTTTTGCCTATGTATTTCATATTTTGGGTGGACCATAAATAGTTGGCAAGCAGATTTTAAAGATTAAAAATTTTTAGAAAATTGCTGAATGACAAAAAATTATTTTCAATTTAGTATCTTTTATTTTAGCAGATACAATATAAAAGATAGGAAATTCAAGTTTTAATAATACTAATTATGGTGACTTCCAGAAAACAAATCCTTTTATATACAAGAGGACATAATATTACTTCCATTATAACCTTCTTGAAGAAAATTAAGGAAATATCTGTAAATTACTTTGGTAATTTGGTAATTTGGATTATTTTAGAAGACAAAAGCAGCATTTTAATTCTGTAAAAAGCAGCACTCATAATAATCAGGCTAATAGCAGTAATAGAACAATTCATTAGCTCAGTCATTTGCTTCAATAGCCACTCAGATAATCTGCTTCTCATTGAAATAGTGAGCAGCAATGTCTACCAAAGAATTGTGGGGTTTTAGGGTGATGAAAATAAGAATTGGAGAGCTGAGAGCACAGCATCTGTGGCCATGCAGATATAATGTCTGAGAGCCTATGCTGGCTACCCAAATGAATGCTTCAAAAAGAAGGCTCCAGTATGATTTTGTTAATGAATAGGAGATGGGTTCGTTTATTCATTCTTTTTTCTGATGGGCAGAAGCTAAACCAAATCAGATGAATATTAACAGGTACAAGATATTGCCTGAAATCTCTATTTTGCCTTAATAAATATCTGCCTCATGATTCCAGAAGCTGGAAACAGTGACCTTTGATTTGAGGGAAGATAAGGGAAAGGTTCCAGCAAATTGTATTTGTGTGACAAGACAGCAATGATAGAGAAAAGAAAGATATAAGAAGAAAAACTGTCAGACAGAAATATCAAGATATTGGGCCAGTTGCAATTATGATCCTGGAATTGTGAAACTGGGAGTAAGGATAATGGCCTAAGAATAGCAAAAGAATAGTTTTCTTAGATGATTTGCTGAGCTGTTGATGCAAACCACCTGCCTGGGTCATTCATTTTGTATTCAGAGTGGGTGCCCTCTGATGGATAGCTCACTGTGCACATGTGAAGTGACATTTCCAAACTGCCTGGAAAATGTTGGACTTATTTGTTGAATGTCAGGTTTTATATTTGAGATTATGAGCTCTGGGATCTAGAGTATAGCATATCTGCCACTGGGGATTATTTCATGATAAATTTGCTTATTTTGTTTTGTTTTTAGAAATTCACCTTTGTATTTAGTAGTATAGTTGCAAACCATATGTTTGTATAGACTTACTTTCTAGTGGGTTGGACCCACAGTTAACACAATGAATTTATTTTTTTAATTTGAAAAACAAATAAATACCAATTAATATTTTTCATTCTCTTGCAGGATAAAGAATTGCTGATTATAGACCAATTTCTGGTCTGGTTACAGAGGCTTTACAAGTTTTAGAATATTTGAATTTCTTATTGTAATTTCTTATCAAAGATTATTAATCCATATGCATAATTTTTGTACCATTGTAGACGTTTGCTTTTGTACATCTGTAATAAATAGAAGTGAACTAAACATCAGAGACATGGGTGAAGTATTGAGTAGTGAGGTTAGTTTTTGGACATACTTATCTGAATTTATACATTCCGATGAAGGTTGTCTTCTGTGGCAGAGGATTGCATCATTATACTTTTCAAGATTGTCTAAAACATTTATATGAATAATAGCTTAATAAAGCTCATGAATTTATATATCTAGTAAAACATAAATATTGTAACTTCAAATTTGTGCAAGTTATATTGTATTCATGGGTTCTAAAATGTACATTGTATTAGTTTCCTTATCCCTGTCATAACAGATCACAGAAACTTAGTAGCTTGAACAAACACAAATTTATCCTGTTTTACAATTCTGTAGGCTAGAAGTCTGACATGGGTCTTGCTGGGCTAAAATCGAGGTGTCAGTAGAGCTGAATGCTCTAGGAGACAATCCATTTTCCTGCCTTTTCCACCTTCTAGAAGGCACCCACATTCCTTGGCTCATAGCCTCTTCCTCCATCCTCAAAACCAGCAAACTTGTTTCTCTCTAACCATTCATCCGTAGTCACATCCCCTCCTGACTCTCTTCTGCTTCCCTCTACCACTTTTAAGAGACTTGTGATTACATTTTGATAGTCTCTGTGTTTACTGGTTAGCAACCTTAATTCCACTTGCAACCTTAATTCTCTTTTGCCATGTGACCTATTTATGGGTTCCAGGGATTAGGATGTGGACATGATGTTTGGGGTGCCATTATTCTACCTACCACACACATTTTATAATATTTGCAATCAATGTGGAATACAAGGATATATCTTGTAATCAACGTGATAAGAAAACATTTTTTCATGTTTCAATTGGCCGTGCTTTTATTTCTTATTGGAATATAAAATAATGGTGTGTCTTACAGTTGATGGCTTTTAGATTTAATGAAATAACAATATCATAACTTCAAAGTAATAAACCAAATGAATATAAAAATGAGTATAAGGGCCGGGCACGGTGGCTCACGCCTGTAATCCCAGCACTTTGGGAGGCCGAGGCGGACGGATCACGAGGTCAAGATCAAGACCATCCTGGCCAACATGGTGAAACCTGTCTCTGAAAATGCAAAAATTAGCTGGGCCTGGTGGCGCGCGCTTGTTGTCCCAGCTACTCAGGAGGCTGAGGCAGGAGAATCACTTGAACCCAGGAGGCAGAGGTTGCAGTGAGCCAAGATAGCACCATTGCACTCCAGCCTGGGCGACAGAGCCAGACTCCGTCTCAAAAAAAGAGGCCAGGCACAGTGGCTCACGCCTGTAATCGCAGCACTTTGGGAGGCCGAGGCAGGTGGATCACGAGGTCAAGACCGTCTCTACTAAAAATACAAAAATTAGCTAGGCGTAGTGGCATGCGCCTGTAGTCCCAGCTACTCCGGAGGCTGAGGCAGGAGAATAGCTTGAACCCGGGAGGCGGAGCTTGCAGTGAGTCGCGCCACTGCACTCCAACTTGGCGACAGAGCGAAACTCCTTCTAAAAAAAAAACAAAAAAGAGCATTGGCCGGCGGCAATGGCTCATTCCTGCAGTCTCAGCACTTTGGCAGGCTGAGGCAGGCGGATTGCTTGAGCCCAGGAGTTCCAGACTAGCCTAGGCAACATAATGACACCCCATCTCTAACAAAAAAAATACAAAAAACAGCTGGGCATGGTGGCCTACGCCTGTAGTCTCAGCTACTCGGGAGGCTGAGGTGGGAGTATGGCTTGAGCCCGAGAGGCAGAGATTGCAGTGAGCCAAGATGGAGCCACTATACTTCAGCCTGGACAACAACAACAACAAATGAGTATAAATAGGATTCAATTCTTTCTCCTCTGTATAAGTCATAAATCATGCTCTCAAATGATGTCAATGGTTGGGCGTGGTGCAATACACCTATAGTCCGAGCTGCTGGGGAGACTGAGGTGGGAGGATGGTTTGAGCCCAGGAGCTCCAGGCCAGCCTGATGAGATCTTGTCTCTAAAATTTTTTTTAACTTTTTAATGATGTCAAAATGATTTCTAAAGAAAGATTAATTCTGTGACAGCCTCTGGACTTCAATTACTAAGTTTTAAGATAATCAATTTTAAAAGTTAATGTTGGCCACTCATCTATCTTTAGAGATGGTAGCTGATTAAACTGATAACATGCTTTATTAGTGATTTTAAGACAGCAAAACCATTGTAGATTCACTCTTACCCATAATATATTTCTTTTCATTTTATAGTTAGTCTTTACTTTGGGCAATAATTTGTAATTCTTACCATCCATAAGAATACCTGTTCTGCAATGAGATCACATGGACACAGGAAGGGGAATATCACACTCTGGGGACTGTGGTGGGGTCGGGGGAGCGGGGAGGGATAGCATTGGGAGATATACCTAATGCTAGATGACACGTTAGTGGGTGCAGCGCACCAACATGGCACATGTATACATATGTAACTAACCTGCACAATGTGCACATGTACCCTAAAACTTAGAGTATAATAAAAAAAAAAAAAATTAAAAAAAAAAAAAGAAAATTAAAAAGTAAAAAAAAATAAATAAATAAATGTAATGTTAACGCATAAAAAAAAAAAAAAAAAAAAGAATACCTGTTCTGATCAGTTTTATAGTTGAGCTTGTGTGTCTGAGACATTCTCAGAGTGTGAACTACAAACTGATACAAACTGAGTACTGAATGAACTTTTCTGCATTTGAGTTGAAGCATCTCCTATCATGAGTGTGCACTGACTCATCTTAGGACTCTTAAGGTTTGATAAATACTGTGGGAGGACCTAAAATAAAACTCATTTTATTATCATTAATTAAGTATTTCATAAATATGAAATAAAAGTGCTCTGTGTAAGACATTTTTTAAGATTCTTTTTGCGTTTTTCTTTTGTTTTTACTCTATAGATAGTAAAATGACAAGTTTTCTTCTCTTTTTTTTTTTTTTGAAACAGGGTCTCTCTCTGTCACCCAGGCTGGAATGCAGTGGCACAATCTCGGCTCACTGTAACCTCCACCTCCTGGGCTCAAATGATCTTCCCACCTCAGCCTCTGGAGTAGCTAGGACTACAGGTGCCCACCACCGCACCTGGCTGTTGTCCTTGTACATTTTTATAGAGGTAGGGTTTCACCATGTTGCCCAGGCTGGTCTGAAACTCCTGAGCTCAAGTGATCTGCCCACCGCAGCCTCCCAAAATGTTGGGATTATAGGCATGAGCCACCATGCTTGGCCTAATGGCAAATTTTCTCCATCAGTGGCAGCAATGAGGTATGGGGCTCGTATAGTGCACCAGTAAAGTGAGGAGACCTACCAAACTCTAACTCACAACAACTAGTGATTTATGGGCAATGACGTCTGTGTCTGGAGTCAAAAAGAGGGGGCTAAAAAGGAATCTGTGTAAGTAATGAGGTCTGCATGCATGGTGCCAGCAGCTAAACTGAATGTTATAGAATTTTGGCCGCCTCTGCCTGCATCAGAATTCCTACTTTAAATCAGAGGCTCATATCATTGAAAAGATGAAATGTCAGACAGACTGTGCTGCTTCAGGCAATCAGGATCACTGTCTCCTTCCCATTTCACATCAAATCCATAGGGATTAAACATAAATTAAATGACGCTAATAGCAACAACAGCCAAAAATAAATAACTCCAGGGGCTGGGGTTGTTGATAATCAAATTTAATTCCCAGGAGAAGAGGAATTCCTACAGATATACAATAGGAGGTAAAAAGGTTTTTGAAGAGGTGTTACTAACTATAAAGTAATTTCTTATTATATTCGCCGACCTTGACTCTTTTGTTATTTTTAAGGCGTCCCCTCAAGTGATAGGGAGTTGGTAGTTTGCTTTACAACATTTATTTATAGGTCGTTTTCCCCCATATTAATGATTTTGGAAAAATATATATTGAGATAATTAATTTAATGTTGTCAGATAATGATGTTAATGGAATCCAGTAGCTGGATCATTGTGCCTGTCATATAAAAGACCCTAAGTCTGGATGGTTCGACTATTCCTTTCTTTTCTTTTCTCTCTTCTCTTCTCCTCTTCTCTTCTCTTCTCTTCTTTTCCCTCCCCTCCCCTCCCCTCCCTTCCTCTCCCTTTCCTTTCCGTTCCCTTCCCTTCTCTTTTCCTTCTTTTCTTTTCAAGACAGGGTCTCTGTTGCCTAGGCTGGAGTGCAGTGGCATAAACTCGGCTCACTGCAACCTCCATCTCCTGGGTTCAAGCAATTATCTCACCTCAGCCTCCTTAGTAGCTGGGATCACAGGCACATGCCACCATGCCTGGCTTATTTTTGTATTTTTAGTAGAGATGGGGTTTCACTATGTTGGCCAGGCTGGCCTTGAACTCCTGACCTCAAGTGATCTACCCGCCTCAGCCTCCCAAAGTGCTGGGATTACAGGTGTGAGCCACTGCGCCCGGCCTATTCCATCTTTTTCTTTGGGTATCCCATGGTATAGCTCACTATCAATCTCAGTTTAGGGTGATTTATTAATAGCTAATTGCATTATACTCCTCTGCTAATTACACCCACAATAACAAGCTATATAAATGCATCTCTTCCTGGGTTCTTTGTGTAAAAATCTCCCATCCTTAACATGTAGCAAAGGCCTACGAGGTAAGACTGCCTGCCCTCACCCGACCTGTCCCAAATTCCTCTTCCACCCTTTTTCCACAGTGCTAGTTTTGGCTAAGAGGTTCACAGGTCCTCTGAGGGTCCTTGGGCAGGCCAAAGAGAGAGGGAATGAAGAATAACTGCTCCTGCTTCTTTGTCTCATCTCTTCCTTCCTTGCTCTCTTTTCAATCTGTGTCTTTTGAGCTCTCTTTCTCTCCCCTCTCTCACTGTTCTCTTCCTTTCTTGCAAAGACAAAAGATATAGGAAATTTTCAGGAACAACGAAGGTTTCCTATAGTTATCTGGGTATGATAATATTTTTTTGTAACTGGTGAACCAGAACATATGAATTCCTTACTAAAACTCTGCAATGACTTTTCATCATGCTTAGAGTTAAATCTAAGATCCTTACCTTGAACTACAAAGCCTTCCTGAAATCTAGATCTCAGACACTTAATAACTAAAAACAACTCATTATCTCTCACAGTTTCTGTGCTTAGGAATCAGCAGCATCTTGGCTTGGCTTGGTGGTTCTGTTGGAGTCTCCCGTGAGGTTGCATTCAGATACCAGTTGCTACTATAGTTATCTGAAGGCTTGAGTAGGGTTGTAGAATCCCTGTCTAAGGTGGCTCACTCACGTGGCTGGCAAGGTGGTTGGTGCTGGCTGAGATCCAATGGGGAGCATCCAAGGAGAAGAAATGGGAGGGAGAAAAGGAGAGGGAAAGGAAGAGGGGTGGAGAGGGGGATGGAGGGAAAAACAGAGAGAGTGAGGGAGAAGAAGCCAGCCAGAAGCTGTATTCTTGTTATGACCTGGCTTCAGAAGGCACATAGGATCATATCTGTCATATTCTTTTGGTTGGGACAGTCCCAAGCCACTGCCCAGTTTTGAGGAGGGGAAACATAGACCCTCTGCTGTTGGAGGGTCACATTGTTAAAGACATTGTATTAGTCTGTTCCCATGCTGCTGATAAAGACATACACAAGACTGGGTAATTTATAAAGAAAAAGGGGTTTAATGGACTCACAGTTCCACGTGGCTGGGGAGGCCTCACAATCATGGTGGAAGGCGAAAGGCATGTCTTACATGGTGGCAGGCAAAGAGGCAATGAGAACCAAGTGAAAGGGGATTCCTCTTGTAAAACCATCAGATCTCGTGAGACTTACTCACTACCACGAGAACAGTATGGGGAAAACTGCCCCCATGATTCAATTATCTCCCACCAGGTCCCTCCCACAACACATGGAAGCTACAATCCAAGATGAGATTTGGGTGGGGACACAGCCAAACCATATCAGGCACATTTGGAAAGGGATAAATACATAGGTATGGCCATCTTTGGAAAATACAGTCTTCTGTAAGAAGGGTGTCCTATGGCCATATGGTGATTTAATACTCTTTGTATGTAACTAGTAAATCAGATCAATATCAATCCCCCACTAAAAACTGTCTCACGGCTCTGCATCGTTTACTTCCAAAATTTCTTGCCTACAAATCCCTATGTGATTTAGCTTGTCACTCTGAACTCCTTTCTTTCCACTCTTAATGCACCCAACCCCTCCAGCCACACATTTTTTGTCACCTTTTACACATACCAGAGCCATTTCCTCTGCCCAGATTATTGTAAATAATAATAATCTTTTTATTTTTATTTTATTTTATTTTTTTTTTTGAGACAGAGTCTCGCTCTGTCACCCAGGCTGGAGTGCAGTGGTGCAATCTCGGCTCACTGCAACCTCTGCCTCCTGGGTTCAAGCAATTCTCTGCCTCAATCTCCCGAGTAGCTAGAATTACAGGCACCCACCACCACACCCAACTAATTTTTGTAGTTTTAGTAGAGATGGCGTTTCACCATTTTGGCCTGGCTGGTCTTGAACTCCTGACCTCATGATCCACCCCTCTCGGCCTCCCAAAGTGCTGGGATTACAGGCATGAGCCACTGCGCCCGGCCTATATTATATATTATTACACTTACACATACACTATATTTGTTGAATGAAGGAATGAACAAACAAATGGATGGTAACTCTTTCTGAAGGTCATTCCTGAGTTGTGCTGAGCAATCGTGGCAGCCCTGTAGTAGATGTGCCTGAAAGGATTAGGTAAGGCAAGACTCCACTGCACGCACAGACCCTAACTGCTAAGAAGCATTCACAGTACTGCAAGTCACAGTGAGACCTGGTATAATCTTTTCAATCTGTAAAACAAAATAAGACCAGCCTGGTCAACTTGGCGAAACCCCGTCTCTACTAAAAATACAAAAACAAATTAGCCGGGTGTGATGGCGCATGCCTGTAGTCCCAGCTACTCAGGAGGCTGAGGCAGGAGAATCACTTAAACCTGGGAGACAGAGGCTGCAGTGAGCCGGGACTGCGCTTCTGCATGCCAGCATGGGTGACCAAGCAAGACTCCATCTGAAAAAGAACAAGAAAACCACATAACGGTGCTTACACTAAACTATGTTCATGTAAATGATAAGGCCAAGATGGGATGTTTCCTTTTTTTTTTTTTTTGAGATGGAGTCTCATGCTGTCACCTAGGCTGGAGTGCAGTGGTGCGATCTCGGCTCACTGCAAGCACCGCCTCCTGGGTTCACACCATTCTCCTGCCTCAGCCTCCCGAGTAGCTGGGACTACAGACGTCCATCACCACACCCAGCTAATTTTTTGTATTTTTAGTGGAGATGGGGTTTCACCGTGTTAGCCAGGATGGTCTCGATCTCCTGACCTCGTGATCCGCCTGCCTCGGCCTTCCAAAGTGCTGGGATTACAGGCGTGAGCCACTGCGCCCGGCCCCCGAGATGGGATGTTTTGTTAAACCACCTCACCCAAAGTAGAACCAGGTGCTTCCTTTCATTGATTACACGACACCCTAGACACACACCTATGAAAGCACAGTAACACTTTTATTTGTTTATGTGCCTAGGATCCCCAGCTTCTTGAGGGCAGAGTCTGGGTCATATTGGCCTTTATGTCACTAGTAATTAACCAATGACTTTCACTAGGACACACTCAGGATTTGATGGATGGACAGGCAGACAAACACATGAACTTTCTTAACTGTGCTCCATCAAGAAGAAAGCATAAAGAAACACTTACTCAGCATCCTGATACCATGCTCACTGTCTTTTCCTAGACCATCACAATGAATGTGGCTCCTATCCACAGGGTCTGTAAGCTGAGAACTGTCAGGACTGATCTCAGGAACAGAGCTACATGGTATCAGCACAGCCTCTAAAGCCTGTACAGATAGACATTCACAAGGCAGAGATTGCCCGTGCACTGAATTTTCCCAAAGCTTTTAGGAAACTGTTTAACCCTGAAAACCTCTGCACTTTCAGATAGTTGGGGGTTTAACTTGGTGTAGCTGTATATTCATTGTTCTAACATTGAGAATAGTCTTGTGTGAGTAGAATTTAAGAAATGGCACCTTGGAGCAAGCTATTAATTAGAGCCAAAAACATTACTTTTACATACCTAAAGGAGGGCATTTACTATGCACTTAACGGATTTGGTAAGGGGATTTTTTTTTTTTTTTGAGACAGGGTCTCACAGTATCGCCCAGGTTGGAGTGCAGTGGTGCGAACTTGGCTCACTGCTAAGGAGATTTCTAAAAAGATAAACTGTATGAGAATATTTATACTAAAAATGGATTGTTCTTTTAATGTGAATGAAGTATAAATTTGTGTTTAAAAGTTGTGTGTTCCCCCAATTGAAAGCTTTGTTCTTGTTTTCTAAGGTGCATTGCCCATAGCATTGGGTTGGCACCTCTTCATTGGCCATATTCTTTTTTACCTGATACAGATTGTTATATGCGTTTCTTTCCTGTACTAGACCATACCTCCCTTGGGTATGTTGCCTTATCCTACTTACCTTTGTACTGCAGAGTCTGGATCACTGCCTTGCAAGTGTTAGGTGCATCATGAACATTTACATCAGAGGTAAGTCAAATAACTTGCTGCAGAGTGTCCTCTCTTGGTTTCTAACTTTATAATATCTCTGGGAACAAATCAGTCCTATGGTGTCCTCATTGCACCGAATGGTTTTCTAAGCTCTGTGTTCATTCCTCAAAAGTCACCTATGGGTCCACACACCTGTCCTTATCCTCAAGGAGCTCCAGTGGGAAACAGCCATGATGAAATGAATGCCGTGGCCCAGATGCTGTCAGAGTGATGACTGACTGTCTTACCTGGGGTGGGGCAAGTCAAGGACAGAGTTTCAGAGGAGGTAATGCTTGAGTTAGGGCTTGAAAGATGACATTGGAGTTGCTGGGAAGACAGGGAAAGGGAATTCTAGGAAAAAAGGGACAGAATGTTAAAAGGCCCAGAGACTTAAAGCCACATAGGACCTTCATGGTAAACACAAGTGTCAACCCCAGCTCAAGCAGAGGCAGATACCGTCACAGGACTTGAGAAACAACACACTATGCAGATAAATGACACTCCATGTATCCCCGTCCCCATCCTCAAAGGTGACTCTATCTTAAGTTTATGTTTATCACTCCTATGCATTTCTTTACAGTCTTACTATACATACATGTTTCCATATTCTAGTACCACCTGTTTCAAACTTTATAATGTTCATATAATAAGAGCCAACGGTTTTCCTGGCATTTAAGATATGCCAAGCACTGTTGAAAACATTGTACATATATTGAGCCAGTTAATCCTCACAGCTCCATGATGTGGATCCTGTTGTTATTCCACTTTACTAAGAAGGAAACGAAGGTATAGAGTTTTTAATTTGCCCAGGGTTTTACGGGTAATACATGGGAAAGCCAGAATTTAGTTTCAGGAGTCTGGTTCCAAAGTCTGCATTCTTTATCCTTGGCTTTTAAGGTCATTTTATTAATGAAATTCACCTTATTTTTCTCTGAGAATGAAATTTTTAAAATTCTCCATTATAGAATAGAAGACCAAGAGTATTTTCCAGGCTTTTCACATTTGAAGTGGTGTTTCTTTCTTTTCGAATTCAGATGACTGTAGATTCATATGCCATCGTAAGAATTAATGTACAGAAATCCCTTCGACACTTTTCCCAGTTTCTCCCAGTGGTAGCATTTTGCAAAACCATAGTACAGTGTAACAATATTGCTGGATACTGACAGTGATAAAGTACACTGATTTTATTCCCATTTCCCAATCTTCCTTGTACCCATTTGCATGTGTGTGTTGAGAGAGAGTTCAAAATGATTCTATCACCTGTGTAAGTTTGTGTAGTCACCACACAGTCAAGATAATAACTAGGTCCAGCCCCACAAGTGTCCCTTGCGTTGCCCTATTGTAACCACACCTACTTATCTCTAGCCCACCCAACCTGGTTCAACCCCCACCCCATCACCCCTGTCCCCATCCCTAATCCCTGGCTACTACTAAACTGTCCTCCATTTCTAAAACGCGGTCATTCCAAAGCCTGCATTTTTACCTCTCTATCGTATTGCAATTTGCTTTTTTTTCCAACGAACATTATATTTTCAAGTATTATACATTACGTCAATGTGTGTTGCACTGGTTCGTTTGTTGTAACTGCTGTTTGGGTATTCTCCAATTTATTATCTTTTTTTTTCTGTTGATGGAATTGAAGTTGATTCCTGGATTTTCTTCACCATTACAAAAAATCCATGAACATGCCTCCTTGCGCATACTGTTGCTTCTTTGCACTTGAATTGAGGTCTGTCTTTAATGACCAAAGAAAGGTGAATGAAAAAAATTATTTATTACAAATAATGGACCTATTTGTTATAATCAAGCTCATAGAAGAATCTGATTGGGGCCATTGAATTTCCTTTTTCTGACAAACATCCAGATTACTAGATCTGCCCTCTCACTTTTAATGAAGGTATTAAAGATAAAGCAAACAATGCCACAATAATGACAGTAATCTCACATTTACTCTTTACCAATGTGGATTTATGCTACATTGTTCCTTGAATCATAGGACATCCAGTTGGAAGGGACCTTCCAGGTAACCCACACCAGTGAGGTCTTAAATGCCCTCTACAATACTCCAACTGAAACTTGACATCCTGTCCCTAACCTCCAGGGTCAGGTGACTCAGCCCCTCTTCAGGCAGCCCATCCTGGTAGCTCTAAAAGGTGAAAGTTCTATCTTACGTTAAAATGAAATCTGTCTTGTCATAAGAAAGATTGTTTTATGTGTCTGAGTGTCACCCTCACAGGGACACACAAGATAAATTTTGTGTTCTTCAAATATTTAGAGATGACTCTGATATCTCACTCTGTCCCATATATCTCAGTTCCTCTCAGAGGAGGATCTCCAGGACCAGACATGATGCTCACAGGGGAAGGAGTCTCTGATTTCTCATCACAGACGCCAGCTCACCAGCTGAGCAGCTGGTGGCTTGCAGGCTGAAGCAATCCCACCAATGAGTCTTGAACAGCTCCCGACAATGTCAGACTATGCAGTATTTGATTTTTTTTTCCATATTTTCACATGACAATCAACAGAAGTTGAGAACCAACCGCCCTCTTAGACAAATAAATTATCCAGTTCAACACCATCCTCACCAACCCTAAGGTATACTACAGCTATAATATTAGGCTGATGTTAGGATAGCCTGGATTGTTCTTTCTTAAAAGAAAAAAACAAAACAAAAATGACTGCCGACAGAAACTCTCACTTAGTGGAGATGATAGGGAGTGGTGGGAGTGGCAGTTATTTATCTAGCCCATCTCATTCATTTTTTTACTGGCCTCTTGTACAAGTTAGATTAGGTTTAGCCATATAACAAAACAAGGTTGGCTTAAACTCATGATTTATTCTTCACTCACATAATATAAATACAATGAAAGGAAGTCAGCATACAGTGGCTGCACTGTCATCCGGGACTTAGGTTACTTCTTCCTGGTCCACAATCCTTGGCCTGAAGTTTCCATTCTCTAAGTTGCCTCATGGTTCAAAATGGCTGCTTGAGTTCCAGTCGTTAAGGCCATGACTCAGAGGGCAGAAAGAATAAAATGGGGAAAGGGCAAAATGGCACCAACACCACCCATCTGAATCAGTTCCCTTTAAAGGACTTTCTCAGAAACCCCTCTCAAAAACATCATCTACATCTCAGTGGCTAATCCTAGCTGCAGAGGAGGTTCAGAAATTATTTTTAGCCAGGTACATTGCTGCTTGGAATAATATAGGGATGGGTTAGGATGGAAGAAGAGGAGGCTTTCTTCTTGGATATTTAGAAGGCAGTTGGTAGCCCCTGCAACAATTTGGATTGTTGACCCTTCCAAAGGATATCTCCTTCATCAGTGCAACCTAATTTTTTTCTGCATCCATATCACTCTGTGGACCCCTGTTGAATCTGCTGTCTGAAATCACTAAATCTTCTTACATGTTTCTGTAAAATCACATGTTACAGTCTAGTACTTGTGCAAATTTTTTAAATTTTTAAAAATTAAAAACAAATTAAAAATTGTTTAAAAATTTAATTTCATCATGGACAGAACACGTAACCTGATTCAATTTAGACCATTGCTCCAGTCTATCAGATTCTCTTTGGATCCTAAATATGTCATTTAACTTAAATATATGCATTGATTCAGTAAGAATCAATATGACCAGATTTAATATAATAATAATTTAAACGTATGCACATGTATTTGGCCTCTTGAGCTTTAAGCTTTCTATACTGCATTAAAATAAAAATGTTAAACCAAACAGGACCACTGCCCTATGCCTTTGGAAAGGAAATTCTGGAAAATTCCTACATTGACACATATCTCGGCTACCAGCTCTTCTCAGTTTCATTCTGCTGCTAGAGAACTAAAAAGAATTCATATAATTAGTGAGCTGCACAGTTCTGTTAACTCTGTGCATATCCCATAGAAAGGGATAAAAGTTCTCTAGGTCATGAATCCTAATATTTAGTTTCCCATCCAAATTTCATATAAACTTCTGTGACATCACTCTCCCCTAGTCCCTCAGAGTTGGTCCTAGGTGAGGACACACTAATTAGCTTCCTGGGCCACAGATAGGCTGTAGATAGAACTGCTTAAGTGTGTTTATGGGGCCAACAGGCATTTCAGCACTACCCCAGCTGGCCTAATATTTGATTCCAACTTGTTCTCCATTCTCTGTGTATCTCTTGACCTTTCTCTTCCCTTCATTGTTCCCACTATTCCCCGCCGACCCCCTTTGGAAACTCCTTCCTCCGGCTGCATGTCTCAGCTGCCTTCTGCTCTCAAGGCCATAGAGTCTATACACTCTGAGCTTTCTTTCCTTCCCCATTTTTCCTTCTTCCTCTCTTCTTTTTATACATAACTCCAGTTAATTATCCATTAGCATATCTGAGTTCTGTCATTCAAAATATATAATAGAAATGAGCAAAAGGTGATATTCTAAGTACAAGACATTTGGGAAGACAATTGTCACAAAACCAAAGCAGTCCAATAACAACATTCTTAGAAATTCAGAGGAAGAAACACTATATCATGTATACATTTTAGGACCTCTTATAAGCAAGTTATGCTATTAACATTATTAACCACCAGCTTGGATAACATTTTATGCCAGGAATAGATATATAGAGACATGTATGTATATGTATATATTTACATACCTACATTCCTAGAACAGAGTAGAACGAAGGTTAAAGGAGGCAGGGGAGGTTGTGTTTACCCAGAGAAGGTTGAGAATGGATCTGGAATAAGAGGAACTGCCAGGAGCAGGTCTGTACCAGAGTAGGTTAGTCTTGGGGTCCTGGCAAAGCTCATGAAGAAGGGACACCAGTTCCTCCACCCCTACCTGCAAATAAGACTAAGCCTCCATGACCTTAGAGGGATGCTCTTCCCCCAAGGAAGAAGATGTTCAACGTAAGGGATGGGAAAAGAGAGACTTCATCCTAAAAAGATAATATCGGGTTTACCTTTGTAACATCAGGGTAAAATTAATGTCATTTTAAGGTCCCCTTTCCTGACCAAAACTGTTCCCTCTCTTCTCAACATTAATGAAAATTACTTCTTTAACTACAGACAAAGTATTTCACTTTACAACTAGAAATAAAAGATTTAAAAGGGAAATCTTTGGTTTAGCTAAAATTTTAATGTGAGTGAATTTCACTGAAAGGAGAATGGGGTATTTGGCCAATCATTCTTAAGTGACAGGTTTCAGATCCTTCCTAAGCTTTGAGAGGAGGAAGGAAGAGGAGACTGGCACCAGAGGATAGGCTGAGGGGACAAGGGAAGTGCACAAAATGGAGATGCAGGCTTTACCAGATTTGGCCATAACTATCTTCTGCTGGGTAGGGACAACGACAGGCTGGGTCTTGAGGGATTTCTGTCACATACTTGCAACGGCTTTGAAAAACCAGCTCACTTAGCATAATGCATCATCATGCTGGAGTGAGGGAGTTGATTTAGCTATCAACTTTGCATTTTGCAGAGGGCCTGCATCATGGTCTTGAATATTCACATCCTTATTCAAAACTATGCACTCATCCCCCTCAGACCTGTGCTGAGGATGCCACCTCACTCCGACAGAGCTTCCTGCTCCAGCAGTGAGCCACATTGTTCTGAAGAAAACCCTGGCTTAATGGATTCGGCGATACAAGGTTACATGGAATTCAGTTTATTAATTTTATACCACTAGATTGATAGCAATTTTTTCTTACAAGTAGGCATTATTCTTTATATAAATGTTATTGGGAAAACATGTTTATTAAACATTATTTGAAACACTTAACATCATATTAGGCTTTAAAATTTTTTAAAACAAAATGGTTCTATGTATTTTTAAGCAATAAAATAAGACAGATTACTCAGAAGAAGAAATAATAGTAAAGAGAAAAGAGTGCTATTGTACAATAGCAGCACCTAATCTTAACAGAGAAATAGATAATGAGAAATTAAATTCATACCATACTGGCTGCCTTAAGAACTGCCCTGGGAGTCTCATCTTTTCAAGGAACTAATGTTGCTGGAAATCAGGCGAAAGGCAGTTGGGGGTTAATCCTTGTCATTTGCTATGAGATGCTTTAAAACCTATTCCCTACACCTGAGATTGAAACATCATTGACATTCCTAAGAGGGCCAGGCTGTGGGCTCACACTTGGGCGAGGAGCAGAGTGGGCTGCAGCTCAAAGCAGGCATTTCCCTGCACTTTGTTCTGGGTGTGTGATGTTAGCGGCAGCTTCAGCAATCACCTCGTGTAACCCGCCCTTGCATGTGCAAGCTTATCACAGCCTTTTCTTTGGAAATGATTGCACAGTTATTTTGTCATTTACAAAATCAACTAATTCCCATGGTGAGATTTATTTTCATGGGAGTCAAATCTTAGATTCTAACTAGCAGAGAGAAAACTGTTGTCATGGAAACCATTCCTATTTTCCCTAGGCTGGAGCTGCAATTCACTGCATGGAAATGGATTGACAACGATGCTGAGGGAAAAGGTGAAAAGAAATCAGACGTGGCTTAAATTCATTTTTCTGAATAATATTGACAGTTATTACTAATTTTGTTGTGGAAGGAAATTGACCTATAAGTACTGAATCCTAATAAGCCTTTCAACACTAGGTATGAAAAAACCTAAATCTATTATAGAAGCTATTTGAGATCTCTCAGAGAGTTTCTCCTTTGCCAGTGAAAATGATCAGATATTAGAATAAGGTTGTATTTTATTTTCAGAATAATTGAAGCAGTGGTAGTAAGCGGAAGAGTTAAGGGTCATTTAAATTCAGGCTTTGTAAATGTAATGTTAGTACTAACAGAGAAGGAATCTGTGGTTCATCATTAATATGAAAGGTTCACACGCTTCTCAAACTCATAATCAAAGTAAAGAAACCATGCACATCTACACACAAGTTCTTAAAAACTTAGGGCATCATGAGTTGACTAGAAATGGGAGATGTGTACCACAAGCTTTACGGCATTTGAACCTTTCTAAAAAGCAGGACACTTCTCAGAGTGGGTAAAAGTATGAGCAGAGGATACATGTTGTCCAATCCCTCACTCCAGGGCTCCAGTCACTCCTGATCCCTCTGAGGAATTGCCACTTCTCAAAGTAGGCATAAATAAAATTATGTCATTGTGGGAGGGCGCACAGACCAGAGTAGGCAGTTACCATGGGACTAGATGTCGGGTGCTGCCGGGTACAGGCAACAGAAGAAAAGGTGACAACATAGCCAGAGGAGAAGGGCATGAGAGATGGTAGAGTCTTCAGCAAATGCAGTAACAGCCTCTGAGTGAGGGGCACCAGCATCAAATATTAAAGAAAATTCAGTCAACTATTTCTGTTGGTCAATTATAAGTGGCTTGAGGATTTTGTGGATATCTATTTAAATTCAGAGGTCCAACTGAAAATATAAGACCATCCGAGGAAATATTTACTTTTTCTTGCACAGTTAAGGTCTTAATAAAGAGACTTTATCCGCATATACTTTATCCTGTTATATATTTAAAAGTTTGGCTGGGTGCAATGGCTCACGCCTGTAATCCCAGCACTTTGGGAGACCGAGGCGGGCGGATCAGGAGGTCAGGAGATCGAGACCATCCTGGCTAACACGGTGAAACCCCGTGTTTACTAAAAATACTCTAAATTTAAATTTAGAGTCTCTACTAAAAATACAAAAAAAATTAGCTGGGCGTGGTGGCGGGCGCCTGTAGTCCCAGCTACTCAGGAGGCTAAGGCAGGAGAATGGTGTGAACCCGGGAGGCAGAGCTTGCAGTGAGCTGAGATCGCGCCACTGCACTCCAGCCTGGGTGACAGAGAGACTCCGCCTCAAAAAAAAAAAGTTTATTTAAAAATATAATTTATAATAAAATATACAAATCTGAGGTTTGCAGTTACATAAACTTAAAAAAAATTATTCGTGTAACCACCACTCAGATCAAGAGACAGGCCATTCCATACCTTAGAGAATCCCCTCATGACACTTGCCAGTCAACCTGGTGCCTCCTTCCATCGCCATCAAACTGTTCTTGAACTTCATTTAAATACAGCATGTACTATTTGGCTGTGTGGCTTCTTTTGCTCAACATAGTGTTTTTAAAAGCATTCACATTTTGCATGTATCATTAGCTTCCTCTTTTTTGTTGCTCAGCAGTATTGAATCGCGTGAATACACACGGTTTATTTATGCATGTTACTGTTGGTAGACATCTGAGCTGTTTCCAGCTTGGGGCTATTATAAATAAAACTGTTATGAACATCGTATGCAAGTCTTTCGTGGACATATGCTATCACATAGAGTTGGGATACGTTTAACTTTATTAGGAAGAGCCAGTTTTCCCAATTGGTTTTACCATTTTAACACTCTCAGTAGCAACATGTGAGGGTCTAGATGTTCCATGTGCTGACCAGCACTCCAAATTGTCAGTCCACTACTGGGTAGTGGTCTCTCACTTGTGCCCCCCTTTGTTTTTAAAGAAGCTGTGCCAATCTTTGCATCGGTGTTGTAAAGGCCTGGTAAGGCCTTCTAAATTCAGATCTTGTGATTAACATTTCCCAGGCATTTCTAATGACCCCGTGCCTTTGAGAAAACTGTAGCTTTTTCTAATGTAAAGTAAAAGTTTAAATAAGCTGGTATTTCAGGGGAAGACATTAGCTGATGATAAGAACAGTTAAGCTGGAATGGACCACTTTAGTATCCAAAACATACATCACTTTAGGCTTCTGAACTGAACCATAGCCACTTGCTCTGAAGAAACCTAAAATCTCCTCCCTGTCCCAACTTTTAAGATGTTATTGAAACTTAGTAGTTGATTCCAGACTGACGGAGAAGCTTCACTCTTGGTGATTGGCAGGAGGGGCTGTTGAACCAGCTCAGTCTCACAGAATTCCTAGTTCATCAGGTGGTCAGATGCTTTACATAATTCACATGTGGATGAAAAGAACTGAATACCCCATTCTTGTTCCTTAATTCAACCTTGAAATGTGTTCACATTGTTGTAGTGGGCCAGATTCTTTATATTCTTTGTGGTCGTTTTGCCTTTCCTCTAAGGCTTTCCTCTCTCCAACTTAAAAGGAGACCAGGAGATGCATATTCTGAGCAGGTTTACAAAATATCAGGTGAAGCAATCCGACCACCGCCAAAGGTGGTAAGCATCCAGCTCTTAACCAACTGCCTTCTCAGGTGTGTTAGGTTTCTATTGCTGCCATGAAACAGTACAAAAAACTTAGCAACTTAAAACAACATAGATTTTTTACCTTGCACTCCTGTAGGTCAGAAGTCCAACAAACAGGGCTGAGTTCCTTTCCGGATGCTCTAAAGGAGAATCCATTTCCTTCCTCCATTTTCAAAACCAGCAATGTGGCTTCTCTCTGATCCTTCTTCTGTCATCACATCTCCCTTGGACCACAGTCAGGAAAGTTCCTCTGCTTTTAAGGACTCATGTCATTAAATTGGGCCCACCTAGATAATCCAGGATAATCTCTCCATCTCAAGGTCTATAACTTTAATCACATCTGCAAAATCACCGGTTCTGGGGATTCGGGCATGGACATTTTAGAGGACCATTATTTTGCCTACGGCATCAAGAAGCAGAATTCACATGCAGGAGATTGAACCCAGTCACCCTGATTCCATTGGCTGAACCTGACTCTCAGTGTTGCTGCTGCTGAGCCACAGGTGCTCCCTTGAAGTGAACATGTACTAATGCTGCTTAATGGTGTACATGTAACAAGAACGGCTTTTACCCTCCCAAGGCGTCCTGCAGGCTAAGGAATAGATGGTAACGCCGCTGGTTGTATTTATCTTCCAGTAAAGTTTAAAGGCAACTTGTGACTTTAATCTTAGATACAGGAGTTGCTTTCATGTTCTTGAAAAAAAATTTTTTTAAAGAGCCAAAGAGTCTCTGTGTCTTTATTCCAGTATTAAGTTATAAATTTCATTATTAATTAATAATTTCCAAATGAAATTTGTAACTTAATACTGGAATAAAGACACCCTGAAATTATTGGATGTTGAGAACTTAACAACAGTCCACCAGAGCCATCCTGGATGTTTGCACTTAAGTGCAAAAAAAGCCCCCTCTTTCTTTTCTGATCTGATCACCATTGTGAGTTAGCTTTTAAAGTGTATGAGAGGCTGAGAGGTTTTTTGTTTTTGTTTTTGTTTTTGTTTTTATCAGGGGTCTAGGTCATGCATGCAGGATAAGGAAAAGGGAAATAATTTTTCCTGTTTTTCCAAGTTCCATCTAAGAATAGTATTCCTAGTGGGAACCATGTTGCACTTGGGTTTCCTAGCTAACCTACACAATCATATTTAAAAGCAATACATTTGTATAAAGTGGCTCTCTGTATTAATATCTAGATAATTTATACATTTAATTTCCTATTTGATCTCGGAGTTATTTAGAATGGCGCTTCTTAATTTCCAAGAGATAGTAACTAGTAAGTAAAGCATTTTGAGGAATGTAGTGAGGTGATGGGGAATCACAGTTACTTAATTTTGACTTAATCATGGACAAATCTTGGTTTACATGGGATGAAAGATAGTAAGGTAACAGTTTGCAAAATGGAGAAGCATAGCAAAATATCCAAATTAACTGGCAATTTGGAATTAAGCTATTAAAGGAAATATAAATCTATAAAAGGTAAAAAGAAAAAATGGTTTATTACAACTAGAAATATACACAATATGGATGGAATAAAGCCAACTATGTCAGTTAACACAATAGATGTAGATAGCCCAAATTTCCCTGTGATAAGGGGAAAAACTGTCAGATTAAGTTAAAAACAAATCTAGTTTTAAAATAAATGATGGGCAGTTATACCAGAGAGTGAGAGAGAGGATATACAGTCAGCCCTCTGTATGCATGGGTTCTGCGTAAATAGATTCAACCAACACTGGATCGAAAATACTTGAGAAAAAAATAATTGAGCCTGTACTGATCATGTCAAGACTTTTTTCCTTGTCATTATTCCATAAATAGTATAGTGTAACAATTATTTACATAGTACTTACATTGTATTAGGTATTATAAGTAATCTAGAGATGATTTAGGGTTGTCCAAGGGAGGGAATACTGGCATGGGTTCTTAGTTTCTGTTTCTGGTTGAGCTGGTAAAGCCCCTTTCCCCATTCCCCTTTTCCACTTATCACTAGAGACAGAAACTGAAATCCATGGCTTCAAGCTGCTAAAAGCCTAAAACAAAACAAAATGAACAGTAACAAAATAAGGCGAGTCAGACAAGCTTGAAGTATATACAGTGGTGTGCTGACAAACCGGCTCTCAAAAAAAACAAAAACAAATTCTTATTTGTAGTGTTTGCCAATTTCTATGGTGTAAATACATAGTTGATTTTACACTACCAACATGACGTTGCTAATATGGAAGAGATGTTGGCTTTTTTGTGCCGTGGGCTGGCTCATCAACATGGCAGGTTTTCACTGCAATGAGGTGGAAGAGCCACTTTTTGCCTCGGGGCATGGCAAAAAGAAACTGTTGCCTCACACAATATTCATCGTTTCTTGGGGGAAAATTGATTTGCCAAGTCTCTGTGGCTTTTACCTAGAGTGCTGGAGGCAATAGAATTCTTGCAAGCAATTGTGATTGAAGGCGTGAAACTAATACAGTGGCAAAGATACAGGCTGTGAAGTCACTACTACTCTGTACAAGGCTCTGTCAGGGAGCATGCTTTTCTGTGGGTATTCTAAACCATTTTATGTGCGTTGTTAGGCAGTTACCAAGTATTTACAACTGAGGTTCAAAAATATGCCTTCCTTGGGCTAAGCCTTTGTGTAAATATTGGATTTTACATTCCAGAGATGGACTACAGAATAGATCTCCTTTTTGCACATGCTACCCTTTCTTTTCGAAGAGCCCTAACCAGCAGTCTATGAGTCCTTTTTCCAGAAAGCTGTTTTCTCTACATATCTCTCTGGCTGCCTTCACGTCCACACTGGGCCACCATGTTCTTCCGGGTGGTATAGCGTTCTCCTTTGTCTGAAACTACCAGGGAACAGTTTTAAGATAAGCAAAACAGTTTTGAGATCCAATTATTTTCAGTTCTTTAGATAGAAAATTTCAGTTCTACAAATAGTGTTTTTTCACTAAATAATTTAAAACATGGTATTAGAAATGTATGTATTAAAGTGAAAAATCAGATAAATATTTTTCATATAAAAATGATTTGACTGCACTCTTTCAGAGACTCAAATATTAGTGCTAAGAAAGGATAGACTTCTTATTCATCCCTCAAGTTTCCACTTAGATCTATACAGTCAATAAGGCTTTTTTATTTAAGAAATGACTTTTTATTCTTTATTTCAAAAGCAGAACATTCTCATTTCAGAAAAATCAGAAAATCAAAAGAACTTTAAGAAGAAGAAAAAAAGCCCTGAATTTCACCAGAAATACACTACGAATAGCCTTGATAATTAACCCTTAATGTGTATCCTTTGAAACATCTCATACATTTATATGGAGATAATGCATGTCTCTATATGTCAACAAAATTTGTCATGTCATATATCTATTGCTATCTTGAAATCTGTTCTTTTCACTTAATGTGTTATAAATATTTTCCCATATGACTAAATATGTTACTACCCCCTTTCAATAGCTACATAATACTCAGATTACACTTACTATGTGCCAGGGTAGCCTGCCCAGGCTTTATACAACCCAGCAAGATGGGTACTATTATTATTCAGAATTTTTATAGGTGATAGAATAGGACAAGAAAACTTAAGGAAAGGAAAGTTAAGTGGTCCAAAGTCACAAATCTGTTAAGAAACACAGCGGAGATTCAGAACTAGGTAGTTTGGGGCCAGAATCCATGCTATTAACTGCTAAACTGTAGTGTAAGTCACTGTATAGGTCTCTATAATTTATTTAATTAATCTCCTATTTTAGAATAGTTTGTTTCCATCTTGTTGCAAAGAGCTGAAATGAAATTCATGTAGCAAAGGTTTGAACACATTCTTGATTATTCCTGTTTCCCGAGGTGAAACTGCGTTAAACTTTCAAATTTAAAGGATTTAAAAAATCATACTCCCAAAATGCCCTTCTGAGTGGTCAATCCAATGCACACTCCTGCTGAAGGTGATGAATGTACTTCTTTCCTGTATGTCACTCTAAATATTTTCATTTGTATTTTGTTTTTGTAATCTGATAAGCAAAGAACGGAATCTCATTTTTTAAAATTTACCTCTTAAAATTATCAGTATGTGGAGGAGAAGGGACCCTTTTTCAAAAACTTCTTATTGCTCTTTTCCTAGTTAAGGCCTAAATTCTCATTGGGTTTATTTGTGAAGCACTTAGAAGTGGTCCTGGCACATAGAGTGCTATCTAAGTGTGTGTTAAACAAATGTGGTTTTTTCTCACTGTTGATGACTGTTTGTAATCAAGGTGGGCTTTACCACCAAGAAAGCCTTAGAAGCCAAAAACTGGAAAACAATTCGGAAAATTCAGGTGGCCTGTTGAAGAGGAAGTGAAAAGTCATGGATTACCAGTTTGAAAAGTCATGGATTACCAGTTTGAAAAGTCATGGATTACCAGTTTTAATAGATTATGGTCAGAGCATCTAGTTCACAGAATCTCTATTCTTTAGCATTTATACTTATTTTGTGGACAGATACATGTATATGATAGCTTTTGGTAAACATTCAATGGGTATATTCTCTTCTATATATAATATAAAGAGAATATGCATAATATAAACCTTTGGAATACATTCATATAAATACAACTGAACTTGTTAATTGGATTATTCAGACAACCTGTATTCTTGCTTATTATTTATCTGCTTGATCTATAATATTCTAAAATAAATAGATGATTTCTACAGATAAAAATTTGTTTTGGTTTCTGTTTTTTGAGAGCTGGTTTATCAGCACACCACTGATTCTTGTGACAAAGAGGAAGAGCAAAAGAGCTAGCAGAAAATCACAGTGCCTTTTTAGGCTGAAAAGCAAGCCGTATGGCCAAGGATGACAAGGGAGTAGGGACACATGCTCCATCTGCAGGAGGCACTGCAAGTCATGTGACAAAATGGGACCAGAGCAAATTGTTCTGAACGATACTACAGTCTACCCCACTGTTTGAATAATTGTAATTGACCAAACCCTCAGTCAAGACATGGTATGACAAAAGTGTTTTCGTGATTTATGTATGTATATTTTAACTTTATTCTTACTATAAAAACATCATTGGGCTAGGCACAGTGGCTCACGCCTGTAATCCCAGCACTTTGGGAGGCCGAGGCAGGTAGATCACAAGGTCAGGAGTTCAAGACCAGCCTGACCAATATGGTGAAACCCCATCTCTACTAAAAATACAAAATTTAGCCAGGTGTGGTGGCACACACCTGTAGTCCCAGCTACTCAGGAGGAGGCTGAGGCAGGAGAATTGCTTGAACCCGGGAGGTGGAGGTTGCAGTGAGCTGAGATCGTACCACTGCACTCCAGCCTGGGCGACAGAGCGAGACACCATCTCAAATAAATAAATAAGTAAATAAATAAAAATAACATTGGTTGATTATCTCTTATCCAGAATGATTAGGACCAGTAGTGTTTCAGATTTTGAGTGTTGCAGATTCTGGTATATTTACCTTATACTTACCAGTGGAGGATCACTAATCCAAAAATCTGAAATCTGAAGTGCTCCAAAATTCAAAACTTTCTGAGTGCTGACAAGACGCTCAAAGGAAAGGTTCATTGAAATGTTTCAGATTTTGGATTTTCAGAACAGGGATATTCAACCTGTACTACTTATTGAATTTTAACAATATGCTAGGCATTGCATATAACTTTATATACATGATTTCATGTAATCCTCATGGTAGTCCTAGGATGTAGGTTCTTATTATCCCCATGTTGCAGATGAGGAAACTGAAGCTTAGTATTTTAGACTGGGTTCCCTGGACACAGACTCTGAGAGATAGTTAGTTGTTGTGTGCTCTTGGTAGATCCACCTGGAAGTGAGGAAGCCAGGATTGAACTGAGGCTGAAGCTAACCTGCAATGGCCTCAACCAATCCTACTACAAGTTCTAGATCTGGGATGGTTCTTCAGGGTTGTCCAAAATTGAAGCAAGGGGGCCCCAGCCATTCACTTGCCATGGGACATCCCCAGAAGGGGACATAGCTTTCAGTAAGGCAGTTAGTTCCCTGTGGCCAAGAGCAATTCCTAGGGTAATCTATCAACAGCTGATATTCCCTGCAGCTGGGAGAAGGATGCATAGTCTTTGAGAGAATATTCTGGGTAGAGCACCACAGTATTCACTACAGTTAGGTAATAGGTCCATGATCACACAACTAGTGAAATGCCACCACTGAAACTCAAGTTCATCTGACTTTGAAGTCTATCCTGTTAACTCCAATGCCATGTTGGTCCCCATTGCTCTGTCTGGCCCAATTCCTACTATCTGATGGAATAATGGCATGTCTGATACATTTTTTTGTGGTTCAAAGAATGAAACAGCATGTTTAGACTTAAATTATTATTTAAAAAGAGGTAAATGTCACTATGCATTAGCTTTTGGTGTGAATATTTGTGTGGTTGGGCATGCAAGTCTAACAACAAAGAATGGGAAAGGGGATTCTATGTAACAGTGTGTTGGAATAAAAGCACAGAGCCCTCCTCCTTTCTGCCCTCCACACAGCTCATAGAGTCAGGTTCACAATACAAATGGTGAGATTTGTTTAGTATATGAGAGATGTGCTGGCTTAGGTGGAGGAATTTGTATCCTTGGTGATGTGCTCCCTCACTTATCCTTCAAGGTAACCTTGGCCTGCTGAAGGGTCAGCTCATTGCCCAGAGATTGCCCTGCTCTCCCTGGGTCAGTGGCAGGGCTAGCAACTGTCACTAACTAGCTGGACACTAATTAAAGTGGTAAGGAAAGATTTTAATGTGTAAAAAGGACAGATTTTAATCAGTATACAATTGCAACAGGGAAAAGAGTACATCATGAACTGAACTCAACTTCGATTTGTACAGAGGTGACTGGGCACTTTACAAGGGGAATGAGGGAATAGGAAAGGGGTTGAGCAGGGGCTCAGAGTTACAGAAGTGAAAAAATTCCAAAAATCAGGAAGGGGAAAATCAGTCTGTATGAAATCCATCTGGGTGTGCTAACTTGTGCTTATTGAAGTTAGACCCCTACCCTCTCACAGAGACTGGCAGATAGAGTCCCTTTCTTCAGGTATTCAATGGAACAACATCGAATTCTTTTGGCAGCCTTGAATTTTCTCAGACAGGTACCTTAAGGGAGGCTGGGGTCATCTTAGGAATTCAGCCTTGAGCTGTTAGAAACTGTGTGTTTCTTCAAGTCTTTATAGGTCAAGGTTGAGGCCTAGGTAAGAAGAGGGCTCAGAGGACCCTGGCTATAACTTGGTCAAGGATAGAATCATTCTTTCTTTCTTTCTTTTCTTTTCTTTCTTTTTTTTTTTTTTTTTTGGAAAGAGTTTCATTCTTGTTGCCCAGGCTGGAGTGCAATGGCGCAATCACAGCTCACTGCAACCTCCGCCTCTCAGGTTCAAGCGATTTTCCTGCCTAAGCCTACTGAATAGCTGGAGTTACAGGCGCCCGCCACCATGCCTGGCTAACTTTTTGTATTTTCAGTAGAGACAAGGTTTCACCATGTTGGCCAAGCTGATCTTGAACTCCTGGCCTCAAGTGATCCGCCCGCCTTGGCCTCCCGAAGTGCTGGGATTACAAGCATGAGCCACCACGCCCGGCCTCGAATCTTTCTTATAACCAATTAACAATAAGCAGCAGTTTAATGGAGCAAATCCCTACCCATAAGATTCCTCTGATACCAGCCTTGCTCAAAGCCAAGAGCCTCCCCCAAAGCCAAGAGCCTCCCCATACTCCACTGATGACATATCTCACATACAATCACATACATACACATACACATTCTTACATACTTACACACTCTTAAACTCACATTCTTACCCACATACACATAGACTTTCACACACTCACAGGCATATGCACACTCATACACACACACACCATATGCACACTCATACACACACACACATCCTTTGTCCCTATACTGTGTGCTTCCATTCCCAGGCCCAGCTACTCTTTTGCAAATCATAGCCTGTTCACTGCGCCAGCCCTTTGCTGGGCTTAGAGATAAATTGGCATCTGCAGACCAGCTGGTCTTGGAGGATTCCTGTCCATCTGACTATAGTGAACTGGGGTTGGGGTATATCCAGGATCTTCCAGCACCAGAGAAACCGGAGAAGGGATCCATTCTTGCAGGCACTAAAGGTGCAAGCAGGAGGAATAGAAATGTTTCCTAGAGGGGGAATCAGGACCCTTGGACAGCTCAGCTTGATGGTTCCCCAAGTACCAGTCACTCTGTGAGGTCTCCTTCCTTTACTTAATTCCCACTTCACCCAATCTCTGCCCAAGATCTTAGGCCAGTAGTTGACAAAGTTGTCAGTGGACCTGAATCCAAAGCTTCTTCCCTCCTCCATGAGACTCCTCTCTTAGGGGACTTTTTCAAATTCACCAGAAAACTTCATGCAGGAAAAAAGTTGAATGTTTCATAGGTTAACTAGTCATGCTGTAATTTACATACTATCTGGCTGCTAAGCATAATCAGACCACCTCATAATCAATCATAGTCATCCTCTCACCTTCTCTGGTTGTACATGCTCTCACCGTGGATTAAACAATTAAACAATTGTTTTGGCCTGTGAGGGTGAGAGAATTCTCTTTTTTTGGGAGGCTGGAGCAAAGAGCATGAGTTTGCCATCAGATGAGGGTTTGTGTTCCAGCTGTTCCGTATGTGAGTGGTGAAACCTTCACTCAGGGGTATCCTCTCGGCACCTCTGCAAAATGGCAGGGAGGTGATTGGGATTGCATTGAAAGCACCCATCAGAGTTCCTGGCTCATAAGAAATGACCAATGTATTACAATTATTAGAATTTCTTGCTTACAATTATTAGAATTTCTTGCTTACACTTTTTGATTGTACTATGTCAGCAATGTACTGAGTAACCGGCAATGGGTAATTGCTGAGCAATGTGACCCAGAGATCAATATTTCATCAGAAAAACTGTTATTCTCCTTGGCGGCCTTCCCTCAAAGTCCCATTGCATCAATGATCACTTTTTTCCTGAGTGTTGTGTTTATCTTTGTACCTGGGAAGGAGCGGGAGTGGGCTTTGGCTCCTGGGCCCAGTGGTGTTGCGGTGCCTGAATGGCATGCACTGTGATACAGCACCAGAAGGTGCCCCACGCCCGGGGAGGCAGCTGGGTCATTTTCTGAGCCATCAAGCTGCCAGTGCTTGTTTGCCGCCTCCTCTGTTTTGTACCAACTCTTCGAGTGACCCTTTTGACCCATCCTGTGCCTGTAACTTCAGATCCGAGACAGCCAGAAAGCTTCTTTTCATTTGTCCCAGTTTATCGCTATCCAATATTTGTGGTGAATTGAGGGGAAAAGGCCACGTGAAGAATGTTTACAGTGGGAAATGGAAAGAAGATACTGTCTTCTGCCTGGGCACACTCAGCAGCTTGGGCAAGTCAGGCATTGGGCGGGATGGATTGAATTGCATTACCCATTTGCTGAGCGTGAGAAGTAGGTCCTGAAACGTCCTCCACAGTCAGTCCCAGGGTAAGTGCCTGATCTCTCCCTCCTGGGGAGGCAAGGGGAGCCAGGGTCAGGGTGGAAGCTGAGGACGAAAGCCACGCAAGGAGGGAAGGAGGAGGCAGAGTTCTTTGTTTCTCTCCTTCAGGCTTGAACAACTTGTCATCTTTCTGGGAGACCTCGGTGATTCTCAGCATGCTCCCAGCCAAGAACAACTTGACTGGAGATCAGGGCTTCAGCTGCATCATTTTTCTCCTCTCATTCACCTTCAGATCGTGACACCTTTTCAGTAACCTAGAAAACAAATATCCAAGAAATCCGAATGTCACTGCTTAGGCATTATAAACAGCTTTAGAACGTACCTTTCTCCCTTAAATGACTGCTTGTACCACCAAAGATGCCGTGATGAAAACACATACTACATATTTGCATCTTCATTGTTCTGGTCATAAATTTCCAGCACTGCTCTGTGGTCCTGAATGCAGAACATCTTTGTTAGCACAGAGTAGGAATTTAAATGCATCTGGGAAACAAAATCAGTCAATAACAATGTTCTTCTACATCAGATGGAGCTTATAAATGTGATTAAAATACCAACCTATAAAAACAATGTGCATATAAATCCTTACAATAAGAGCACTTTCTAGTGATAGTTTTCCAGGATTTTTCATTGTCTCCTCAATTTCTACAAGTGGACAAAGCTTAAGAGAATGATTTCTAGATCTTTATCTTATAATGCAATTTTTTATCAAATACCAGAACAATCATCAGCCAGGTAGAAGGCATTCTTGGGACGGACCATAAACACAAAGAGGAAATTGGAAATAAATTGATTTTTGCAGTTCACTTACTGCTTTGTCATATAAAATCCTGGGACTAGATGGGGCCAAAACTCTTTGTCTACTACTAGGAATGATTGTATTTCTAAGTATACAGCAGCAACTGGTCAAAAAATCTATGGGTATCAAGTCTGTCTTATACAGACACAATTAATTGCAAGGTTGGAATACAAGACACCAGGCAGCTTCACTTCTGTGTAACCAAATCAATTTTACTTCTGTACTGAAACATCTAAGTGTGGTTACTAAACATAGGTTATAATAAAAAGAGGAAGAAAACTATGGTAGTCCAGCAAACTTTTACTCATTCAGGAAAAAAAAAAGATATGAGTTCTAAAGTAACAATGAAAAAAAATTTCTTCTTTAAAATATGCCTCTCATATTATTGCCTGCTCTTCCAAATGAGACCGTTTTTCCCTCCTTTATCCCTTGGGCTCCTGGAAATATTAATAGTTATTGAGGAGAAACTTTTACTCCAAATAATATTGTAGCTGAGACCCAATCATAAAGAATTTTGCAACTGTAGGCTCACTTTGAGCTTTATCTTACTCAGTTGTGTTGGTCTTGCCTCTTGGAGCCTAAATACATAGAGCAAAGTACAGGTGATCGAAAATGTTCTCCAACAGACCCTGTTCCAGGAATCTGTCCTGCGAATCCCTCCAGTCAGCAGGTGTTTGTGTGAGCAAGAATGAAGAAAACAAATAAGAGTTAACAGCTGGTTGGGCACGGTGGCTCACACCTGTAATCCCAGCACTTTGGGAGGTCGAGGTGGGTGGATCACCTGAGGTCAGGAGTTTGAGACCAGCCTGGCCAACATGGAGAAACCCCATCTCTACTAAAAATACAAAAGTTCACTCGGTGTGGTGGTGCACGGCTGTAATCCCAGCTATTCGGGAGGCTGAGGCAGGAGAATCGCTTGAACCTGGGAGGCAGAGATTGCAGTGAGCCAAGATCACACCATTGCACTTCAGCCTGGGTGAGAGAGTGAGACTCTGTCTCAAAAAAAAAAAAAAAAAAAAAAAAAAAAAGTTAACAGCCAGCATTTATTAAGCACGCATCATGCACTGTGCACCAGTAGGGTAATAGGGTTCTGGGCTTTAGATATAGTATCTTATGCAATGCCCACAAAACCCAAGAATAGTATTCTTCCTCTGATTTTATGGATGAGGTAAAACAATGTATAAAGGGTTGAACAGCCAGTAACTGGCAGCATTTCAGAATTCAGAATTGTTCCCTTAACTAGCAGAAGCTTTCACATTGATTAATGCATTCAACCCTCACAATAACCCAACTACAAAGTATTACTGTTCTTCCCACCTTTTCCATTGGAGTAATTCAGACAAAGGTAACTTTCTCAAGGTCACACTTATAGGGGATAGAGCGAGAATCTGCACCCTTTCAAACCTATATTCTTTCTACCATCCCACATTGCCTCAACCAAGCATTTGGTGTGCATATTTTTAGAGAGTCAGTGCCCAACTTTGTATTTAAAAGACAAATATAAGAGAAAAGCATTCACAGCACCAAGAGATATAATTTTAAGGTTCTGCCCTTTTACAGAAAGGAAAGGGTAGATGAATCATTGTGTTGGCAAGGAGAATAGGCTTTAATTTGAAAAGAAGACAGTGCAGGAAAGGGAGTCTGTCTCTGTACCTGAGGTACGGAAGGGTATACCCAGACTGCTAGGAGGGGAAGGAATTTGTATCAAGTACAGTGATACTTGATATAAATTCCTGCTAGCAATAGAAAACTCCAGAACAGTGACTTGAATAGGAGTTAATTTTTATCACATAACAAGAAAGCTAGTGGTGAAGGTTTCAGGTGTTGACTCAGCTGCTCAAAGATGCCATCAGAACCGAGCTCCTTCCCCTCCCATCCCTCCACCCATACCCTATTGGCCTTCTCCTCATGTGAGCCGGAAGACATCACATCCATCCTAAAGTCAGGAACCACAGTGGAGAGGCTGCATCAATCACAGTGGTTCCGTATCAGCAGAAAAGCAAAAGCTTTCTCAGACCCCTCCAGTCCCCAGCAGACTTCCACTTAGGTGTCGTCCGTCAGGATTGTGTACCACGGCCTCCCCAGCGGACGAGGAGGCTGGAAGAGCAAGTACCTACCTGGACACCTTGCCAACCCAGCAGAACTGCCTCCTCGTATGGATGGGGTGGTGTGGGAAGAAAGAAAGAGAGTAAGCCTTGGTGTCGGAGGCTAGTGAGGAGAGGACACAAATGTGCTAGGGCAGCAGGGCTGTACTTGGGAGAAGGAAGAGGACACGGATGAGGCAGGAGTGGAATGTCATCCTGCCCATTGAATTTGTGATTATATTTAAGTGGCCCCAGAGGATCACACCAGTACCTACCCCTTCCTTCATCCTGTTCTTTACTCTATTCTTTCTGCCCTACCCAGACCAAT
The DNA here is from genome assembly GCF_000001405.40 of Homo sapiens. NCBI lineage: Eukaryota > Metazoa > Chordata > Mammalia > Primates > Hominidae > Homo > Homo sapiens. The sequence continues at coordinate 51,025,748 of NC_000014.9, read as the reverse complement.
AGCCCTTTGTGCTAAGTAACGTTGATAAGAATTAGATCATCTGACTCACTATTTTGTTTTGCTTTTTTAGTCCTTAGCAAATATGTATTCAATAAATGATTGTTTAATTAATCAATGAAGGAGGAGATGAAGAAATTCTAGGTTGATATCAGCTGGTGAGGGCCTTTGACTGCTGTGGCCAGAAGTGTTCACTGCTTCCAAGGAGAAACTACTCAGGAGCACAGGGAGTTTCGACACCAGAATCTACCTGTACAAATGCCAGCAAAAAGGTCCAACCTCAGACAAGAGGAATCTGAGGAGGTTGATGACTCTTCAGTTTTGAGTCTCGCTGGCCTTGTTGGTGTATCCTGTGATTACAGCTCCATGGCTTCCTTCTTTGTCTTTGCAGAGCCAGCTCTCCCAGGCGCTGAACGGACTGTCAGACAGGGCCAAAGAAGCCAAGGAGTTTCTGGTACAGCTGCGCAACATGGTCCAGCAGATCCAGGTATGGGTGTTACCTGGGACGCAAGGAAACCCGCCGGTTAATACGTAACTGTGTGGCGGGAGAGTTTCCTTCTCCTCTTTTATTTTTATGTGTCGTGGGAAAATTCCTATTTTGTGGTTGTTGTTGTTCTTTACATACAAACACATAGAGATCAACTTCAAACATACCCCTTCTTGAGGTAGTTACTTTTTGCCAACAAGCCGGAAACACAGCCTGATTTTCCAACTGGTTCCTGTCTTCCACACTGAGGTCCTAATTCTCTACTACTGAATATTCAGAAAGAGGCCTATTTTTTTGTAAACTCAGGGTCCTTATTGTTGAGCTTGTAAAACCTTGTAGGTTTCCAAAACACCTTGTAATAATTGTATCATTTAATGGTAACAGGCCACAGTTTTCTCTTCTTTTCTTCCTTCATTTCCTTCCTGCCTTCCTTTTTTTCTTTTTCATTCCTCCCTTGTTCCTTCTTCCTCTTTTTTCTTCCTCCCTTTCTGCCTTTCTTTCTTCTTTTCTTCCTCCCTGACCCACAATAATGCTTCTCCTCTGCTTAGACATTTAAATATTTTTCAACCATGATCCCCTGGCAACTATAATTTCAGATTGCTTTATCTAGACACAATGACCAGCAATTCAACCAGCATTTAAGAGCTCATAAATTCTCCACTATAGCTGAAGGAGAAAAACCATAAACTGTATAAGACAGTAAAATAATGACCTTCTGTACTGTTTAGCATTCTTATGTTTTGAGGTTTGCCTCACAGAAATAACCTTAGTTCTGGCCTCCAGTAAATTGCCTAAGTTCATATTTAACCATGTCAAGGTAGAAATGGATTTTTAAATGTAAGCCACCCTTTCAAAGAATTACACACTGATTTCTTTGCCTTTTTTTTTGGCACACATGCCCATGTTAAACTTTTGATTCCCTAACAGCCTAGCAGTTTTGTATACTTCCTTCTGTTTTCCAAAGCAATGGAGTTTATCAATCAGTTCTTTCTTTACTCTGCTGGCATAAAATGTGCAGCCCCAGGCTTGCCTCTGCCCGGGCCTCTTCATCAGAGCAAAGCTTTCTTTCTGCTCTAAATCAGTGACAGAGCTTACAAGGAGAAGGTTTCCCCTCACCCCACCCTCCAATATTACCCTGCATGTGGCATAGAGAGCTCTTAAATGATGTTTTCCAAAGGCCTTCTCTGAGAGTTCAAAAGCAATTGCCGTGAAAGCCAAAATTTAGCATTGCTCAAGCAATTACTAATGCATTCCTTATACGAAGACCTTGCATTTGAAAACAATTACTAAATGCCTACCAGTTGATTATTATATAAAAAGACACAGTTCTTTATGACTTTGGTAATAAATTTAAATTTGTGCCTTAAATAAATTTAAATTGTGCCTTTCTTGCCAGCCCCAAAAGTTTACAGTTTACTCAACTGGGTGGTGTTTTTTAAGTATTACTAACGTATATGTGAGTATTTAGCTTTCGTTTACTGTAAATTACTTTTTTTCAGATTATGCATATATATGCAAAATTGCATATATTACTCATTGAAAAGCTTATCCTTAATAACTGCATATAACTCATTGAAAGAATTGCTTAAAATAAATGTCTATGGCATGTACAGATTTAAATCAAATAAAAAGGTTATATCCAGCATTTAATTTAAACATCACAGGGAAGCTATAATTCACTTAGTATGAAGTTGCCTTTCCCCTGCAAGGTGTTGGGTCATATCTGATTTTTATGGCAGGGTGATCCCTGTTACACACATTGATTGTTTTTTTCTGCCTACTATTTGCTTTCCTTAATGAAAGGGGCAAGTACTTTTACCCATTATTCTTATAAACTTCTGTTCTCATTGGATTATTGTTAATATTGAAGACCAGTGCCATCCTTTTTCTTCTTTATTCCTTTGAATTTAATGATTTCTCGTGCCTCAGCAATGCCCCACTCCCTCCTCATTGCCTTTTTGAATGCCAGCTTCCACCATACATAGCTGAACATATGTGGCCCTCAAAAACATTCATAAACAACTCTATGAACTAAAGCTTTGTTTTGCTTAATAGAATTCAAATTGTGGAGATGATTTCCTTTTGATAAATTTAAGTGATAAATATTTATCCCTTTTAATCTAAATTTAAAGCAAAACATGACCACTGTAGAATAAAGTTTATCCAGTTATTTTTTTAAAATTACCAAATGTGCATTGTGGACAGAGTTCCTTTTCATTCCCTTCAGCAGGATGGGGGAGCTCTGTTTTCTCTGGCAGCCTGAGGCACCCAGCAGCTTGCAGTTGAGAAATGTGCTCTGTTACACAGGAGAACAGTGTGGAGTTTGAAGCCTGTCTGGTGGCCCAATGTGATGCCCTCATCGATGCCCTCAACAGAAGAAAAGCCCAGCTGCTGGCCCGCGTCAACAAGGAGCATGAGCACAAGCTGAAGGTGAGTGCTGCATCATGGGAAGAGCAGAAAGCCAACAAGCCAGGCTCCCGAGGGGCATGATGGACAGGCTGGGAGAATTCCTTCCCATGGACAGGAGGAGAGGATGCCCACAGCCTTGGGTAGCCAGTGGTCTGGCCAGAAAGGAACAGACACCTCCCTTCATTCACTACCTGCTCCTTCATTTACCCAAATAATGTTTGTTGGGTGACTTTTCTCAGCCAGGAACTGCAATGGACATAGGAATAATAAAGAAATCAAAATTCTTGCCTTCATGGGACTTATATTCTATCAAGAGGGACAAATAATAAACAAGATAAGTGTCTTCCTCCATTTTATGTTGATATAGCGGAATCCCACAGACTGGGTGATTATAAATAATAGAATTATATTTAGCTCATGGTTCTGAAGACTGGGAAGTCCAAAAGCATGGTGTTGGCTTCTGGTGGGGCCTTCATGCTGCATCATCCCATGGCAGAAGGCAGAAGGACAGGCGAGCATGGGAAATGAGAGGATAAGAGCCAAACTTCAACCTTTTATTGGGAGCCCACTCCCATGATAATTAACCCACTCCCAAGATAATAGCATTCGTCCATTCATGAAGGCAGGGGCCTCATGTCCTAATCACTCCTTAAAGGCTCCACCTCTTAATACTTTTATAATGGCAATTACATTTCAACATGGGTTTTGGAAGAGATATTCAAACCATAGCAATAAGTAAGTAAAATATGGAGTATATTAGTAAAAAGTGCTAAGAAAAATTCTAAAAGTAGGAAAAGAGGATGGTGAGTACTGGGGATAGGGGTGGAAATTTTGGATAGGGTGGCCATACACAGGCAAAAAAATGTGTTTTTGAATTGAAAAATAGAATCTGTACTTTCTAGAAAATGAGCATGATTTGTCTTAACTTCTCAAGTGAACTTTACAGTTGGAAGCTGTAAAGAATTTTGTCATGACATGGTGGAATCAACTGGCTATTAGAATGGGACCCTATTGGCAGGACTGGTCCTCCAGGAGACATCTGATATTCCATCTATCACCCCATTGGTGCAGGGCAACAAGATGTGAGAGGAAGGATGAATGCATGGGAAGAGCAAACCAGAAGGGGTCCAGCAGTAGACAATCAGCTGAGGCCCACACATGTGGCCAGCAGGCTTCAGAGTGGCTACTGGTGGGTGGTGGGTATGTGGTGTGCAGTGTTGATATGGCATTAGGATGAAGGGAGAAATGAGGTCTGGTCTTACGCTCATAGTGCTGGCAGGGGAGCAGGAGGAGGCAGGGACATGAAGGTGGTTCAGAAGGACTTCTGCCCTTATGGAGTTTACAGTTCAATGGAAGAGATAAGCTATACCCACAGCTGACTCCAACATAGGTACAGAGTGGGCTTCCAGGAGAGAGGTGCCCAATGTCATAGAAGTTTGACAGGGCAAAATTACTTGCAGTTAAAACGGTCACAGAGTACCTCAAGAGCTGGCACCTGAGCAGTCCAAATTGTAGGAAGTGTGTGTTAATGACCATTTACATTCCTACCTGCAGGAATCGGCAAAGCTGTCAGGGAAGAAGTGGGTGATTAGCACATGTGCACTGTGGTCTTGTTCCATCTGGTTAGGCCTGAGGACCAAGGGATGTTTTCTGTATCCAGCACCTGGCCTAACATTGCTAAAAAACTGTCACTATAGCCCTTCAATCTGAGCACCCTTCAGAAACCCAAAACTTTTATTGTTATAGCAGTCCTCAAAATATCATTCGAATCACATAGAACTGTATAAAATAAAACCACAAATGTCTTTGGGAAATGAAACTGAACAGTTTTCCCCGCTAAATAGTGGAACAACTATTTAAGTACCTAGCCATAACATTTTAACTTTCTTCTTAATGGAAATATCTCTTTTGAAACATTGCGAACACTTCCTGGCACTTTTTAACAGAACATGGTGAACAGTTTGCGACAGTCACATGGTGATGGTAGGGCAACTCCAGCCTTTCTATATGGGAGAGACATAAAGGCAGCAATCTGGAGGAGGAATTTTTTGATGATTGAGAATGCATCATTTATCCCTATCAAAGAATGGCAGAAGGCATGAGAAGCCCCGTTGCCCTCCTGCTTAGTGTTGCCTCTGCAGAACAGGACTGTGTGAAAATCAGTTAAGGACTGTGCTGTGGCTGCAGATGTCATTGCCCAGGAATGGCTTTCACGCATCGCTGGGATGCCACATCGCGTGACTATGTCCTCTTCCCTCCTCTGATGGTCCATCTGTACTGGCTAGGCTGCCCCAGCAGGGAATGCGGATGCATTTGGGGGCCACTGAGCAGAGGCAGCTGCCTGCCCTCATTCCACCCTGCCCAGGCTGGAGTTTCCTGCCCAGACCTCAAAGGACTGCAGAAACCAGAGACAGGTGGCTGGCTGTCCCCCATAGCAGCAAAGCTGTTCTGTCTTCTATCTCGAATGATTTGTTTTTCTGCTGTTTTCAGCTGATTATATCTGTCATTGCTTCCAAAAACAGCCACCAGTGCCACTCACACTGTCATGACCACTGATACAGGCCTCCACGGCTCGCTCGCTCTCCTCTCCCCCTGCCTTTTCCCTTTCTTGTCACTCTTGTTGCTACTCAGATTTGTGAGAAAAGACTGGCCTTTTATAGACATCACTTGCCAAGCACAGTACTTCTTTCTATCTTTGTTGGCTAACCCATCACTCACTGTCCTGCAGGGGTAATCTTATGTTCTTCCGCTTCCCTTTGGCTGAGTTCTCTGAGGGCCTGCTTTTTGCTGACAAAGAGAGGAGTTGTGTGTGTATTTTTCGGGCAACTCTCTCTCCTTGAGCAATCCAAAAAACTAGGAATGCTGGAAAGTGAGTGTGTACTTACGCAGTCTTTATAATCTACTCATGTCCCTCTCTGAAAGCACTGATTGCTTGAACAGATTTAATAGTTCTGGTTCTGAGGCAAGATGGAACTGAGTGGTAAAGAGCCCAGGTTCTGTGTCATAGAGGCTGGGGTGAGAGGACACACTTTCTCACTTACTAGGTTTCTCATCTTGAGCAAGTCTGTGGCTCAAAAGTTTATTTCATCTGTGTGTAAAATAAGGCTGGAAGTGGTACCTCATAGGGCATTGCAAAGCACTTAGCACAATCTTTAATGTATATTAACTGTTATTGTTGTGATTGAGAGAGAATGACTGGAAATATGGTTTCATTCAACACCCTGAAGAAGAGTTTCCAGGGGCTTGTTTTCTATGATACCATAATTCATAGCCTAGAATTAGCTCATACACTGGTGTTATTATCCATGAACCTGGGAGATTCTTTAGTGGCATGAGTTCATAATTGATCATTGTATAAAATAGTTCACAAAGTTTGATGAGCTAAAAAAAAGCAAAAAAGCTTTGGAGACATATGCAGATGTGGACATGTTTGAGGGAAACTGTTTGAAATGTAAATTATAGTTAATACTACTCTGTGGTTTGATAAGATGCTGGGAGCCAAATATCTATTTTCAGAATGTGGTGAACTAATGCGAATGTCAGAAAGCTACTGAGGGAAGAAGTGTTTTTGAGCTTCCAATAAAAATATTACTAACTCATATTTGGAACTACTTGGGCAGTATTCCAACAGTGAGCAGAGCACACTGGACCTCCAGGTTTCTTGTCTTGGTCTGTCCATTGTGTTAACATCCTTCCCAGGTCTGCTTTAGCTGAAGAAAGCCTACATTTCCTATCTGTGCTCCTCACAGGGAATTTATGACAACACTTAAACTAAATTGTGCCATTAATGAAATCTATGCTTTCTTCAGAAACTTTACATATGCCACTTTCTCTTGATAAGCCCAAAGACATATCTGAAAATTATTTGTTGTTTATGTAACATTCACAATTTGACATAACCCTGAAATTGTCTTAAATGTGTTCTCTCTAATATTTTAGAATGAATTCACACATTGAATAGTAAGAGGCGATATGTATTTTCTTGATTACCTTTGAACTCTAAGATAATCTGAAAGAAAAAAAATGTTACAGTTATTCCAAATGATTCTGGGGAAAAATTCTAGCTTTCAGTTTCCATGTGTGGTTGGTAAATTTAACATACCAACAAAATTACTCAGCGAGGATGCTGAGGGCTGATGAGAAAGCTTACCATGTTGCGCAGTCTTCATATTAATATTTACTGAGGGCCTCCGTGTGCCCATTGTAGCTATCTGTAGAATGCTTGATTTTGAGGCCTAGTGTAATCTATGAGTTTTGTTAGAATAATTATCATTCTTTTCACCATTATCTTTGTTATTATTTACCATGTATTGCCTGTTATGATCCCATTATGTTTGCCAAAAATTAATTATATCACGTATTAAGAACACAAATTTACGTTACGGATATTATTGGCATATGAACTGCTTACTGCAGCTATTTTGCCATCGTTTTATGACAGGCAAATAATCCTTTGATTCAGATGAGAGAGAGGAAAGAAAGAAAGAAAGGGGGGAGGGAGGAAGGATAGAAAGAAGGAAGGAAAGAAGGAAAGAAAAAAGGGAGGGAGGAGGGAAGGAAGGAAGGAAGGCAGGCAGGCAGGCAGGCCATCCCAGCTCACAAAAAAATTAAAAATAATTAGATACTATTTGACTGGCTACAGTCATTACTAGAAAAAAAAAGCAACTAATTCAAGCCAAGAACCACCTCAATCCCTGTAAAATTAATGACAAAGAACTCAGTTATTCCATTACAATGAAGACATTTGGAAAAATTAGGCACACTGGAACAACTTGAAGCTTTCAACTGCCCTCAGCAGAAGTCTGTAGAAGCCAATTCTAATTATTTAACCACAATTATGATTGATTACAAGCCCATCATGAATGATGAATTCCTTTCAGAGTTTCATTTGGCATATTTTGCAGTCTTCTGCTTCCCACCACATAGGAGCAAAAATCACAAGAGAGACTGTATGGGATAGGGTGCCCAGGCTACCCATGGAATCACGAGGAAGCCCCATACACAGCTGGAGTTCCTCTAAGTTAGAAATCACACCCCTGAACAGCCCCCCCACTCACTTTGGCAATGCCAATCAAAGTCAGTCTCAGAGCTTCCTTAGTACTCTTTGCTTCAACCCAGATATGGGTGACACCTCTTACCTCCAGAAGGCACCTAACTCATACTTTGAGGAGATGGAGTAATCCACTATACCTTGCTACACTTCACATGCTACAAAACATCATACTGCTTCACTCTTATTGCAACCCACCTTCAGTGGTAAATGTTCTCCTGTGTGGTTGGGACTGCCCAATATGCTTCTCTCTCCCAATGTCTTGAATTTCTTCTTTTATTAACTTCTCTGTACGAGGATACAGTATTCTATACATTAAGAGCATGCTTTGCATATTCCACTCCATGTTTATTGGTAAGGCATTGGTGATATTCACACTTCTAGAATAGAAATTTCACAGCTTTACTGTTAAAAATCTCAAGACTTCCTAAAAACAGGTGTGTGTTTTATTTAAAGGCCTAAATGATCCTTTTCTCGATTAAAACCGCAAAGCCTCAGACTTGCCTTTGAAGTGATTAGTTTGCCAGTGTGGGTAAATTAATAACATTAGTATAGAAGGTGGTATCAAGAGAACGGGGAAAATATTTGCCTTAAACTATGAGGGAGAGTGGTGGCATGTGAGAAATTTAAAATGCTCTTTTTTAAGTTAAATGCTGTAAGTTTTAGTGAACGTGACAATGAAATGGTAGATAATGTTCTACTCTTGGAAAAAACAAGAGAATTCTTTATTTTGTCAGAAAGATCTAACAGCCAAAGCACTTCCCCTTTAATTCACACAGTTAATTCAAAGCATCAGTTGGTCATCATGCTTTAGGACACAATGGGACACATAGAAACTCCCTCCTGATCAAAAGGACGCATGGAGAACAAACACTTCAAACTTGCATCTTAAAAGTACAGTCAGCCCTCCATATCCATGGGTTTTGCATCCATGAATTCAACCAACAATGGATTGAAAATATTCGGAAACAAAAGTCTCTCCTGAACATGTACAGACTTTTTTCTTACTATTCCTTAAACCACTGGTCCCCAGCCTCTTTGGCACCAGGGAGCAGTTTCATGGAAGACAGTTGTTTTCCATGGAGTACAACTGTCTCCTCAGTGTCTGTGGGGGATTGATTCCACGATTCCCTGCAGATACCAAAATCCACAGATGCTCAAATCCCTGATATAAAATGGCATAGTATCATTAATGTTATGTTATTAGTAATAATTAAATTATGTTATTAGTATTAATATAATTAATATGCTAATAATAACATAATGTTATTGTGTTATTAATGATATGTTATTATTAATATTATTATTAGAGAGAGAGAGCTGCAGGGGGGTAGGGGGTGGGGGGGAATGGTTCTGGGATGAAACTGTTCCACCTCAGATCATCAGGCATTAGATTCTCATAAGGAGCGGGCAACCTAGATCCCTTGCATGCGCAGTTCACAGTAGGGTTCCTGCTCCTGTGAGAATCTAATGCCGCTGCTGATCTGAAAGGAGGTGGCCGCCGCTCACCTCCTGCTGTGCAGCCCGGTTTCTAACAGGCCACGGACCAGTGCCAGTCCACGGCCCGGGGGTTGAGGACCCCTGCCCTTGCCTAAACAATACAATATAATACCTATTTACATTGTATTAGGTATTACAAATAATCTAGAGATGATTTAAAGTATATAAGAGGATGTGCATAGGTAATATGCCAGTACCATGCCATTTTATATCAGGGACTTGAGCATCTGTGGATTTTGGCATCCTCAGGGAATCGTGGAATCAATCCCCCACAGATACTGAGGAGACAACTGTACCGGACCTTAAACAAAAAGGATTAAAGGATTACCTTATGCTTGGGGGAAATTGTTTTAAACTATAATGGGAAGGCATAGCTTATATTTAAGAAAGAACTTTTTGAAATAGTAGAGAAAGAATGTTAGTGTTTACTTAGGCTGCAGTTCATTAGTGATATCCCATCAAAACCTATGATGAGAGAGAGTACTATAGGAAAAAGCACTGGCCAGGTGTGGTGGCTCACGCCTGTAATCCCAATGCTTTGGGGGGCCAAGGCTGGAGGATCACTTGACACCAAGAGCAGCCTGGATGACATGGTGAAACCCCATCTCTACCAAAAATATACACATTAGCCAGGTGGGGTAGCATGTGCCTGTAGTCCCAGCTACCAGGGAGGCTGAGATGGGAAGATCACTTGAGCCCAGGAGGTTGAGGCTGTGGTAAACTGTGAGTGTGCCACCACACTCAGCCTGGGTGACAGAGGGAGACCCTATCTAAAAAAAAAAAAAAAAAAAAAAAAAAAAGAAAAGTAAAGAAAGAAAAAAGCATTTATTTAAAAAAGATAAAGAAAAATTTTAAAAGAACCACATGTAAAATGGAGAGGTAAATGGAGGTGGGGGAAGGTGTCAAGGTCATGGTTGGGTTAAGCATGAAATTCTCCTAATTAACCTCAGGTCTTGCTTCTGGTTGTGTCACATGAACTGCCTGGAGGAAGGAGATTGGTCTGTTAGTGATGGGAATGTAATTGTGAACAGGCAGGACAAAATTTTACCTGTGTATTGTGTACTCTCTCCTGAGTTGCTCTGTGCTACTGACAATGTCTGAGAATTCAAAGAGACACAACAGTCCTTCAGACTCTCCTTTAACCAGTAGATATCAGTGTCATATCCTGACCCAAGAAATGACCTTTATAAATTTGCCACTTAACAAAATAAAACTGTTCAAATGATCAATAGACACTTGCCATCCAGAACAGATGGTGGCTCCGCTGATAAAATTTTAAAAGCCTTCTCTGAAACTGTGGACTGCAGATTAATTCACTGTCCTGTGGGAGCTGGTTTAGGCTTTAGTGCAGATGAAAGCAGGAAGACTGTTCTCCTAGGCCCTGTTTGTGTCCTTCCTGCAACTTGCCCTGTCCCTGAGAAAAGGACCTCTTGAATCCAGCCCACTGCATACGTGATGCCAAGGGGTTCTCTGGCACATCAGAGCCAAAGCACGGAAATGTGTCATTCAAAGACAACAGTGAGGTGGCCTGGCTTCCAGGAATCATTTTCTATGAAAAACTCAATGTAGAAATAAATGATCACAAAATGTGGTATGAGTAACGCAAGTTGAAGAAGATAGCAAGTAAGAGAGTTGATAAAGACAACTAGAGAGAAAGTATTTATACTCTTAAAAGATCTGATTTAAGGTAATCTGCCTGATTTCTATAATGTGGGAAATCTTGCTAAATTAATTCAGAAACTCTAAGTTAATTACAGGGCACCCAAAATGCTTCTTTGGGAACCCCATAGTTTAATTTTTCGCAGTGATTTTATCACAAGCTATTGTGATCATTGTGAATGGTTGATTAAAATGTAAAAAAGGTGGACCAAAATCAACTGTAGCGAGAGTGAGGGATTGAGAGCCAGGAACTCAAGAATATTGAGTCCTTCCAAGGAGCTTGAGTCATAGAATGCAGGAGCCAATTGCAAACCCCTGCTGAAACTCCCCGGCTCTTTGGCAGTGCAACAATTAAGCTTCTTAAGAGTCAGCAGAGAGCCCCAGCACTCAGATAGCTCCTTCAGCACCCAATAAACCATGCTTGATAAGGAAATTTATAGAAGCAAATGTGGAATTTTATGAGGACTGAGTAATGTATTTATTTCAGTACATGAATGCATCATTGAACTGAATCCTCTGGAAAGGAAACACAACAATTCAGTCTATTTTATCTCAAAAGCAGACTGACTCTGGGTTATAGTGCTCAGATTTGATCTGTCCTTATTATTCGGACTTCCAGTACCTGTAGTCAAGGGCAGATGTCATTTGGATGATGAAATGATGACTGTGGAGGTGTCTGCTACCTGGCAGCACCAATACACTGGCTACCAAAATATAAAAATGTCATCCTGGAAACAAGTTAGTTCAGCCTCATACAGCAGAGGGGAATAGCATATTAGCTGTAGGTCACCTCTCTTTAATTTTTAAATGTTTTACTTGTGGGGTTTTCCTCCCCAAGAAATGGAAGCCTAACCTTCCTGTTATTTTATGAATAAAAAATAAAATAATTTGTATTCATTGAGCCCAGACCAACATATGGTGGTGGTGGTTGTCAGGCATACTGGATGTCAGAAGAAAATAAATCAACCAGTGAATTTTAAATTTGATCCCCCCAAAACTCACAAAAATAATCTTTCCATCAGAGTTGGTTCCTTTCACCAGTGACAATAAAGAGATTTTAAATCCTACATTTTATTTTCCTTTTTAATTATTATTAAAAGTTAAAAAGCAGTAACAAATCATCTATCAGAAAATTGGGCGATGTAAATAAACAATCTTGAAAAAGAAGGACAAATTTGAAGTTCTTACATTTCCTAACTTCAAACCTTATTATAAAGCGACAATAATCAAAATAGTGGATACTGGCATAAAGACAGATATATAGACCACTGTAATAGAATAGAATCCAGAAATAAACTCTTACATACTTGCTCAAATGATTTTTCACAAGGTGCTAAGACTATCCAATGGGAAAAAGGCAGTGTTTTTAATAAGTGGTGTGGGGAAAATTGGATATCCACATGCAAAAAAAAAAAAAAAATGAAGTTAGACACTTACCTAACTCCATATCCAAAAATGACCTCATAACAGATCAAAGAACTAAATACAAAACCTAAAACTATAAACTCCTGGGAGAGAACACAGGGGGAACCCTTTGGGACACTGGAATTGGCAATGATTTCTCAGATATGACACCAAAAGCAAAGGAAACAAAAGAAAATATAGGTAAGTTGGAAATAGTTGTGTCTCAAAGGACACAAGGAGTGAAAAGGCAACCCACCCAACAGTATGAAATATTTGAAAATCATATATCTGATAAGAGACTGATATCCAGAATATATAAAGAACTCCTACAACTCAACAACAAAAACACCCAATTTTAAAAATGGGCAAAGACCTGATTAGCAGCGAGGGTACACAAACAGCCGATAAACGTATGAAAAGATGCTCAGCATCACCAGTCATTAGGGAAATGCAAATTGAAACCACAATGAGATACCACTTTATACATTTACGATGGCTATATTTTTAAAAATCAGAAAATAATAAGTGTGGGCGAGGATGTGGAGAAATTGGAACCCTTGTGCATTGCTGTGGGAATGTAAAATGGTACAGCTGCCATGGAAAACAGTATGGTGATCCCTCAAAAAATTAAACATAGCATTGCCACATGATCCAGCAACTCCACTTCTGGGTATAATACCCCAAAGAAGTGAAAGCGGAGACTTACAAAGATATTTGTACACTCGTGTTTATAATCACTTTATTCACAGTAGCCAAAAGTATTCATCAATGGGTGAATGGATAAACAAAATGCGATATACATACATCAGAGTATTATTTGTTCTTAAGATGAAAATGTTGACACATGCTACAACATGGTTGAATCTCAAAGACATTATGCTAAGTGAAATAAGCCAGTCACAAAAGGACAAATATTATATGATTGCACTTATGTAAGAGGTTCTTAGCATAGTGAAATTCATAGAGAAAGGAAGTAGAATGGCGGTTGCCAGGGGCTGGGAGGAAGGGGAAATGGGGATGTTGTTTAATGGGTTTAGAGTTTCAATTTGGGAAGATGAAAAAGTTCTGGAGATGGATGGTGGTGATAGTTGCACAATAGTGTGAAAGTACTTAATGCCACGGAATTACACACTTGAAAATGGTTACAGTGGAAAATGTCATGCTGTGTATATTTTGCCACAATAACACATTAAGAACAAAAAAATCAGAAATAATGAATGAATGAGTTGTCAAAATATTAGATAGAAATTTAATGCCCAATAATAAGAGAACAGGAATGATTAAGCAAATTAAGATTACCCACTCAATGGGATATTTTTGTAACCATTGGTTGTGGCAACATGAAAACTGCCTGTGATACAGTATTAAGTTGGGGGAAAGGGAAGGTAAAATTGTCATATACAATGACTGCAACGATAAATAAGTCTGATTCCAGAGAAAAACTAAAAAGAAATGTCAAAGTACTTTAAAAATTTACACTAGAATGATAAGAGTATTTGCTTTTTCTCATCTATTTCCTGATTGTTTTGGAAAGTGGATGAAATAATATTTAATGGAAAATAAATTTATAACCAAAAATGAAAAGAAGGAACAAGGAACATTTTAAAATAATTATTATTAGATTCTCTTTTGGCTATTATCCATAAAATCCAAAACACTAGATGTATTTTAGGCTTTTGCAAAGTAGTATAAATATTGGGGATGTGAGTAGTTATGGTTCCTGGAAAACCCTTCTTCAATTTTACGCTTCAAAAACCATTCAAAGATAGCTGCAGTGTAGTCCCAGCTACTTGGAGACTGAGATAGGAGGATTACTTCAGCCCAGGAATTCAAGACCAGCTTGGGCAACATGGGAGGACCCCATCTTTGGAAATAAAAAAATATATAGGCATTCAAGATTTGGGTTACTGAGCAGAGGACACAAATGACAAATGCCTCTGAAGAAAAAAACTGTTCAAGGAATGTCATGCATTCATCACCAAGCACAGACAGCTTCTTAGAAGCAGAAACCGCTTGCTCAGAGAGATGCCTATTTAGGTTAAAGCAGACTCACAGCTTGGCAAATGAGCAGCCTTTACAACTGCTCTCCAAATGAGGCAGTGGTTTCAGTGGGTTATTCTTAAAACTTAATTCTGCATCCGTCTTCTTTCTTCAGCTTTTCATTAGCTCATTACCTCTCCCAAGCTCCACCTTGGCCTTCCAGGTCCCCCACCATCCACGCAAGGAAAAAGATGCAGAACAATTGACCGTGGGGCTGTGGGGAGGGGCAGGAAGGGAAAGGAACTGGGTTCAGATGGTGATGTCTGCTCTTTACAAGTAAAGTAGAGGGCACTGAAGGTGGACAGTGTCACCAAGCACAGCTGCAGCAGCATCTTGGGGAACTATAGCTCCTCCACAGACCCCCCAGCAAACATCGCTCAGCAGAGTCAGCTTCACAGAAAAGTGCAGGGCAAAGTGACCTTTGGAAGGTGTTCGTTGATGCACCAAGGTCACCAGATCTAGGGTTCCAAGATCTACCTGCCTTCCCTTCTGATGGGTCCTGTTACCAATTTCCTTTGATAATCTTATCCCATCTGTCTTCCAGAGCCCTTATCCCCAGCAGACACTGCCAGAAAATATTCTCATAAATTTAGTTCCATTCCAGAATGGAATGGATTCTGGTTTGAAGAAGCTTTCCAATGGTCCAGTTTGCTTCTCTTCTACCCTCTGCCATCTTGGACTGTTCTGTTGTTTTTTTTTTAATCCTAGGTGGTTCGAGATCAGATCTCTCACTGCACAGTGAAATTGCGCCAGACCACAGGTCTCATGGAGTACTGCTTGGAGGTGATTAAGGAAAATGATCCTAGTGGTTTTTTGCAGGTAAGAGTTAACTAGTTTCTGCGTCAGATTCTAAATGTCCCATAGGACATAGTCTAGGATGCTTAAGTCAGACTTCCAACAGCCCTGGGTGGGCCTGTGTCCCTCAATAACAGAACCTACCTCACACTGCAGTGTACATGGAAGTAAGTGCCGGCTAAATAAACTCCACTGACTTCCCGGAAGTCTCTGGCACCATGTACTACAAGTCTGAGAGGTCCATGGGCTTTTTTCTTTTTCTTTTTCTTTTTTTTTTCGCTTCTTTTTCTTCTTTTGTTTAATCATGAAAACATAATTCTCTGTAAGTTCTTTCAAAGTGGAGTTATTGCCTTGCCCAAGAATTCGGTCCTTATTCATTAATATCTCTTGGGCAGTTTTGTCAGATGTCTAAGTGTCTAAGTTTGTAAGATGTCTACCTTCTTGACACCTTCTGCTGGCCAGAAAGTCAGTGATTTCTCAAATGCAGAGATTTCTCATTCTTCAGTGTTAATTGTTTTAGTGAGATGCTATGGTGTAAGCTGGATTTTACTTAAGCTTTGATCCCAATGATAAGGAACCTTTTGTTAAGGAACATGTAGATCTCTTCCAAGTCACACTCTACTAAACTGGCTAAGAGTGACAGAAAGCGATTGAATATAAGAAATGAAAGAGCTTTCTACCAAAGAATACAGTGATAATCACATGAAGATGATGTGCTTAAAATGTGAGAAATTCCATGTGCACCCTCACTAAACTATTTTATGAAACTCATTTCCAAGTCTTTATAGGATACCCACACTTTAAATTAGAAGGGTTGAGCTATTGATTCTAATAGAAATTAACTAGTTTCCAACATACCATCCTTTAAAGTTGTTGGCATTTAGTAAATCTGTCATAAATAGCATGATCATATATTCAGATTTGTCTAATAAATCAGTTAACACCTGCTAATTATTTATAGTGCCCCCCAACTCACAAAAGTGTTCAGATTTGCTTGATGAATTGTGAGTCACCCTAGTCCTAATGGGGTGTTCCTCACCAACAGCACTGAGGCAGTCAGAGTATGAGTCCTCAAGGCAGTTTGGGAGTAATGCTCCTGGAGAGCCAAGGGGCAGTGTTGTGTTTCAAGTGTGGTGGTGTATTTCTTAGGCTGTGGTCCTCTTTATCTGATTAGATTTCTGACGCCCTCATAAGAAGAGTGCACCTGACTGAGGATCAGTGGGGTAAAGGCACACTCACTCCAAGGATGACCACGGACTTTGACTTGAGTCTGGACAACAGCCCTCTGCTGCAATCCATCCACCAGCTGGATTTCGTGCAAGTGAAAGGTATGTCCTTGCATCCCCCAAGTCAGAGAGCAACATCCTGAGTGGATGCTGGTGCTTGAAGCAGGATCAGTACCCCTTTGGCTAATGTAACAAGAATATGGAGTGGCTTCTAACTTATGTAATGAAAATGTATCCTTATAAATGTGTGACCTACCTTTCAGCAAGCTGGATAAATTCAGATCAACTCAATGCTTGCCTCTTTGAGAGTCTTAGAGATTTCAAGTGCTCAGCACCAGAGAACAGCTGACACAAAAAGAGGAAAGCAGAGAGAGAAAGAGATCATCACAATACATAAATAAAATCTTGGTACAGAAAGGAATCCAGAAATATTGATATAAATCAGGGGAGTCCAGAATTGAAATGATTGCTTCCACATGGATAGAGATAGTAAGCAAATGGTTGAGCATGGATCAGTGGGAATTTGAGAGGATCACAGTTGGCCTGCCAATACTGGCAGAAAAATGCAAGCCTGGAAGGAAAATGGAAATTTGATATAAACTTTAAAATTTGATTATGTGATTAAGGGATATGGCAAGGTCTCTTTGAGATTCTGGGTGGGGGCTGAAAATATTTTAAGGAAAACAACTCTTTCAAAGAAAAATAACAACTCAAGCCAACCATGCAACAACATTTTTATGGCAGTGTAATACCCATTTGAAAAATATTTCTTTTTAACTGTTTCTTTTGAAATACACAAGAAGTTACAAAAATAGTAAGAAGTTTTGTTCATCTTTTACCCAGCTTGCTTTGATGGTTACATCTTGTAGCTATAACATAATATCAAAACCAGGAAGTTGACACTTAACAGTGTGTGTGTGTATAGTTCCATGCCATCTTATCCTATGTACAGATTCCTATAATCACCACTGCATCGGGATACAGAATGAAGATCTCCCTCCTGCCACCCCTTTAAAGTCATAGCCCTCCCCTCCACCAACTCTAATCTCTGGAAACCCCTAATCTTTTCTCCATCTCTATAGTTTTGTCATTTGCTGATTTTTTAGATTGAAATTGATTTGCTCTTTGCAACTCCTGATTTAAGCATCCATATAGTAAATGACTCTTAGCATTCAGTGCTTTAAAAGGTTTGTTTCTTAAGAAAAATCTACCTGTATGCTTTTATCAAAGAGAGATTATATAAGGCGGTAAGTCTTAGGGCTGTCTACTTAGGGTCCACATGATGCAGTTAAATGCGTTCCTGTACTTGGTATGTGTACATCTCTCAGCCTTTTAATGGATTTTTGCTCTCTCTTATTTTGTCCTTTTTTTTTTTTTTTTTGGTTTAATATGTGTTGCTTTGGGAAGATGGCTTCAAAAATTTTTGAAATAGTGTATAGATTGGAAATAAGTATGCTTTGTTACAGTAAGAAAAATGTTTAGCATTTATTGAGTGCTAACCAAACCAGACATTCTCCAAAGTGTTCTACGTATAACTCATTTTATTCTCATAACCCTAGTAGACAGTTGAAGAAACTGGGGCACAGGAAGACTGGGTTACTTGCCTGAGCTCCCACAGCTAGTGAGTGGCAAGGCCAGGATTCAAAGTCAGGGAGCATGGCTAGAGAACCAACTCCTACAACTTCTAGTTTGTGCTGTAAAGCTGGTGCCACACTGAGCCACTTCTTCAGGGAATAAGTGAATTCATCTCTTAATATTAACAAATCTACATTTTTGTTGCAGAAATTCTTTCTTGCTGTTTAAAAAAATATTTTTAATACCAGTGTGGTAGCCTGTAAAATAAACCCATCCTTAATAAAATATAGAGCCCCAGATAAATCCCCCTGGATCAGCCTCTCTCTATTCCCAATTCTTTCAATGAGATAAAAATCACTGAAGGGTATGTCACAAGTAGCTTAAAGGAAAAAATATGTCACAAAAGAGCAATAGAAAGGCTTTTGGTGAAAGAGGAAAAAATGAGCTAACCCAATTAGCCTCAGTGAGGGGGCAGGAGGAGGAGGCAGTTAGAGGGTAAAAGCCTCAGGGTTTTGAAATGCTTTAATCATCTGTCAAAATCCTCTCCTCCCCCATTCATTGCCCTCCTGAGTCATGTCCATCTGCTCACGGTGGAGTCCAGGCCAGTTGGCAGGATGGTAGAGATTGAGCTGGAGTGAACAGGCCCTTCACTGGGTATGGGAACTGCGAGTTCATGCTCTCTGCATCACAGACCACATTTCTAAAGCACTGTCACTTGGCCACTTAGGACTGCGCACAAAAGTAAGAGGGACAAGGCTGTTTGTCCAGTCTGTTCAAGTCTGCACACACAGCAGAGAATACCAAGTATTCTCAGGGCCAAAACGCAGAACCCTCTCCCAGCACAAATCCATCTGAAACCACACAAAAAACAGAACAATGATTCATGAAGTTAACCTAACAGGCCATTTGGTATAATACTGGATTATAGTCTTCCATTTTCATTTTCTTTTTTAACACTTTGTCTAATTTAATTTACTTCTGATTATTATCACTCTGCCTGGTTAATTTATATGCTTTGCTTTGTGCTCATTGAGTTTAATTAATTCAGTGAGAGCCTAGCCTTCTTTAGAATCTGAATAATTTTCATCTGTCAGATGCTTGCGATGGAAAGAAAAAGCCAAAGGTCATGACACAATAGAACTTGATTGGCTGGAGTTCAGACTTCTATTGGCCTCTGTAATATCTGTTAATATATACACAACTCTTCCTGTTGTGGCGTTCATCTTCTTATTTTTTAAAGATATTCTTTGTCAGTTTAATAAACTGCCCTTTCACAACTTGTCAGTAAAAAATATGTCAAGAAACTGCACCTCAAAGAAAGAAGTAGCATTTGGAGTGGTATTAAAGTAATCCGTCCATTGTGAAACTAACAATACATGTAATCCAATATGTATTTTCTAATTGTGCTAAGTTGATTACAGGAGGAAGTTAAAATATTTTCAAATTTACTTAAAGTATGCATTTAAAGTTCTGACTCAAAATCATAACTAAAATATCTGTTTACTTCTTGACTCAGAATTTTATCAAACATCTCTGGTTTCAAAAGCTCATCATAGACGCCATTGTTGTTGCCGTTGTTTTTGTTGTTGTTGTTGATAAAAAAGAAAGTAGGTTTGCAGTTGGCTTTTACGTATTTTCACTCAGACCAGCTGCTATTCAGCAAGAATGCACTATCTAAAGTTTTACTCTCTTATTAGCTACGGATTTAACTGACCCATTCTGATTCCACACCACCCTCAAGCAATGGGATCAATCTGGAGAAGGCTGGTACCTTTTTTCAAATATCCCTAAATTGTAATGGCACGTTTTCTGGTTGTATTTTGATTAGAAAATCATCTTACCCTCTTTCCAGAAAACTGGAAGTGGCATTTGGTCTTTCAGACTTTTCTTTTATAGAAAACAACATATTAAGTTTTGTCTTCTACTTTTATTAGAGAGTAATTAAAAAAACATTTTCCACTTAATTCTAAGGTTGTATGATCAGCTCTTTTCCAGGTCATAGGAAGGAAATTTTAAGTCTTCTCCTAGTCAGCCAAGGGCTTTACTGTTTGGTTGAGAATAGATTTCAGATACCTACTTCCTCCCCCAATAAATATTAACCCAGAATTGTCTAAGTACACAAAGAATCCCAAGATTCATGAGTCATGGTACTGAAGTGAAATGCCAGTTTGTTCATTCTGAACCAGGACGAAACAATGACCTAACAGTTCACCAAGCCTTTTTAGCACATAGACCATTGGCTGTTAATCCCCTTAAGTGCCTCTACTCACCTAAGGGTGTATTTATTTTTATTGACTCAAGTTGAATATAAGAGCCCTGAGTATGCACCAAGGTCATGGGCAAGGACAGTGTGATCTGAATAGAGTCCCCTATAAATCATAGGGGGAAAGCTGCCAGAGGGTTAGCGGGGATGGAATGAGCACACACACTTGCATGTAATCTGTTAATGCTGATAGCCTGAAATGCATGGACTCAAAACCTGCGTTCAGGGTTATCTTTAACAGTGTACCGGTAATAGCTTTCCAGAAACAGCTTGTAGTTCTGCTAAAGTCTAAACTTTCCTCAGATGCCATTTGTATTGTTCAGCCACCATAAAGGGGAATGACAGTCTACAAATGAGCCTTCAGAGAAGATAACACAGTAAAATTGCATTCCCAACCACCATAGTTGTGAAGGTAGAATCTTTATTTGGGGAATCTTTATTGTTCACATTATAGGAAACAGAAAGAAACTTTGGGAATTAGACGTGCAGACTTTCCTCCAGTACACTATTTCTAAACACCGGACTGGAGAGGGGCAGTATGATGCAATGCTAAGCACACAGCCTCTGGAGCCAGGCTGCTTGGCTTCAGATGCCAGTCCTGCCACTTACTAGCTGTAAAACCTTACTGTGTTTCCATTTCCTCAGCTGCACAATAAAGATAATTGCAATACCTTCTTTATAGGATTATTGTGAAAATTAAATGAGTGAATACCTGTAAACCTCTCACAACACTCTCTGGCATTCAGTAAAGTGCTTGAAAGCATCCCTTATGATTAGTGTTCCCTGTTGAGGTTGGGAGCCCAGCTTCTCTTCTCACTTGTCCCTGCCACACTCCTGTGTACTTTCACAGAGGAATTCTGGATGGTTGTGAGTGTTCACAATCTGAAAGATCACTGAAAAAAAAAATTAAACAAATAAAATGTGAGATAGAATTTGAAATAGAGTGGCCTTAAAAAGGGAAGACATTTGAAAACATTGGTATAAGAAGCTGCTACTGGAAAATTTAATTTTGAACCACAGCTCCGCCAGACCTCTTCAAGGAAGTCAGTGAGAATAGCTTCCCCCTTGTATTTTAAGAGAAGAATTTTTAGCCTAAAGCTTGATTTTACAGGCTAAAAGAAGGATAAATGCTGGAACCCTGATCAGGTCAGGGGAAATTCATTCTTAAGGAAAAAACAAAAGCTGCCCCAGAATGATCAAGAAAGTGTAAAAATCAATATAGCTATGACAGCCCCAATAACAGGAGTTCCAGTAAAACACAATGCTCTTCCTTAGATTTCAGTCCAGAAACTGTAATGCTATCCTTTTCCAAACCATAAAAGATAGATTAATTGGAAAGTACTTTGGATTTCTAGTAGACCATTTATTTTGTGCCTAATGAAGTTAAATAGGATAACATAACACCCACTATAAAATATATTTTTCTAGAATGTCAGCCTGAGTTTCTGCTAATGAGGCTGTAATTTTGGCACATTCACCTTTTATATACAACATCACTGGGGGTAAATAAGGAAAACGGAAAACTAATTCTCAGCACATGGAGGAATAGATTCAGACAGATGCAAATATCTCTGGGTTAGTTCTTTCTTTTTTTTTTCCTCTCCACTCCCTTTGACTTTTTGTCCATTTGCTAATTTGTCTAAATCTGGGACAATATCAAGATCTGAAGATTATTGAGAGTCTAGCCTTTTTTTTTTATCCTTTTGGTCTTTTAAACTGTATCCACCAAGGGCTTATAAATTAAGTTCTGATGTTTTAATTACACATGACATCATGTATTTCAGTTACTTTTTTAATTATACCTATGTCTACACAGGTACATTTGAGTTTCTTATCAGAGACATTGTAAGCATTTGCATGATTTAAGTTGAAACCATCTGTGATCTTATTCTTTGATTTTTGTAATTGATGAAATGTAGACTTACCTGAAACATGAACAAAGGAAAAAAGAAAGACTAATATGGAGCTAATGAAATAAGAGCATAAGGAATTGTTTCATGGTGGGCGCTAACTAATAAGGACAGTTAAGAATAAATACCCCCCGGGGGGAATCATTCATGTCTCTACAAGCCCTTTGAAGAATGGTTTCCCAAAACTTGTTATATTTATCTTCCGTAGTAAATATGTTAAAAATGTATTTTAATAAAGAAAACAAATTTAAAATAAAAAGGAAAGTCCCTAGTAGTTAAAATGACCTAAAGTTAATCCTGCAATTACGACTCCTGGGTGATGCCTATTTATGTTTAGATACTCTCATTAGAAGGCATTATGTCTTCTGTGTCCTTCTCTTTCCAACCAGTCCTGTAGTTTATTTAGTGAGCAAGACAATGAATTTATTTCCTTTCCTCCAAATCTGGATTTCTGGGGCTTCTGAGCCTGCAGTAGCTGTAGCTCTTTGATAAGATTTCATCCAAACCCTGTGCCGTTGAAGCTTAAAACATGATTTCTTCTCCTAAACCAATTGCCTGCAGTTTTAACAGGCACTAATTTTGATTTAGCTATGTTTGATTTAGTAGCTCAGACATGGTTTTATTGTAATGTCTCACAGTGTTTTCTTAAGTATACGACAATTGACCGGCTTCACCTTCTCATTTCTTATGTTACAGTCACTGCTTTTGTTTTCTAGGTTATCTGCCATAGAACCTGTTTTCTAAACTGCTGTAAAATTAAACACTGTTTTGGTTGGGATGACTGACAAGGCATAGATTTAATTCAGTGCACAAGACACAGAGTCCAATTTTGGTACAGCATACCAGGTGTTCCATGATGAACATTTGTTCATCTAAATGTCCCTGGATATGGTCCAAGCTGTTCTCTCCTGTTATTAAAGTACTAAAGTAATAATAGTAATAAATCAATGTTTTGGTGCTGAAAAAAAATTTTTAAGCAGCTGGCAAAAACATGGTTCCCAGCCGGGCACGGTGGCTCATATCTCTAATCCCAGCACTTTGGGAGGCCGAGGCAGGTGGATCATGAGGTCAGTAGATCGAGACCATCTTGGCTAACACGGTGAAACCCCGTCTCTACTAAAAATACCAAAAAGAAAAAAAAAAAATCAGCCAGCCGTGGTGGCAGGGGCCTGTAGTCCCAGCTACTCGGGAGGCTGAGACAGGAGAATAGTACGAACCTGGGAGGCGGAGCTTGCAGTGAGCCGAGATCGTGCCACTGCACTCCAGCCTGGACGACAGAGCGAGACTGCGTCTCAAAAAAAAGAAAAACACACACACACACACACACAAAACCATGGTTCCCAACTACATATATTAAGTTTATATGTGAAGAACTGGGATTATTCAGTAACTAATATTTCTATGTGTGTCTGAAGGCTCAACTAATTTGCAGTTTAAGTACTAGAAAAGAGTCACAGTATAAAATGTGGAGGGTGGTGTTTTGACTCGTAACAGCATGACAGACTCTCACGTGGCTGCAAAGACATCTTGAGCCTCCTTGTCATGCTCCAGGCCCCTAGTCCACGCACCAGGCTCACAGTGGGTGTTCTATACCTGAAAATGAGTAGACTTGACCTAGTGCTGTTTTCGAGGTATAGCTACCTTGAGAGAATGACATCAGGTTCCTCGGAAGTTTTGAAACGGAGAGATCACTGTGATCTCACTTGGATCCAAATTTTCAAAAATCCACTGTTGTAGCTACTTACGTGCAGAAGACGTGGAGTAGAATCACTGGTTTTAAAAAAAAATGATGGAATATTGGAAATGTAGTGGTTTCAGAGCTATTTCTCAGAATAGGCAGTCTCTGGTTTATTAACTTGGGTTTCAATCTCAGAATAAGTTTTATGATAAAATTATTAGCACAGCGGCCGGGCGCGGTGGCTCACGCCTGTAATCCCAGCACTTTGGGAGGCAGAGGCGGGCGGATCACGAGGTCAGGAGATCAAGACCATCCTGGCTAACACAGTGAAACCCCGTCTCTACTAAAAATACAAAAAATTAGCCGGGCGTGGTGGCGGGCGCCTGTAGTCCCAGCTACTCCGGAGGCTGAGGCAGGAGAATGGTGTGAACCCGGGAGGCGGAGCTTGCAGTGAGCCGAGATTGTGCCGCTGCACTCCAACCTGGGCGACAGAGCGACACTCCATCTCAAAAAAAAAAAAAAAAAAATTATTAGCACAGCTTCAGGCACGTTATAAGTTAAATATGCTTTAGTGGGTTGGACTGGAACCCCAGCCTCCATGTAAAACATTTCCTTTAGGGATAATGTCTTCAATGTTCAAGGGGATGAGAACACAGTTCTGTGAATCTGCCTGTCTCCCCTCCAACAGCCACAATGAAGGTGGGAAGGGCCACTGTGCGCTTAGAAAATGGCCTCACAGCAAATCAGGAGCCAGTCTGACTCCTGGGGACTCTGTGAAGGATCCTGTTCAGTTCCCCTGTGCACCCCATTCTGGCTACTTCTAACCACGTGTTTATCAGGGGGATGCTTGTCATTCTAAGATACTGGAATATCTGCAGCTTAACAGAAGCCAGAGTTACACTAATTTCTGTTTAGCTTCCTCTCCAGTCCCAGCAACCCCTATCCTACAGCTGGAGGAATGTTGTACCCACAACAACAGCGCTACGTTGTCCTGGAAACAGCCACCTCTGTCCACGGTGCCCGCCGATGGATACATTCTGGAGCTGGATGATGGCAACGGTGGTCAATTCCGGGTCAGTAGACAGCCCACTACGTACTTGTTAACCCAAAGCAGTGACTCTGTCAGAGGACCTGCCAGGGAGTCTCAGGGCTGGCTTCCCCATCTCTCCTGGGGACAGGCCATCCTGGCAGGGCCTGCCTGCCCTTCACCTGAAGCCTGCTTTCTCCCTCTACCGTGAAGGTGGATGGAGCAGTCTCTGAAACTGCCCTACCCTTCTTATGAGACAGGACATGCAGTACTGGAGTCAGACTGCCTGCATTCAAGTTGGTCTCCTCCACCCTAGCTATGTGGACAATGCCTAATTATCACCCCTTTGAGTCTTCAGGTCCTCATTTATTAACTAGAGGGATGATAACAATAGCGTGAATCTCATGCTTTGTTGCTAAGAGTCCATTAGATAATTCATACAAAATTCTTAGCATGCTGCCTAGAACATAGCAAGCGTTCATTATTAGTTATTATTATTACCATCATTGCTTATTGCTAATAATATAATTAACCGTTGTCCAAGATTTATTTCTGCAATCCACAGCTTCTAATGTCTTTGATTGGCATTCCTCTTAATTGACATGGTCTCCTGTTATAGCTTCCCTATTCTAAGCAACCTTTCTAGCAAAGGTTTCCCCAGTTCTATAGTTTTGTTCTGGGCCTTTCACCAGATAGAACTGGTACCAGAAGATTGCTACCTTCCCAAGGTGAGGGAGCCCTATCCCCATTGAGAAGCTCATGCTGCCCTCTGAAGGCAGGACAGAATGGCCTCCTGGTAAGACACAGCTGTGGTACCACCAGATTGATGATTCATGTGCCACCACCTGCCGGCATGTGTCTGCTTCTCTCATACAGAGCTTCATTCTCATCCATCCTCTCCCTGCCACCCTACTTTCCATCCTCTCCACCCTAGTCTTGCCTGGAAGTTCTGATGCTTGGAGCTTCCTAAGGGAGCAGCCGTTCTGGGGACTGAGGCCAGTTCCTGCACTGATGAAGAGGAGACCCCTGTCTAAAAAAACCTCAGGCCCGTGAGGATGAGGCTTTCTTCTGGTCACCAATAGCCAAACCTGAGCCACTAGCTTTCAAGAGCAAAGCCTCTCAAGGCCCCCTTTTCCTGAATGTGTTTTTGATCCCCCACTAGGTTTAAGTACTTGAGAGCAGGGGCCTTGTCTTCTACAATTCTCCTCAAGGACAAAGGTTCTCTCTTTTGATAGAGAAGCCTTATTTACATATATGTTGATTTATTGGCATGATAAAATCTAATTTCTTTCTTTCCAAGATAAGGGCCTCAGGTTCCATTTCATGTCTTTTGCAGTGTGTGTGAGAGTGTGTGTGTGTGTGTTGTGTGTGTGTAAAATCCTATTTGTCAGTTTCTCATTCCTGACTTTGCCTTTTCAGTGCCTGTGTCATTTTCAGGGCCTTTCTTTTCCCTTTATTATCTTTTTTTTCTCCTGGGAAAGTAACTCTCCCGGTTTTCCCAATTCTTTAAATAATTATCTTATTTTGTCTTGACTTTTTCCTCTACTCAAAAGTGCGGTCCTCCCCCAGCAGCATTGGTTTCACCTGGGAACTTGTTAAAAATGCAAAATCGAGACCCTACCCCAGACACCTACTGGATCAGCAACTGCATTTTTACAAGATCCTCAGGTGATTCATATGCACGTAAAGTTTGAGAAGCACTGAATGAGAGGACATAATATTCCAATTTTTGTTATTCCAGCAGGAGTAATGAATTGATGGGTGATCCAAGACCGTGGTCTTCTTAGTATCCTACCAGAGAGTTGTCATATTAAGGCTGTGCTTTGAATGCAAATTATTTTTATTCATTACATCAGCATAATTTTGCAATGTGTACAGCTGAAGAGGGAGGCAAATGCCTAACCTATGCTAAAGACGCATTATGCTAGGATTTATTTTAAGCCTTTGAAATGTCATTCTTCCTCCTTTCCCTGTTTCCTCCCCCTTCCCTCTGTACTGTGATGAAAACCTATCCCCGGTGGCTTGGAGTGTAATCTCTGTGACAGTTCTGAAGTTATCAGCGGAGTTCTAAACATAGGATAGAGACCACCTTCCTGTTTTCATGGTTTCAAACATGTTTTTTACAAACCATACTGATGGATAAGGAGCTCAGTAGGGGCTATATACTGTACCAATCCCAAGTTAATAAGTGTAATCTGAACTATAAGCACTCAGTTTTATTTTTTTTAAGCCCTAGCTGCTAATAACTACCATTCATTAGGCTGCCTGGCCCATGCTAAATACAAGGCATGACGCTAATCTGCATATACAACATTAAGTAATCCTCACACCAACCTCATAAGGTGGATATTATTATCCCATTTTACAGATTAGGAAACTGAGGCTAAAAAGGTAAATTAAATGGCCCAATATCTCACAGGATTCAAATCCAGATTAGAATGACACCAGGGCTCTTGCTCCTAACCACTGAGCGACACTGCCTCCCTCGCCCCTCAGAAGGGGGCAGGCTAAGTGCTGTCCTGTTCTTTGCTGACTCTCAGGAGGTGTATGTGGGGAAGGAGACAATGTGCACTGTGGATGGTCTTCACTTCAACAGCACATACAACGCTCGGGTCAAGGCCTTCAACAAAACAGGAGTCAGCCCGTACAGCAAGACCCTGGTCCTCCAAACGTCTGAGGGTAAGGCCCTTCAGCAGTATCCCTCAGAGCGAGAACTGCGTGGCATCTAAAGTGGCTGGCAAGCCCGGAGGTAACCCCACCACTGCCCACATTCCTGAAGTGTTTCCATGACTTGCTCTGCATTCTGCACAGAGCCGCTGTTCCTCTCCTGCCTTTAGAGAGCCTATGGTATGTGGATGTGATCAAACCAAAGATTCCACATCGGCAGTTCCAATGGCTTGGGCCGGCGGCTTCCTTTGATAACAATCTAAATAAGCTGCAGTTGAAGAAGCTGAAAAATGAAGGCCTGAATGTGCCCCTGGTGTGTAAGACAAATGTATCTAGGCTCTAGAGCAGGCTCCCATTCTCCACCGATACACATCATGTGCCAGTTTTGCCCAGATGATTCTAAATTACTCTGTAGTACTTGCTTGTTCTGAGGGTGGGACCTAGGTTCTTTCCAGTCGTGGATTTGTATGACTGAATGTGTTTCAAATGGGTGGTGGGGTGCTAGAGCTGTTTAGAGAGGGCCTGTTGGCTGCTCCTGGCTTACCCACTTAGACTGCCTCCGTTTCATACCCAAAGCGGAGGCCGTCAGCACCAGGATTGAGACTTCCTGTGGGCACCAAACAGGAAGAGACCAGCAACTTCGCATTACCCGCCATTTTCATCTTTGCCAGTCCCTTCAGTCTTGGCTAGGCTACCGAGAGCCACCATACAAGGTTCATCTCTAGAGAATTTTTGCTTCTTAGCTATACTTTAAATATTTTGGTCATCAAAGACAAGTAATGTGTCTCAGATGAGAGGCTTGAATTTGATGGCCAGATATAACCTCTGAGGCTTTTAACATTTTCATTTTAAGAGTAAGCAAGACACATGAAATTAAACCTACAAGGAGGTATTTGTGGCTGGTGCCAAAGCATTCTGACACTTTGGGGTGTCATTTTAATCAAAGAAATCACCCCCCCACCTCACCGGGATTCTCCATAACTTCCCTCTGCAGAACTAATTATGTTGATTTTGTTCAAGTTCAAGATGTTAGCTAAAAGAACTATGGTGGTGTTTTTTTTCCCACTTCCCACAAACCTCAACATGTGCCAGTCACCCTAAAATGCTTCACATGGTTAAAAACAAGCACAATTTTGAATCCTACAGCAAGGATGAAAGGCCCCTAGCCGTGAAAACAGTGCTTTGGGGAGCAGTTGTCAGTCTAAGTGATGCTATTCCAAGAGAAGGATATGCTGAGGGAAAATGCCCACATGACCTGTTCCCATTTGGAGTACAGTGATGTGGTAGCTACAGCTTCCCCCAGAATTATCATTTTAGCACCTTCTCTCAGGGATGACCTATCAGTTTGAGAGCAGTTGCCTCTTTTCTCAAAATACCATACTAACTGCTAAAGCCCTCCAAGAGTCTTTCCTAGATGCAACGCAGAAGGCCCTTGCTGGTGATGGCCTCATTTCCCATGTGTGTACAAGGTGGTTTGATTGAAGAGTGAAGTGCATGCCTGCAGAGCAGAGAGAAATTTGTAGCAATGTTGCTAATATGTGTTATCAGATCTGCGGGAAAACTATTTCTATTCATAATACATCATGGGAATCATACTATTCTGGTAAAAATCAGTTATTAGCATAACAGCCTGAGCACTTATGTCTCTCGTTTCATCCTGCAGGAGGATGTAGCGCCTCAGTTTATTTTAATGTTCATAAGATTATGGTGTCTAATTTAATAAATTACAGGATTGGAACTGCGATCCTTGGTACCACAGTCACAGAACTGGGGGTCATTTTCTAGATGAAACAAACGGAACAAGTTCTCTTCCAACAAAGAAACTGTACTGTAGAAATTAATTTCCTCCATGAATTTTATATATTGTGTACAAATATAAGGTATGTATCTGAATACAAAGAAAAGCCTATCATCATATAGATATCAGTATTCTCTGTTACTGCACAGAAGTAATTTTCTCATGATGAAATAAAGTTCACACACATACTTTCTCCATAACTTTGGTTTGTTCTATTTGTTTCTCCCTCATTCTAATACATTCAGTGAGACAAGATTTAGAAAGCAAGAAAAAATATAGTG
This sequence comes from Homo sapiens, assembly GCF_000001405.40. NCBI lineage: Eukaryota > Metazoa > Chordata > Mammalia > Primates > Hominidae > Homo > Homo sapiens. Next base: position 50,995,982 of record NC_000014.9, on the reverse strand, counting down.
AATAGCTTATTTTAAAAAAAAAGATATGATCGATCTGTAACAATAGACAAAGCCTATAGGATCAAATAATTATCTCTTTTTTGTTTGTTTTTTAGAAATCAGTGAGAAAAATGCTATTAACAGAGTTTTGGTACATTCACTGCACTTATGCTTTATTAATCTTATTTCCTACAGTTTCCAGAAAGGTTTGCTTTAGAGATTTTTTTTTTCTTTGCTGGTATTGGGGGTGGTGGGGTGGTGCGTTCTGGCTTTCTAGTGTAACAAAATCTTTCACCTTCTTCTTAGCAAGAGTTAATCCCTTTTCAAACTTCAAAACAAAAATTCTGTATCACAGAAAGGTAAAATTTCATATGCGGTAACAAGTCTAACTTGTAATCACATGCATTTAGTCTGAGGTTTAAATTGCTCATCTTTTGTACTCTGTGAGCTTTCACAAAACCTTTTGCTGATCTAAAGGTAACGTTATGCAGGGGAGATCAAATGTCTACATTACTATAAATTTTGATTGGTTTTTTCTTCGAAAGCAAATTTATCTGTCTATTTATTGGGCAGTGCTTGATAAGTGACCACTGTGTGCTAGGCTGTGGGTATAGAGTGTTGAACAGACGTTATCCCTACTGTCCTGGAGTTTACAAGCTAGAAAAGGAAACAAGCCTTAGAGAAATAAACATATAAATAGTTCCATTTTTACACATTGTGATAAACACTGAAAAACAGGGAAAAGGGATTAGCAGGAAGATAAAATTTTTATAGGAGAATTAGGAAAGCAATAAAAATTAATTAAATTCAATGGAAATTATAAAGAACATGCTATTAAGAGAAAAGGAAAGGAGTCAGGTGCCGTAGCTCATGCCTGTAATCCCAGATACTTGGGAGGTTGAGACGGGAGGATCCTGTGAGCCCAGGAGTTTGAATCCTGCCTGGGCAACATAGTGAGACCCCATCTTAAAAAAAAGAGACAGAGAAAAGGAAAGGAGAATGCATTATTATATGAGTCCAAGTGTGGATAGTTCTCTGAAAGCAAAGTTCCTGGAGATGTATCAAAGACACCCATGGAAAAAACGCCAGTTGCACATCTAAACCAAATTACACTGACTTAAGATGAAATATAACTGTAAGCAATTAAGAATTTTAATGAAATTTTCAAATAAGGCCCCCAAGCCCCAAAACTTGGTCATGGGTATCTTTAAATTAATTCATCTAATAGCCATCATGGCTGTGCCAGTCTTTGAAACCATCTGCAAAAGAGTATCTGTTGAAAACATTACACAGCAAGGCCATCTTAATACACAGAGTTCTAAGGTTTATGCTATGTGTGAGACAAGCTGTACTCCTGTTTTAAAAAATCATACAGGGCTGAGAACAGGATAGGACATTTTCTGTTTATTTTTCTCTAGTTTCCCTCTTCCTATCTAAGTAGATTCTGCCTACAAAGTCTATTTAGGTAGGGGCTAGACATCTGACTTTGTAGGACAAAGTCTATCTATTTAGTCTATTTAGATAGACTTTGTGGCTACAAAGCCAGACATGTAGCATCTTCCAATCTCTTTCTGACCTTTCTACCTTCCTTTTTTTTGAGACAAGGTCACACTCTGTCACCCAGGCTGCAGTGCAGTGGCACAATCATAGCTCACTGCAGCCTCCTACACCTGGGCTCAAGGAATCCTCCCACCTCAGCCTCCTGAGTAGTTAGGACTACAGGCATGTGCCACCATGTCTGGCTAATTTTTTAAATTTTTTGTAGAGATGTGGTCTTGCTGTGTTGCCCAGGTTTGTCTCAAACTCCTGGCCTCAAGTGATCCTCCTCCCTTGGCCTCCCAAAGTACTGGGATGACAGGCATGAGCCACCATGTAGCCCCTACCTGCCTTTGATAAGGATCCTTGTGATTACCTTGAGCCCACCTGGATAATCCAGTATAATCCCCCCATCTCAAGATCCTTAATGTAATCACCTCTGCAGTGTCCCTTTTGCCATGGATAATAACATATTCACAGGTTCTGGGGATTCAGATGTGGACATTTTTAGATGGCCCATTATTCTTAGTACTATACTTTATGAGGAAGGTATTATTATTGTCATCTTTCTCTACTTATGGGAAACTGAGCTGCTGAGAGGTTAAGTATAATAATATGTCAGATCCAGGACTTTAAGCCGCCAATGCTCAGCACAGTCCGCTGTGGTGCTAACATTAGAAAAGTGCTATTTGCCCTCAACCAAATGGAAAGAAAGAGAGGGAAAACTATCCAAAGTCTGTCTGCAAGGTGACTGAAAACACCTTGTCAAAATGAAGCAGCGCTGTGTAGCTGCCTCATATGCTCATCCAGAAATCCCAGCCAGAAGGAGGACTTTACTACTTGCAGTCATGTTGGGCAGATCTCCTGAGGTCAAGAGTTCGAGACCAGCCTGACCAACATGGAGAAACCCTGTCTCTACTAAAAATACAAAATTAGCTGGGTGTGGTGGCGGGCGCCTGTAATCCCAGCTACTTGGGAGGCTGAGGCAGGAGAATCACTTGAACCTGGGAGGCAGAGGTTGCGGTGAGCTGAGATTGCACCATTCCACTCCAGCCTGGGCAACAAAAGTGAAACTCCATCTCAAAAAAAAAAAAAAGAGTCTTGTTGAAAAGAGTAGCGTTCCAGCTTTAAGAAGATGTGGGAGTGGCCATCATTTCCAGCATAATATCCAAACTCTTTATCAGGTCCTGTGCTCATTTTCATGTCTTTGCAGAAATTTCCTCCAGCTCCCTCCCATCCCAGGTGAGCAGGTCACCTAGAGAGGCCCTTCCCCCACTGGTACCAGTGGATACTCTTGGCTGGCAGTGACGAGATTTGCCCGGGAAGGAAAAGGAATATCAGAGCTACATCTCTGAGGCTCTGATACTACCAAATGAAAGTTACTACCAAATGAGGTCTGGCACTCAGAGCCCTGCTTGGGTTGACATCACAGAGCCATTTATTCACAGAAGCTTTCCAGCCCTGCCTGTCCTAACTGGGAGGGAAAATGGGGAGAAGGTAGTCAGTGATAATTAGAGAAAAGAGGGCTGGCTCTCAAGCCATCTACCCAGCATTTTTCAGGATTGTTTTATCTAATGACAAATAGGTTGGGATTCTTGAAACTACATCTTAAAAACTGCTTTCTAAAAAGTGGGCCTAGACAATGTTACTCATAAAGATTAAAATGTCTTTCTCCCCGATTAGACTCTCAGCATCACGCTGCCCCTTTCATTGTAGTAGCTCCTTCTTCTGTGCATTGAAGGAAACCACCCAGAAAAGATGTAATGGTGCAGACAAAATATAAACTTATGCTTCCATTTGTCTGAATGCAAATTGGCCTCAGATGCATCTGTCCAGAATCTTTTTGCAATTACTTATTTATTTATTCATTCATTCATTCATTCATTTATCTTTCCAGAGACAGAGTCTCACTCTGTCACCTAGCTGGAGTGCAGTGTCACGATCGTGGCTCACTGTAACCTTGACCTCCTGGGCTCAAGTGATCCTCCTGCCTCAGCCTCCCTAGTAACTGGCTCTATAGGCATGCCACCACACCTGGCTTTTTTTTTTTTCCGTAGAGACAGGGTCTCACTATGTTGCCCAGCCCGGTCTCAAACTCCCGGCCTCAAGCGATCCTCATGCCTTGACCTCCCAAAGTGCTGGGATTACAGGCATGAGCCACCGTGCCCAGCTCCTTTGCTCATATTTAATAGTGATTTTGGTCCAGCATAAGTACTGCACCCTGATGTGCTGAGACCTCCAGAAATGCTGTCACCTTGTGAGGAACAAAGAACCTGTCAGAAGAACAACTACAGGGAACACCTCAGCCCATCTAATCCCTCTAGCCAAAATTCCAAGGAGGACAGTGATGTGTGTGCCTTTCCAATCCCTAACCACTACATAAACTAAACACTCTATTTAAAGAAGAAAAGATGTATCCTTAACACAGTTAGGGTTTATTAGGTCCTCTACACAAACCTTGGTCCCCACTGAGACCACTGAAATGTGCCCTGGGGCCAGTGGCATAAGCTTTACCTTTTGTATATTTCTAGGTTACAAAGGAGCAGCAATAGTCTTGTCACCCCAAAATTTTATCCTCCAGGAATTGATCCTACCTGAGTCTCTATTGTATCCCTCCACAGCTGTGGTGTAACTTGGATATGTCCCTTAGCCTCTCTGGACTTCAGTTTTCTCATCTCTAAAACCATGGACTTACAGCTGAGGACCTCTGAGTCTTTACAATTAGTACCTTTGTGGCTTCTCTCTCTAAAACTGCTGTTGAAAGTTGTTTCAGAAAATGCTATGAAGCAGCATTAGATACCTCCTGCCTCCTCCAAGGGTCATAATGAGTCTTAAAGTTATGCCTATGATACTGAAAATTCAACACTAATAGAAAATGATTGATAAAGGATCATATAAGGAAATGTATATGGTCTACTGAAAGATGGTTTTTCTGTCTCTGCTTTTCCTGACCCAGAGCATCTGGGCCTCTCCAAAAATAGTTAGAAGAATATGCATTTCCAGGACAAAGTTCTCAAGGTAGGTAATCATACCTGACCATATTTGGGTAAATTTTACAAAATCCAAGGTGAGAGGCATAATGATAGGTTTCAGAGCCCAGAAAAGAGAGATACTTTGTTCTTTTAAATTTTGACACATGCATGATATCCCAGGGAATTTCTTGCATTTTTCCATGGGACTGAGATTCAGAACCCTATTTTTGGTTCTGGGAAGTGTGCTTTGCAACTGATACCCTGGAAAGCAGTTTCATTCTTTGGAATCCTCTGTATGTAATTGAAATACAGGAATTTTCAGTTCCTCTGATGATAGTTCCTTATAAATAATGCCATGGTATTCTAAATTGGAGTGGAGAACTTGGTGATGAAGTATGCATCTGTCCTTGGGGTGGCAAAAGCTGTTTCATTCTTCTAAAAGAAGGTTTTCAAAACAGATTTGTTTCTCACTTCTCAATTGCAATTAATGCCACACTTAACAAAGCTTAAAATACCACCTTTTATTATAAATTATGTACCAGTTGGACATAATTGTGACTTTGGCTGCTTATAAGACCATTTATGAAAACAGCCTCATTCTTCATTCATTTCTTTGTCTCTTTTAAAATCTTCCCAACAAAAGCAAATTATTTTACAGCTGGTTTATAATTGAGTTGAAACTCATCTTTAACACTGTACAATTCTTCGTGACATGTCTTGCCTTACCGTGCTCCAAAATACAACCATCTTATTGGACCTGGGTTCAAGGGCTGCTTAAGTTATGAAGTTGTTCACTGCCAGACAGGAGGACAACCCAGACTTCTACCAGGACACAGAGGGCACTGGATTAGTATACACTATCATAAGCAACCACAATCTGTTTGCTTTTCCTCTTTAGATTCCAAAAATAACACCCCAAAGGCTACCTTTTCAAATATTCTACAACATCTGCAAAAATCTTTAGTACTCTGTCCTTGGAGTCAGTCAAGAAATTCCACCCCCAGAAGTGTAAAAACCAATCAATAATATATGACACTGATTTTCTCTAAATTATTATTTTTCTTATGGTTGAGTCTCCTGCCAACTTTATGTTTCCCAACGGCTCAATTCTACTGCAATGTCTGGCACATGACAGGTGTTCAATAGCGTTGGCTAATGAACAAATAAAAGAAATATATGGGCTGGGTGCCATGGCTCATGCCTGTAATCTCAACACTGGGGAGGCTGAGGTGGGAGGACTGCTTGAGGCCAGTGGTTTGAGACCAGCCTGGGCAACATAAAAAGACCTTGTCTCTACAGAAAAAATTAAAATTGGCCAGGTGCAGTGGTATGCACCTGTAGTTCCAGCTACTCAGGATGCTGAGGGAGGAGGATCCCTTGAGCCCAGGAGTTCAAGGCTGCAGTGAGCTATGATCAACACCACTACACTCTAGCCTGGATGACCAAGTGAGACCCTGTCTCTAAAAAAGAAATAAAGAAACAAAAGAAATATATGGTGGCCAAACAGGAGTACATCACCTAGATATTCTCAGTCAATAATACAAGTGGTCCCCAGCCAATCTTTGCTTTGTTGATTCTTGATTGCTTTTTTTAAGCAGAGGTCTCTGCCCTTATCTAGACCCTAACTCCAGACTCCAGCCAATCCTAGTGAGGAAGGGAAAGAAGTCCAGGAAAGAGCAAGAGGAAAATGATGGTCATTGACAGAGTTGATGGAAAGCATATCTTGATACGTATTCGTTACGAACACAGTCCCGTCCTAGAGTTATAGTTATGCCTAGAGTCACCACATTTGGCCATTGACATACTGTTTTCCATTGCTCTTTCCTGCTAAACTGCTTTCATTCAGCAAAGCTCTGCAACCACACGGGATCCCTGCGTGTGATGAAATATGATGTGATGTTAAACGTCTCTTCAGGAGCTCCTCATTTTTCTCTAGTGATCTATAAAGTTAAAAATTAATAATAATTATTATCCTGCATATTAGCTGTGACCTGAAACATAGCTTTGTATCATGTATTGTGAAAAAAAAATGACAACCTCATTCCTCTTTGTCCTTAATAATAGAATATGAATGGCTGAGAAGCCTTCTCCATATTGTGATAGTTGTGTTTTGAAGGGGAGGTGAGGAAGTAGTGTGTGCCTTCTTCCTGCATCCCATGGGCATAACGCAGAATACGCACTTAAGTAGGTGTGTGCACATTCAATGTGTGTTAAGTGTGATTCGGCTAAACCAGGGAGTGGCAATACTGTTCTCAATGTTGTCATATTGTCTTTGATTCATGCCTTTGAACATGTCCAGAGGGCATGACCAGGAGAGTAAAGGATTTGGAATCCATACATAGTGAAATGGTTGGACATTGACTCTATTTAGCCCAGAAAAGGGAAGATTTAAAGAGGATTGGTGACTGGCCTCAAATACTTGAAGAACTAGTGATCTGTTCCATGTGGCCCCAGATAGTAACGCTACAATTGGAGAGTGGAGCTCCCAAAGAGGTATGTCTAGACCAATATAAGCAATAACTGCCAACTAGAGGGAGCTGGCTGGAAGCAATGAGTTCCTCATCCCAGGGGACTTCAAGGGGAAGCTTGATGGCAGCTCCTCTGATGATATTAAGTTTCTTCCCTCTAAGACTCCTGAAATCTAAGGTAATGTGAAGTGGTATAGATGACTTACAGGCAGCTGACCCAGCATGTGCACTACATGCCCATGGGGAAGGGCATGAAGGGAGAATTGCTTGTTTAGTTAAGCTGGGATCAGTTGGAAAGTGTTTCTCTCTTGTAATTCATTTGAAAAGTTCTCATTGCAAGGTAGGATTTTTTTGTTGTTGTTAACAGCTACTTAGAGAAAATACGGTAAAAGCCCAGCTGGTAGGTAATGGGAGGTCATAGATGGGGAAAAAACTCAAAAAAAAAAAAAAAAAGAAATGGTTGTACAGTATGGATGTTAAATAAACTTGCCTGATTAGAGTGAAAGGAGTCAAGGAAAATTGGGTCATCAGTAAACAATGGATCCACATGGAAGGATAGGAAGAGCCATAACCATCTTAATGCCAAGTTACTAATCCCGTGAATAACCATAGCTACCCTCAGTCCCCACCCTATAAAGGGGTGTCATCACCTACTCTAAGTTCTTCTTGGTGCTGAGAATAGAAAAGGTAAGTACAATTTATGATGGGATTGGATACACTCCCCAAGGTCTGTGTTCAGTAAACATCTCTTCACTGGTTTTCAGATAACTGCTTGGGAATTCAATGCACTCTGAAATTCATATTATTTTATATGTCCTTTCCATTAAATTTTAAAGCAACAAATATTTTCAATATCATGAATTGACTGTCACACCTAGTGAAAAATACATTTCCAAGCAAATTCTTGTTAATAAAAAAATCTTTTAGTCCGGGTGTGGTAGCTCACGCCTGTAATCTCAGCACTTTGGGAGGCTGGGGCAGGCAGATCGCTTTGAGCTCAGGAGTTCAAGACCAGCCTGGACAACATGGCAAAACCCCATTTCTACAAAAAATAGAAAAATTAGCTGGGCGTGATGGCTCACGCCTGTAGTCCCTGCTACTCTGGAGGCTGAGGTTGAAGAATCACTTGATCCAGGAAGCAAAGGTTGCAGTGAGCTGAGATCGTGGCATTGCATTCTGGCCTGGGCAACAGAGTGAGACCCTGTCTCAAAAAATAATAAATAATACTAAATAAATAAATAAATAAAATATTTTATTGACATAAATATAGTTGTAAATGCCTTCGCTCCATAATAGAAACCCATGCCAGTTTGTGGTGCTTGGGTGTTGTATTTTGAATTTTTCTATTACACTCAAAGGCTAATTTCCCCTTAAGATGATTATAACAAATAATTTTTGATTTATCATATCTGAAGAAAGAAATGATAATACATGATATTAAGTCATTCAAACCATATGAAGTTTAGGTAGGAGAAAAATGTATTCTTAGTGGGAACACAAAGTCTTGACTCCATAAATAGCAATTCCTTTTCTCTGAGATCTGGTTTATACTTTCATTTTTTAAAAGTCATCCCCCCACAGATAAGTCTAAAGCCTGAAAAGCTAACTTTAATATTGTAAGTTCAGAGGCTGACTCTTGGAGGTATTAAATTAAAACTTGCCAATGCCCTTGTTCAGAGCTCTTCACATAGGATGATATTCTGCACACACACGTGCTCCAGTTATTTTTGCTTCAACATGCGAGTAACATTTTGATAGAAGTGTATGTCCAGCAAAGAATTGCTGCTAACTGATTCAAACCAGAAAAAAATTCACGGAAATACCCTCTGGTCACAGAAACAAAATTATTATTTCAATGAGAAGAAAGTTCCTTTGTGATTTTGGACATGGCATATTACCTTCCTACCATCTGTATTTCCTAAATTATTGCTATTAGACTGAATGTTAAGAAGGCTTCAATTGGCGAAAGATCCACCTCTGACTAGACCACACCGTGCATAGAACCAGCTATTGTTTGACAAAATAGAAAGGACCAATTTTAGTAATTCAGAGAAACTAACTCATGCCCTTCTAAAACCAGATCAAATAATTGTTAAGTCTTTAGTCTGATATAATAATTATCTTCAGGCCAAACCTGACTATCTGAACAGAAACAGATATTTTGCCACCAATGCACCTCACCACTGCCTACAGTCTGTTTATCATTAGAGAAACAAAGATGGTCAAGTGACATCCCTAGAGTCTGATCATAATTCAGAAACAAAGGTAAGGCTCTTTCCCTGCTTACTTGTCCAGCCCTGTCTTCCTTAGACCACCCCACATTTCCTCTCCTATTCAAAGATAGAGTCTGGAGTGTGCTAGTATAAAAAATCAGCTCATCCATCTAATAGAAAAATACACATTAGGAGAGAAATGGGAAAATATGGAATAGGAAACAGTTTGTAAAAAATCACCATCTCTTAGATAGAAACCCTTTAAGAGGCCATTGTTGAATAGGTAGTAACTCCCAGGACAACTGAAGGGGGTAAAATAATATCCTCTTGGTCATCAATAGGTAAAATTTGCCTTTACATTTTGTACATTCAATTCTAAAAGTATTTTATTTAATTAAAAGGAAACCTTCCAATTTTCTACCACTAAAAATCGGGAAAGTGACAACAATTGCCTTTGTTGTTCGAGGTGTCCTCTGGTCTTGGGTCCTGATCTGCCGAAAATTCCCTCCCTGCCCCCAGGCACATTGGTTTTGTAAATGCCTGAGTGTGGCACCCTGTGGGAAAGATGAGGCTTTGTATGAATGCATTGTTAAGGCAGGTCTTGGGGAACCGTGCACGGGGACATAATAGCAGACTTCTGATCTCTAGTTTGCATTGATCTTACATTTAGACACAGATTCAGAAGAACAGACCCTCCCTTTTCCAGTGCCTTCGGAAAGATTGCCGCTCCGTAGAATGAGTCCTTTCTCCTCCACCCTTAATCTACAACCCAGCTTCCCCGGGAGATCCTACTTTGATTTCCGATCCTCACCCCACCAGCTGAGCTTGCATTCCTCTTTACAGTCTCTCAATGCACCGGGTGAGCTGAGCTCCTCAGACCTTTCCCCTTGATCTCTGTGCCTTGAAGGCATCTCTGAAACGCGTGTCTTGTTCTTGCCATTCATGTGCGTGGTGAGGGGGATGAGCTAGTCTCTGTCTGTGGCCTGCTTTCCGTATGAGGAGCATCGGGATGGTGGAGCTTTGTGGCGTTCTTGTTTGTGTGGTGGAAGGAGCAACCATGGAGCTGTGGTCCATGTATTACGGCATTAGAAAGTGATGAGTGAAGTTATTCTTTTCGCACAAGCTGGTACCACCATGGATAACCCGCTCTGTCATCACATGCAGTGGCATAGCACGGCACGGGCGCTGGCTGAGTGGCGGCCATGGCAGTAATGTGGAGGTTTGCAGCCCTTCTGTATCCAGGAAACCAGCAGTGTCTGGGAGACTGGATCAGTGCATCCAGCCTGGAGTGGTCTGATTAAACATAGACTCAAGAGATCTTTATTGACAAAGTACAATAAAAGTAAAAACACACCAACAGCAGAAAGCATCCTATAAAGCAGGCAATCCAGAGAGCAGAAAGTGAAAGCATTTTCTGCAAAAGCCTGTGCTCACTGCTAGGACAGTGGGGCTCATGGCTGAGTGTTTTCCTAGCAATGGGGTGGGATCACTGCTAGCCGAATTAGAAACCCTTAACTCCTAATGCCTAATGACCAAAGATCTGAGTAATCAAAAAGTCTGGACTCCTCGAAGTTTCCCACAGCCAAGCTGGTTGTGACAGAGCCTAAGGCTGATTTCAGCAAAGCTAGACTTGTGTTCCTTTGTAGCGAACACTGCCTAGCAAATAGAATGTTAAAATATATAAGATGCAGACCTATTTGATCTCTTCAGGACTATATTGTAATCATGGATACACATGATGCACATTTCATATTTCCAAAGGTTTCTTTTGGTTTTTATTTTATTCTTTTTGCTCATCCCACATTCTGGAATGAAGAAGGCCACAGCATGACAGTGCAAAAAGGATGCAGGGACTTCAAGCTGTCTTTAAAATGACATTCTTCTTTGTGCTTTTATGTTTCTTATTGTTTTTCTGTGCACTATGGCTTCCCAACATGCTTTGTTATGAAACTCTTTTCCCTTGTGTCTAATGTACTGAAATATCGTTACAGTCTTTGTAATGCACATTGTCTCAAGAATAAAATGAAATGTGAGTTTTGGGATATTTGATGGGTGTATTTAAGAGCATTATTCTAGCTGTATTGTTGAATCTTAAATGTATGATAATGTATTTAAAGTAGTGTAAAAAGATTTCAGAATATTTGTTTTGAAAAAGAGTTGCACAAGGCATGATTCATTTAAAAGTTTTTAAAGCCCTATTCAGATTCTACAAACTTATTTCCAAGCTGAATATGAGAGTCGGTTTTAAAACTCCAGGTATTCCATAGTCACTATGCTCTAACACATGAATAGGAATTGAAGTGATAATTGATAGAAACAAAACATAAAAATCAGCCATGAGATGGGAGGAAACGATTCTTTTGCATGTGAATTCATCCCAGAGAAAAGCAAACTAACCAAAAGTAAGATCATAATTTTTATATTTTGTTTTTAACTCAGCCATTAGTCCTTTTTTATAGTAAGTTGCTTTTTTAATTCTTGTAAAATTCTTTTAAGTCAGCACATTATCCTGCAAATGTTTTAGGAATTAGCATATAAAGGCCTTACTAAATAGAAAAGAAAATAAAATGATCCTTTCTTTATCCCCCAGTGTTCATCAAAACCACATTTTCTAGATCAGTCCTTGAAACCACTGGAAATTGTAGGTCACACACTTTTGAACATTTTAAGACTAGGCAGTCTTCCTCCACACAATGTAATTTCTCATGGGGTACAGGTATCCAAATCTTAAGGAAGGGAGATGGTTGAAAAAGTTCCACAGGGGATTCCAATGTATCTCTGAGACCACACCCACTCCTACCATCCCTCCTCCCCTCCCTCAGGTGAGAAGGATCTTGTCTCCTAAGAAGGAAAGGAGGCAGTTTTAACACATTCGTCATGTCATTATTAATAATTATTAATAAGATGTATGTATTCACAAATGGATTACATTACACATTTAGTTATATTTAATTTGGGCTCAAGTCACAATGAAGACCTTTTGGCATAACCAGAGTTAGAAGTGCATAGAATAGTGAGAGCAGAGTTTTATCAAAATCCAGTGATTTCTCCGTTGCAATTAAGTACATTTTCCCCATTTTTAAAACAGCTAGCCTTCTTACTGTGGAAACTTTAGAGGAAAAGATTGAACTTGGAAGATGAAAAATTCAGCTACAGAGTTTAGGATCAATTGGAGGAGGATTTATTAAATGGTAAAAAGATGTGCTTTTCATTTTGAAAGAGCAGAGGGGCAGTTTTTTACCCAACAAACTAAATAATATAAAAAGGGCTTTGTTTTTTCATGGATCAGGCCTCTGGTATCTATATTCAACTGGTGCTTTTTAAGCGTATACAAGTAATTTTTATCAACCTGGTTGTTGTTTCATAGCGTTGATGTGTAGTATCTCTTTATAGGATGCAATTTTGAGACACAATCTGCACCTTACTCTCAATTAGGCAAGTATACCTATTGTAATTATCTTTTACTTACGTGATTGGTGTGCTCAATTTCCTTCACAAAATAAATGGCGGCAACTTGTCTTATGTCAATAAAATTGTCTAATTGTCATTCTAACCCTATTATAGCAGTTTCTCAAACTCTTAAAAAATGGAAAAGATGCCTGTAGTGTTTAATGTTATGCCTCAAACCTTACTTTTCCCCCAGTTTTCTTTTACATCAGTGCAAAGCACTCTTTATGAGCACTAAATGTGGGTAAAGGTACAAGTCAGAGAGCACCTGTTTAGTATATGTGGCATTTTAAATTGAGTCCTTTTGGGGTACTAGTCTATCAAGAGAGACACATTTTCTTATCCATGTCAATTTTGCTTCCTATCTCTCTCCCCCATGCCTTTCACTTGGAATGACAACAGTTGACATTAAAAAGCTGTTGGCAGGTATGGAATAACCTTATTCTGTTACCAAATAGCAAAGACCAAAGTGCATGTGAGGTGTCTCACAGGTTTAATAAATCAGCAATTACATCTCTCGAGTGTGATATTTATAGGTGGCATTTAGAACTTGGGGCGTAACAATGCGTACAAAGACATCATTCTATCTGCACCTAATGTCCGAAATTCCTACTGCTCCAGCAAAATTTCTGACGTGTTAGTTTCAGGAGTAGCACGCAAACTGTGTTTTTTAAGTTATGCAGACAGCAACCTGTCCTACATGCAAGTCACAATCACTCATGAAAATTAGTTTATGTTGCTTATAGCTTCGCAGCTTGTGAGCTTTCACTAGAGCCGAGGAAGACTTCAAAGCGACTAGATGTTAGCACTTCTGCCGAAGGGATATTTCCTGATTTCACTCCATGTGTTTTATCCCTCCTCCATCTAGGACTCTAGCTCCTAGCCTCCCCGCCTCAGGGGTTACACAGGCATCTTAGCGCATCCCCTCTCCCTTTATGTCTCTGGTGCACTGTTCTGCCAGTCACCAGGTGAAGGGACTTGCACCTTCCAAAATCGATGCCACTTCACTCCCGGATCACCTGGTTGGGAGTGCAGTCTGAGCCAGGTAACCCCTGCTGAATCGGTCGTGTGTCCTCCGTCTGCTTCTGGTGCAGAGAGTACCAACTCCCAGGACGTGCCCCTGTCTGCCCTGGCCCTGGACGCCTCCTTCCTGCATGGCAGCATGAAAACGCTACACAACGCTCCTCACCCGCCCAGGAGTATGTTATGGTGCTGAGCTTGTTGGGTCTGTCTTAATAACCTGATTCCCTTCTGTTGTTCCCAGTGGCCTGGTTTGCTTTCGACCCTGGCTCGGCGCACTCGGACATCATCCTCTCCAATGACAACCTGACAGTGACCTGTAGTAGCTATGATGACCGGGTGGTGCTAGGGAAGACTGGCTTCTCCAAGGGCATCCACTACTGGGAGCTCACGGTAGATCGCTATGACAACCACCCTGATCCTGCCTTTGGTGTGGCTCGCATGGACGTGATGAAGGATGTGATGTTAGGAAAAGACGACAAAGCTTGGGCAATGTATGTGGACAATAACCGGAGCTGGTTCATGCACAACAACTCGCACACCAACAGGTACCCTGCAGCCCCCAAACCAAGCCTTCTTCACGTTGGCTTCTGATCAGGAGTGAGAGCCCCAGTTCAAAAACCTATTACATAGACCACATTCAGGAAATCAAACAGGTGGTCTACATTAAGTAGCACAGGCAATCTATGAGCCTCAGCTGAGTCCATGCTGGTGGTTTACTTTCTATATAATGATAGAGACTTGAGTACTTTCCTACTCCCTTCATTGCTGTATTTCACCCATGGCTGGAAACTAAGAATCCCAATGGATATCCATTATAAGAAAACAATCCAGGATGCTGAAACACCCAGACCTACAACTTAACAGAAAAGCACTTTTGGGCAAGTTACTTCGTTTTTTGAACCTCAGTTTCCAAATCCATCAAATTAGTACAATAAAATTTTTCCTTGTGGGAATCTTCTGAAGATTAAATGAAATATGTGAAAATGCCTTACATTGGAAGCACCTGAAAATAGTAGCCATTCTTCTTATTACGATTCATTAAACTAAAGCTTATGGATGCCAATTTGAATGGCTTTCTACTTATAGAGAACTCTCTTATTACTGTATTAATCCAGAGCAGCCAGTTTGCTAAGGAAAGGAAATACAGTAATCTCCTTGAGGTTTTCTTCTACCACCAAAATATAGATCATTATAATTGAACACATACTATAATGGATTTCCTTTCTCATTTGATTGTGTTCCTCAAATGTATTTTTCACAAATTTCCTAGGCAGAGAAATTTCTACTGTGGACCCTGGTCCACCTTATGCTCCAAGATTTCCCCAGGATACATTCTCATTAGTGTCTCTGAAAAAAAAAAAAAATACAGTAGTGTTCAACCAGATCAAAGGGAAAGCAAGTCAGACATTGGTAGGATAATTGGACCCCACTGTTTTATCTTTTTCTGTATGCTCATCACTGACCCTTCTCCAGCCTGTAGACTCCTAAAGCCTCCTTTTCCCTTGGATAGCTTCTATAGCATTCAAGTGTGTATTATTCGCTGTCACTTGAAGTGAACACACACACCATTTCACCATGAAAGCAAATCCTACTGGATGTAGATAAGTGGTTATCTTCAGTGATCGGCATTTTGTGGAACTCTCTGTCAATAGATTCTCAGTGCTATCACCCAAATGCCACACTTACTTTTTCCCTTTTAGCGTCTTTGTTTTGAAGTGCAGGAGTGAATAATGACATAACCATCACACTATGCAGAGAAACACATTCTTAATGCTGAACACATCTGCTTGCATGCAACCTGCATGTCACTTGTGCTTTCATTGTTAAACCTGTGAAGTAGCAAGAGGCAATTTGTAAACCTGTCTTTTAATGACTATGTACAGTCTGTATCCTGCATGCAAGAGGAAATGAATGACACAAATTCCTGTGCTCTGCTGAGATGAGGACGAAGTTCAATATTGCTAGATCTCAAAAAAATGGGAAAGACAAATCTGATCGTCCATTTTTAATGGCATTTTGTGAAACCATCAATTGAAGCATAAGACACAATTCTTTGTAAAATGGCATTTGTATGCAGGTTCTTTAAAATCACTACATCTCAGAGTATAATTATTTCACTGTACAGAGAAGAAGCCTCTTCTTCAGTGCTGTCATTTCACAGACAGCCTCCAAGTTCTTAATTCAAATGCAACAAGCCAAAAAACTGCTATCCTTCTGGAATGAGTTTTTCTGTTTAATGGATAACATAAGGCCCCAAATCCAATTTCTCATGCATGTGGTTTAGGTGCAACAAAAGTGCTTCTTATTTTGACTTTCAAATTAAGTCACTTTGTATTTAATGATATTTAATTCACACCATTTATACAAAGTGTGCAATATTCCTAGAGTCAGAGCTCTGATAGCCCAAAGGCGACTTTTTCCTAGTCTTTAATGTTTGGTTTTCTACTGCTGTGACTCAGTGGTAGAGACCCTAATGAATGAGTTCACTCTCAGCAACAGCAGAGCAACTCACAAGGGCAGATATCTCCCCCTAGGAAGTGAAAATTGATGGTGGCAGGGAGGGAGCAAAAAATCATACTCTTGTTATGTATAAAACACAGATATACACACAGTACCAACAGGTATACAGTATATCTGCGGTATTAAAATTTATGTGCAAGGGATGATTAGGGAAACGGTTTTGGGGTAGTGATGATTATAAACAGGTTGCAAGACACTGGTTTCACCACACAAAAGGGGGGAGCTTCTAGAGTGACCACAAGGAAATGAACCCCAATTTTTCTCTTTTCCTACAGAACTGAGGGAGGGATCACAAAAGGGGCCACAATTGGGGTCCTCCTCGACTTAAATAGAAAAAACTTGACATTTTTTATCAACGATGAACAACAAGGTCCCATAGCATTTGATAACGTGGAGGGCCTCTTCTTCCCTGCGGTCAGCCTGAACAGGAACGTGCAGGTAAGCACCCTGCCCCTGAGGTTAAACAGCTGTTGCTGGCTACCGGTTCAAAGGCTGCCCAGGGCCGTTCAATCCAACCGAAGAGAGGGAAGCTGACAGCGTAAGGCCCAGACCAAGATATGAAGGAGAGGAGGAGAGAAAGGGATCAGCACTGGCAACTTATTTTATTCCACGCCAAGCATAAGCACCTTCTTTATACTTGGACGCAGACTAGTTAATAGCACATAGGAAACTAGAATTCTCTTCATGGTTGGCTAATGATCATCTCTGTAGCTCTAGTTTCACCTCTAAATAGAAACGAAAGCCTTTAACCAACTGGCATGAAAACAAATAGAATGACTTAACAAAGCTCAGGAGTGCCTGAGAAGAGGTGAGGGTGTAAGACTGAAGCATTAGTATCATTATCAGAAAATCTGAGCATCTTCTCTGCACTCTTGTTTGGCTCTGTTAGGTCCTAAGGGGTAGAAAACATAGTCCCTACCTACAACTTAGTCAATTATTATTTATTATAGAATAAAACAACAGCTTCTCATTTATTCATTCAGCAAATATCTATAGAATGCCTTTAATGTGCCAGGCACAGTTATAAGTGTCTGGGATACATCAGTGAAAAAAAAAAACAAAAAAACAGATAAAAATCTTGCCTTCATAGAACTTACATCTTAGTGATAGGAGACAGACAATAAATAATAAGCATAATTACAATGTTAATCAGATGGTGTGTCAGAAGGTGTTTAGTGCAGTGGAGAAAAGACCAAGGGCCCATGAGTGGTGTGGTTGGGAAGGGCAGCCACAGTATTGCGTAGGTAGGGCTTATCGCAGTTACCGGTGAGCTGAGCCTTAAAGGAGTGAGGGAGTGAGTTGCGTGGAGCCTTCCAGACAGAGGGAACAGCCTGTGCACAGTTTCTAAGGCATGAGGGGCCTTGCATGGGCAAGGAATGGTGGAGAGACTCTTGGGCTGGGGCCTGGAAGGGGGACCAGAGCCATGCATGGGGGAAGAGCTGTGCCCTGCCAGCCGCTGTCAGGACTTAGGGTTTCACTTCCCTCCTGAGCTGGGCATCTCATTAACAACTATGAGCCTCATTCCACAAATGGTTGTCTTGAGATAAGGCTTGAGAATTACAGGTGACTTTTGCCCTATCCAGAACCAGCCTTGGAAACTATTTATCAAAATTCATTGTTGTGTTTCAGTATGTGCAGTAACATTGATTGCAAACTAGCAGCCCCTGCCCTTCTCCCTGCAAGGAGATGGGGTTTTCTAGAAGGCTGGAATCTAATCTTTCAGAGTTCAGCCTCTACACTTTAAGAAAGAAAACCATAAATTACCCTAGAAGCGAGTCTCAGAAAAACCCCATTCAAGGTTTTTCACATTAGCCATTTCCCTTTCAAAGAATATTATACTAGATGCTCTTCAGGGGTTTTCAGGACCTTCTGATTATCTATTGATAAAGACTCTTGGGCTGGAGAAGACAGGGATAAGAACTGCATGAAATGGTTCTAGTTTTATCCATAGCTATCCATTGAGGTTTGGGGATACACGGAAATTGGTAAAATAGTATAATGCCATGTTTTTTCACAACTGGCAATCATCTATGCGACCCCAGAAAGAAATGTTTGCCCTAATTACAATAACTAGTGGACAAGTAATAAGGGAAGTGCTGTCTCTGCGAATCTGTCCTCTATCCATGGATTTGGCAGTGGTCACTGTGGTGTGGCCAGTAGGCTCCTCTATCTGAAAACCAAGGCCTGTGTCTTCAGTTATAAGGAACACAATCTCCCCGGAATCCTTTAAAAGAGGCAGGTGACTAAGAACCATATAATCAAATGTCACCAGGATTTGAGAGCCCACCATGGTGAGCAGCCTGTTACCATAGGCAGGATTCTTCTTGAATTCCGTTTAATGCCTGCTAGCCTAGATGTTTAAAGCGAAGCAAACAGAACACTTTTTGAGTTAGGGACACACCCACGGTACACTGTGTAAAGGGACAGGGGGATGCACGATGCCTCTCAGGACTCACAGTCTCATTCCCCAGGTCACGCTGCACACCGGGCTCCCAGTCCCCGACTTCTACTCCAGCAGAGCATCAATAGCCTAAGGATGTGCCGTGGAGGCGCCAGCTGCCTGTTCTTACCTCCGCCTGCGAGAGCCACAGCAAGGAGCTCAGCCAGCCGTGGTGGGGTGCAGAGTTGGCAGGAGTGGGAGAAGGAGGAGAGAAAAGCTGGTCCTCTGCAGTCTTTACACCCACAGCTCTGCCCTTTTCCCTTTCAACCTCTCCTCCGCTGTCATGCCTGCTTCCGCTTCCATGTCCAACAATTCTAACCAACAAAGGACCTAGACAGCCCACCAAGTCACTTGGTTCCCACTCCCAGATTTTGCTTTTATTTAACTTAATTTTTTATGTAGGTGAGTTATATTTTCTTTCTTTTCTGATCAGGTTATTGGTGACTTACTGGACTGGCACCGCCAGGAGAAAATTCTCCTGCTAACTTTTTTTCTTAAGCTTTCTGTCAAACAATGAGGTTGTAGGGGGAGGTAGGGAAGAATGAGCTGAATTTGTAGCATACAGCTTACCTGCTAGAATGTTCTTACCCTCTTACCTCTCCTGTAGCGTTAGCTCTGCAGAGCTAAGCTTTGGGAGAATGAATCTATCACTGAGAAGTTTTACTACTCATTGAAGCACAAAAATATCCGCTACACAGGTTCACATCAGGGTAGGATCGTTAGGATGGCTCTATAATTAGGATAGGCCAGAACCCTGGCCACTGTATAAAATTGGAAAGTCTCTAAGACACAGGCAAACCAGGGGACTTAATGATTTGGTTCGTTTATTTAATAAAAGCTTTTAATTGAGAACCTACTATTGACCAGGCACTGTTCAAGACACTAGAACAT
Organism: Homo sapiens; assembly: GCF_000001405.40. Taxonomy (NCBI): domain Eukaryota; kingdom Metazoa; phylum Chordata; class Mammalia; order Primates; family Hominidae; genus Homo; species Homo sapiens. Next base: position 50,976,493 of record NC_000014.9, on the reverse strand, counting down.
TATGTTCTAGACACTGTGGGGACACAGTGGTGAACAGACAGGCATGGTCTCTGCCCTTCGGAGCTTATATTCCAGTAGGAGAAAAAGCAAAAATAAAATAATTATAAATGGTCATATGTACTAGAAAGGAAATGGGCAAGGGTCAAAGAGACTCATGGGCAAGATCTTTCAGGCTTCCTAGAATGATGCTAAAAATCCACACATTCTGGCCATAGCACCAGAAATGTACCAACTCAATGCCTTTTCAGCTGCACTATTTAATTATGGTACCTGCTGCCACTCATCACAGAGCCCTTCTTGGTAGAAATGATGTCAGCATTCTTATTTGCTGATGCTGCTATGATACCACGCCTTAAAAATTGACAGTTGAAAAAAAAAAGAGTGACCAGAGGGCAAAGGACCCATTCTCAGTAATGGGAGATCTTGAGTTGCAGTCCACAGCATTCACATTCTCAGGATAAACATGCTTGTCTCCATATATACTATCTGTGCCTGTTATGAATGAAAAATCCATCCACTCTGCTGCCATTCACAGCCTAATTTTCTGGAGTAGTCCAAACAATGTTTGGAAAAACATGGGACTGTATGTCATTACTATGACTGATAGCAGAATAATAATGCATCTTACTTCTATATAGAGATAGACTTACATAGGTTACCCTTGAAATTCATTAGTTTGTCATAAAGTTTTAGGAAAGGTAGGACCCGGAAAGAAGTTCTAATTAGTTGTCTAAATATTTTTCAGTGAGCCAAGAAATTCACCATGAAAAAACAAGAATAACAAATAGAAGGGAAGAGATAGGATGGGAAAGCTAACAAATTAAAGTTTTGGCAAAAAGGAATATATGTAAATAGCTAATTATTTACTTTTGTGCTTACTTTATTTAGATTATTTCTATCAGTTACAATCTTTTTCTAGTTAAGTGTACCTAATTTATGGAATGGGTGCTATCCTGTTTATGTGTGTCTTGGTTTTTCTTGGCTACAGAAAAACTGTTGCAGGGCAACACTAGTTTGATATTTGATTTACTCTCCAATGAGACTCAATGGCTGGGCCGTGGTAGACTCATAGTTCCTCTTGTTCTTTATTAAATTCATCCTGCTAATTAGATTTCTAGTGACTTGTAACATGTAGTTTACACTGAATTGCAATTACAGATGCATACAACTACTATACTAGAAAAAATTGTCATTTCTGATGTGCCAATAAATGATTTTTATGAGAGAATAAAATGTCTCTAGAATTTCTTAGTTTTTATCTATTGCGGATGACAATTCACCTTTGTCAGAGCGATGTTTCTTCAGGAAGATCTCATTGGAAAGGCCCCCAGAGCTCTGGAGAGCATGTGTTCTTTCCCCTGTTTCCTTGGGCATGTGGCACTGCCTTTTGGTTTTACTCATATGAAATTTAACCTGATGTGAAATGTCCAGTGGAGATGTCTGGGGTCTGCTTCCAAGTATTGGGGATTTACTTCTGTTTTTTTTTTTTTTTTTTAGACGGAATCTCACTCTGTCACCAGGCTGGAGTGCAGTGGCGCAATGTTGGCCCAGTGCAATCTCCCCTCCTGGGTTCAAGCAATTCTCCTGCCTCAGCCTCCCGGGTAGCTGGGACTACAGGCACACACCACCACGCCCAGCTAATTTTTTTGTATTTTTATTAGAGACGGGGTTTCACCATGTTGGCCAGGATGGTCTTGATCTCTTGACCTTGTGATCCACCCGTCTCGGCCTCCCAAAGTGCTGGGATTACAGGCGTGAGCCTGGCCTACTTTATTTTTAAAAAGCCACACATTTGGCTTGCAATTTTATAGTACTGCAAAACAGAGTGTCACTGACTTTTTCAAACCTAGCTCCTTTAACATTTCTTTGAATGGCAAAACAATAATTACAACATTATTCATCTACCTAACATTGTTGTTAGCCACTAAAAAAACACTTTGTTTCTTGATTAAAGGAAAAACATTACCTACAAATATATGGTCTGAGTTATAACCTCACAGAGTGGAATAGTACACAGTTGGTAGCTGCTGCTGCTCTCCGTTGATTCCAGTTTCTACACATTCCTCTTTCTGTCACGGGATCCTTGGGGTGTCACTTCTCCAGCCAAAAACCTCTGTGGCTGGCAGCGCCTTCTGCCTGAGTACTGCCTGCACCTACTGGGCTCATTCTGCCCACTCGGCCTGGCAGGCTGCACTCGGCTCACACTACCAGCCTGGATCCCACACCTGCTAAGGGTGAGTCAGGTGTGGAGTGGCAAGGGGTGTGTGGGCAAGTGAGCTCTGGGTCTGGCCACTGCACACAGCCAGGCAGGCCAGCTGCTGTGGCAGGGCAGGCAGCTCCAGGCACCAGCAAAGTTGTTGGCTCTGTAAGAGGCTATGGCTGGACCAGATGTACTGCACACAGCTTCCACTACAGGAACATGCATCTGGCTGAAGGGTATGTGGTGGCACCCGGAAGCTTGGAGATACCAGGAACCACAGAGCCCCAAAGAGGGTGTCACAGCCCTGGCTCCAGGAGCCCCTAGGTATGGGCTCCCAGAAGGGCCACAGCTCTTCTCTCCTTCTCATCACCTGCAACATGGTGAGCTGAGGGTGGTGGCTGAGGGTTTCAGCCCTGTTTGTGTTACAGCTCTTTCAGTCCCACCATTCAGCAGGTCCCAAGTTCTTGTCCTGTATCCAGGAAGAGTGAGGTACCTGCACAACTGGAGGGTGAGCAAGGCAGAGAGGAGCTTCATTGAGTGACAGAACAGCTCTCAGGAGACCTGAAGTGGGTAGCTCCCTCCACAGACAGGTCACCTTGATGTCTGTGCAGACCCCAGCAGAGAGGAGACCCAGAGTGGGTAACTCCTTCCTGCAGCTGGTAGTGTCGACGTCTGGCTGAGCACAGGGTTTTCATGGGCTCAGAAGGAAGGAAGTGTGTACTGAATGATCCATAGGCAGGCATGGATGGGCCTGGAAACAGCATCATCAGTTCTCACTCTGGGCCACGGACTCACCCCAGAACTGGCAGCCTGGCCCCCAGGCTTCAGGCCATCCCTGGCTTGAAGGTAGGGGTTTCACCAGGGACCTGCCCTTTTCTGTCCAGGAGCATGACTTCCTCCTGCCACCATCAACATGCCTTCCACAGTACCGAGGATGTTTGTGCTGAGGGGTGCCTGCAGGCCTGCACTGGGCTATCTTCGGCTCCACCTCGGCCTCCCTCCCATGCTCATCAGCACCCAAAGTCCAGAGGGGGCTGAGGTGGCAGAAGGCTGGTGTGACAGTGCTGTCCCAAGCACACACACACCTGGGGGGTTTCCGACAGCGCCCAGGCTTGACCACAACTTTGCTCCACCCTGGAGGGGGCACCAGGAGCAGGGAGAGGCCAAGGAGCGGGAGCAGGTACTTCTGAGCCTACGGGGGGAGGGGAGCTTCCCAGGCCCCCAAGAGCGCAGGGATGCCCAAGTCCAGAGTTATGGCTGGGCTGCCGCAGCTGCGCCTGGGATTTTGGGGCTTTGGCCCTGCCAACTCAGTAGGGAGCAGGGCTCTCGCCTGTTCCCGGCCCCTACTGGCTCCGTTGAGCAGACAGCCCCAGGCTCACCTTGCCCCCTGCAGCCAGAGTCTTTGCAGCAGTGGCTCCAGATGGGCCGCTGGTGCCATCATTTCCACTACCATGTTACTTTTTTCTTCCTCCTCTGTTGGTCCCATCTCTGTTCTGGTTTTCTGCTCTTCTGTTTACTACCTAATGGAACGCATTGCTTATGTTTTACTCTTCTCGTGGTACTGAAGTTAATGGAACTTGTAATTCCTCATATTTCCTTATAGGAGTGAATAAGTGATTTGCAAGAAATCATTTTATTTTCTAGAAATGAGGTCCCTTTATTCCTCCCTCTGCTGTAGGCATTAATCTTTTGCCTATCTATTCAACTCACTGAGAAGAAAGGAGGGCTTGCTATTGAATCCAGATTTCTGATTATGAATCAATGGAACTATAATAAACAAACAAATTCTCTGGTCACACTACCTTATGATTTATGTGAACACACTAAAGACACCTGTATGTATTTCTCAAAATATGTGCTAGCTATTTCCACTAAGGCTGATGTTTAGGGAAGCGTGGATCTGACATAATACATCACATACAACTGAGGCGACCTAAATGTTGTGTTTATCTGAAGAACCAATTTTTTGGATAAACACAGAATTTGGAGCACTGAATATGAGTGAACAACAAAAGCACCTAAATAGATGTACAGAAACCTCAGTCTGGGCCTTTCAGTTTGTTACTTCTTCACCCTACCATGGCTGTGCTAAGAAAAACTACAGAAATAGATGTGTGGTGGCCGGGCATGGTGGCTCACGCCTGTAATCCCAGCACTTTGGGAGGCCGAGGCAGGCGGATCACGAGGTCAGGAGATCGAGACCACGGTGAAACCCCGTCTCTACTAAAAATACAAAAAAAAAAAAAAATTAGCCGGGCATGGTGGCGGGCGCCTGTAGTCCCAGCTACTTGGGAGGCTGAGGCAGGAGAATGGCCTGAACCCAGGAGGCGGAGCTTGCAGTGAGCCGAGATCGCGCCACTGCACTCCAGCCTGGGTGACAGAGCGAGACTCCGTCTCAAAAAAAAAAAAAAAAAAAACCAAAAAAAACCAGAAATAGATGTTTGGGCCCCTGGGAAAAAAGAAAAAGGATCAACATTTTATCAAATTTCCAGTACAGAATTAGATAGTGGTGGTGGTTGCATAATCTTGCGAATATACTAAAAACCACTGAAATATATACTTCAAGAAGGTGAATTACATGGCATGTAAATTATATCTTAATACAAAAAAAATTCCGTGACAACACTCAAGGATCACTCAGCAGGAAGCAAAGTACATGGACAGTGCAGGAGTGCTGTCTCAGGCCCCATCAGGCAGGATGCCACCCTTTGCCAGGGCTGTGCTGTCATGCGGTCACTGTGGGGCCATGTTGGACTGGACCCTGAGTCTCATGAGTTCTCTCCTTCCAGCCTCCCTCAAATTACTCATAATAGTCTGCTCCTATTTCCCCAAACCTGTCCAGATGTAATAAGCTTCTCAATTTTCTAAAGCTCCTCTCCAACTTATATTTTATGTTCTAAACCCTCCTGTATTATCCTTGTTCATACATCACAGCCATCTGTTTTCTTCCCTAATTAAATGGAACCATCTTTATCTTATCTAAACCCACTTCTAGTAGCAAAGATTTATTGACTTTTTGATTTATTGTTAGGCTTCCATTTAACAAACAATTTTTAAGGAAAGATGGAGGTATTAAATATGAACTACTCTACACTCTGTTTCTGAACTGTGTTTTCAACCTAGTAGTTTAATTAGTTTAAAATGAGCAAATCACCTGCAGTAAATGAGGATCCTAATTGTTCCTGCCGTAATGCTGATTTTCATATGGGATCTCAACGTATTTTCCTAATTGCCTGGTGGGCACTGTTTCTCTCAGATGTGAAGAAATATGTCTGCAGGCTTATTGGTTGGGCAGGCTTGAAATGATGACTAGGTGAAGGTTAATTGTAGCTTCTCAAGAGGTTGATTTTATCATTGGCATTTTGGCAGAAATAACAGGCTTTGCAGAATACGCAAACTTTATCTAGGTGTAGTGTTGTATTAAGACCTGATACACCAGCAGAAAACCACAAATTTCTTTATAGGAAAGAAATCACTCAGTCTTTAAAATTTCTGAGGTCCAGCCAAACCTCCATGCCACTATCAAATTCCACATCTTCAAGATTTCAAGTCAGACCAAGAATTAACACATATGCTGAGGCTAAGCTAGCTATCATCCTAGCTAAGGGGACACTTTGCTTTGATATTAAGAGAATCTGAGCATCTGCTCTCCTTGCCTTAGGGATGGGGAAAGCGAGAATCCCAAGGAATCAGATGAAACACTGAGTCTATTTTTTTTTTTTGAGACGCAGTTTCGCTCTTGTTGCCCAGGCTGGAGTGTAATGGCATGATCTCGGTTCACCGCAACCTCTGTCTCCCAGGTTCAAGCGATTCTCCTGCTTCAGCCTCCCAAGTAGCTGGGACTACAGGCATGTGCCACCAAGCCCAGCTAATTTTGCATTTTTAGTAGGGACGGGTTTTCTCCATGTTGGTCAGGCTGACCTCAAACTCCAAGGGGAGTTGGGATGTGAAATCAGGGGCCCAAAAGAGTACAGGATACAAGGGTGCACCCAGTGACCAGGAGATTCACACGCATCACACACCATGCTTTTTGTTTTGTTTCCCTTTTTTCCTTTTTTTTTTCCTTTATGCATCAAGCTTCATTTCTAAGCTCTTGCCAGGTGTCTGGCAGTAACCAAAGGAAGCTTTATAATACATGGGGTGCACTCCTAGTAAACAATGTCAAAGACACTGTAAAAGGAGAACAACTAAGGAACATCAGTTGTCCCACAAAATTGATCTGACCCAATATGATATTTTTCATGGTCTGAATCCTTCTAGGGCTAGACTAATAATAGCAATTACAATTTTCTTATTTCTCAGATGCAAGGGTTGTGTTTTGTGTTTCTGTTTTGAGAGACAAGGTCTCACATTGTCACTCAGGTTGGCACGCAGTGGCATGATCATAGTTCACTGCAGCCTCAAACTTCTGGGCTCAAGGGATCCTCCTGACTCAGCCTCTTGAGCAGCTGGGACTACAGGCACATACCACCACTACTGGCTAATTTTAAAATTTTTTGTAGGGATGGAATCTTGCTATGTTGCCCAGTCTGGTCTTGAACTCCTGGTCTCAAGGGATCTTCCTGCCTCGGGCTTCCAAAATGCTGGGATTAAAGGCGTGAACCACCAGACCCAGCTGGTTTTTTTGTTTTGTTTTTTACACCTTAACATCTCTCAAATCAAGACACATCTTACAACACATGTCAAAAGAAACTCTTTAGGCTGGGAGCGGTGGTGGCTCACGCCTGTAATCTCAGCACTTTGGGAGGCCAAGGCGGGTGGATCACTTGAGGTCAGGAGTTCGAGACCAGCCTAGCCAACATGGTGAAACCCCCCGTCTCTACTAAAAATACAAAAATTAGCCGAGTGTGATGGTGCATGCCTGTAATCCCAGCTACTCAGAAGGCTGAGGCGGGAGAATCGCTTGAATCCGGGAGGTGGAGATTGCAGTGAGCTGAGATTGTGCCACTGCACTCCAGCCTGGTGACAAAGCGAGACTCTGTCGCAGAAAAAAAAAAAAAGAAAGAAAGACACTCTTCAGCCATTGATAGAGTGGTGGTTCTCAGCCTCCACTGCACACTGAAATCATCTGGGGAACTTTAAGAATACTGATGCTGCCGGGTGCGGTGGCTCACGCCTGTTATCCCAGCACTTTGGGAGGCCGAGGAGGGCGGATCACGAGGTCAGGAGATCGAGACCATCCTGGCTAACACAGTGAAACCCTGTCTCTACTAAAAATACAAAAAAAATTAGCCGGGCGTGGTGGCGGGCACCTGTAGTCCCAGCTACTCCGGAGGCTGAGGCAGGAGAATGGCGTGAACCCGGGAGGCGGAGCTTGCAGTGAGCCGAGATCGCGCCACCGCACTCCAGCCTAGACGACAGAGCGAGATTCCGTCTCAAAAAAAAATAAAGAAAGAAAGAATACTGATGCCAGGTTACTAATTTAGTTGGTCTAAGATGCAGCCTGAGAATCTGGAATTTGTAAGGTGATTCTAATGTGTGTCTAGAGCTGACAGCCCAGAGGTAAGGAATGAGTGGGTAGTGTATACTCAGCAAAGTTTTTATTGCCTACACATTTGGAAAAACAATAAGATGGGGGGCATCATCTTATAACCAACAAAGTGGATCCCTCAAAACATGAAGTCTTTCCATGTTCAGTGTCATGAAGCCAATACACAAAACTAAAATTGTCAAGTAGAGCAGGCTTTATTCAATGGCCATGGAATTAAGAAGTGGAAGCATGGCTCACAAATCAACTTCTTGACCAGTGAGGGGTGAGGGGTGCAAATAAAGAGTTTCTCTAACGAAGAGGATGGACATTAAAAATGAAAAGAGGGGCCGGGCACGGTGGCTCACACCTGTAATCCCAGCACTTTGGGAGGCCAAGGTGGATGGATCACGAGGTCAGGAGTTCAAGACCAGCCTGGCCAATATGGTGAAACCCCTTCTCTACTAAAAACACAAAAATTAGCTGGGTGTGGTGGCACGCACCTGTAATCCCAGCTACTTGGGAGGCTGAGGTAGAAGAATCACTTGAACCTGGGAGGCGGAGGTTGCAGGGAGCCCAGATGGCACCACTGCACTCCAGCCTGGGTAACAGAGCAAGACTCTGTCTCAAAAAAAAAAAGAAAGGAAAATGAAAAGAGGAAGACTCAGGTCTTTTCTGGAAAGGGTCAGTGAACTTCCCAGAACTGGAGTGATGCCTTCCTCCTTTTTTGTCCTTTTATAGCTTCTTCTGGTCATTGTCCTAGCAATTGTCCACTGTTATGGTGATGGTCAGAGTGTCATTTAGCATGGAAATGAGATTATAATGAAGCCCGAGTTCTTTCTGAAGTCATTTGCTCAGCTATTTTGGTTCTAACCAGTCTCAACTGTTCCGGTTACAAAGGGAACTTTTTATTGCAGGCATCCTGTTTCTTAAAGCAGTGTTAGGGCAGAGCAGAAATTCAGCTATGTCACAGAGGCATTACACCAGCTAACAATTTCATCATTCTGTTACTTGTTATTTCCTTTGAAAGTTGATAAACTTAAATTCACATCTTAATTATCACTTAAAAGGTCTTTTAAAAGATCCCATTATAATGCAGTATAGAAATGAAAAAATATATTGTACATGCATAAAATTAATAATCATTCACTGGATAATATACAATTGAAATAGTCATACACTGGATAATATAATTAATAAAATTGTCAAGATGCTGAGAACAAATCACAAATTTTTGAAATCTAGGAAAAGTTTTTGGGACCAACTGATATGTGAAGAGCTATCATTCAGATGTCTAAATCTGTCAAAAGCTTCCAGCTACTTCCCAGAAGCTCTTTATTTCCTATTATTTATAATTCAGTTAACAGTAGCAATACAAACAAAATAGCCAAAAGAGAAATGCAAAAAAAAAAAAAAAAAGAAAAGAAAGAAAGAAAAAAACACACACATAATCCCACTGCATTCTTTAAATTATTCTGCAGCCTCACAAATATGCTAGCAAGGTCCAGATCTCGTGCAAGGGTAATCATTACATTACGTATAACTGCCAGTGGCCCTGCTTGATACAGAGGTACTTGGGGACCGAATTGTGTTTGTTAGTCTGAAGAGCAAAGTAGCATGTATTGTGGCAGATAATGCATGCTATTGTAAGTAGAGTTTTCCCAAGTGGTATATATTAAATGTTGAACTTGGCTTTGGTTTTCTCCAAAACAGTTCCATTTTTTTTTTTTTTTTTTTTTGAGACAGAGTTTCACTCTTATTGCCCAGGCTGAAGTGCAGTGGTGCGATCTTGGCTCACTGCAACCTCCACCTCCCGGGTCCAAGCAATTATCCTGCCTCAGCCTCCTGAGTAGCTGGGACTACAGGCACACGCCACCATGCCAGGCTAATTTTTGTATTTTTAGTAGAGACGGGGTTTCACCATGTTGGCCAGGCTGGTCTTGAACTCTTGACCTCAGGTGATCCGCCTGCCTCGGTCTCCCAAAGTTCTGGGATTACAGGCGTGAGCCACCATGCCCGGCCAAAAGAGCTACTATTAAGCCAGTAGTGCATCATACAATCTCTAACTAGAACTTCTTACAATTGAGAAATCCAATCACTCATCATATCCGCAGGTTCCACATGGGTGCATTGAAACAAGCTTGGGTTGAAAATGCTGGGAAGGAAATTAAAAAAACAAGAAAAATAATACAAATAAAAGGAATACAGCATAACAACTATTTACAAAGCATTTACATTGCATTAGGTATTATAAGTAATCTAGAGATTTAAAGTATATAGGAGGATTTGCATATGTTACATGCAAATGCTACACCATTTTATATCAGAGACTTAACTATCTGTGAATTTTGGTATCCCAGGGGTGTCCTGAAACCAAGGCTTCACGGATATGGAGAGACAACCGTGCTCTAATAATGTAAGTTGCCAAATATTGAATCTTATTGTTTTCCAGGCAATGTACCAAGGGCTTTTAGTGAATCATCTTACTTACCCTTCATCTTACTTATGCATTTTTATTATTACCATTTTAGAAATGAAGAAACTGAAGCACAAGAGGTTAAGCAACTTGCCCAAAGTCACACAGTATACAAGTATGACAGCCAGGGTTTGAACCCAAATAGTCTGACTCCAAGACACAGGCTCTTAACCTGTAGGTTATATGACATATGATTGCTACACATAGGATGTACCACAGACAACACACTCATTCATACGATTAATATTTAATGAGCACCTATTAAGTGATAAATGCTGTTGTAACAATGCTATTACTGGGAATACCAGTGAATAAAATAGACAAGGTCCCTACGTTCTTAGAGCTGATATTCAAATAGGGAAATAATAAGTAAAGATCAAAATCATTTTAAGTCTTAATAAATACAACACAGGAAATCCAACAGGCTATGAGATAGAGAGATATGGAAAAGTCAGCAATTACCTCTCTGAAGGGGTTATATTTGGGTTGAAGAAGCCAAGACCAAGGGAAGGGGTAAAGGCCTTGAGGCGGGAACAAGCCCAGTAAGTCAAAGAGTTAGTGAGGGTGAGGTGCATGCAGTGAGAGGAAGGAGGGTGGAGAGCCCAGCCTGCTGAGGTTATATGAAAATGCTACACCATTTTATATCAGGGACTTGAGTATCTGTGAATTTCAGTATCTCAGGGAGGTCCTGGAACCAATGCCCCCGCAGACACTGAGGGACCACTGCAGGGAGGCCCTGCCAGGCAGGTGTGCCAGATAGGAATCTTTGGCTACAAAAACACCCAACCTGACTGTGGCTGACCTAAAGGCATAGAAGGAATATGCGAGAAAGACATGGGGCAGCTCAGAAAGATGGGAACGAGGGCAGCTCTGGGGATCAAGGTAGCAGGAACTGATGAATATCGGGTCTTATCAGAGACTGCCAAGGGGGCGCAAAAGCTCCAGCTCATCCTCATTTTATTGTCTCACTGCTCAAGATTTAATTCCAGAAAGATGGTGTCTGGTTTTGCTTGTATCCTGGGTCTACCTCTTAGCTGAGGGAGGGCAGGACATCACCACTTAGAATTCCAGCCACTGAATCCAATTTGAGTGCTATTTCTAGAAAAGTAGGGATAGAGGCTTGGCAGCAAAATGAGCAAGGACCCCTGCACCATGATGAAGTATTTGGGCTTATTCCAAGTGTAGCAGGAAGCCACTGGTGGGTTTTAAGCAAAGTGAAGTGACAGGTTATATCTACGTAATGTTTTAAATAAATGAATGCTGTTTAGTCTGGGCCTTTAATTTCTGGGATTTTTTTTTTTTTCTGAACAAAAGTAAATGCTTTGGAAATGGCAGAAAGCTGGGAGACATTTACAATCGTAGCAGAGAATAAACAGTGAGAGGGGAGGTTCTCTTCTATATTGACTTTATGTCTCAGAATGTCAAATGCTCACAGCTGATCTAGCTCAAAAAACAACATAGCTTCTACAACTCGGTAGAAACTGGGACCACAGCCAACTTGACTTGACACGTCTTTCCCAAGAAATGAACACAAGAAATTGCTGCCTCTAAGCTACCAGAAACTGAGCTGGGAATTTTTTTCTGATATAAAGATCTACACAACTGGTTTCAAAATTTTTTTAATTCTTTGAATCTTATTCACCTGAAAATCTGTCTCGTGGACTCTGGGGTCACAAAAACCCAGTTCCCAGCCCAGGTCAATCACTTACTAGATGTGAGCTTAGACAAGGTAATTAACCTTAAACAATAGTTTTAGTTTATCATAAATTAGAGATAATAATATCCATATCCTAAGGTGGTTGTGAGGATTAAGTTAGAAAATATGCTGTGTCTAGTGCAGGAGGAACTCACGGAGATTCCTCTTGTTTAAGCTGTTTATCCTTGCAATGGAGAATGGTCAGTATATAATTAAACATACATTGCTATTACGTTCACAGTGAGGATGTGGAGGGGTAAAATGATTTACAAAGGGTTTTGATTTTGAGTAACTTAAAAAGATTTATAGTCCTTGAATATAGTTCCCACCAATACTTCTTAGGGCAGGTATTAAGAGTAACTGTTACTGTTACTGGAGTGCTCAGTGTGTCAGGCACTATTTGAAGCATTTCATATTTATTAACTCATTTAATTTATACAACAACATCATGTCATTGGATTACCATTATCCCCCATTGTAAAAATTAGGAAACTATAGCAAATAAAGTTTCTGTATTTGCCCAAGGCCACACAGCTGGTAACTGACAGAGCTGGAATTTAAACCCTTACATGTCGGTTCTAGGGCCTTCACTCTTTTTTTTTTTTTTTTTTTTTTTTGAGGCAGAGTCTTACTCCGTCGCTCAGGCCAGAGTGCAGTGGCGCGATCTCAGCTCACTGCAACCTCCACCTCCCAGGTTCAAGCATTCAAGCAGTTCTCCTGCCTCAGCCTACCAAGTAGCTGGGACCACAGACACCCGCCATCATGCCCAACTAATTTTTGTATTTTTAGTAGAGACAGGTTTTCGCCATGCTGGCCAGGCTGGTCTCGAACTCCTGACCTCAGGTGATTCGCCCACCTCAGCCTCCCAAAGTGCTGGGATTACGGGAGTGAGCCACCATACCCAGCCCTGGGGCCTTCACTCTTAACCATACTTTCCACATAGCAGAGAAGCACGAATCCACACATTCCCCAGCGAGCTGCTCCATCCCTTCCGTCCTCATATGCAAAGCTGTTCCACTTGGGATTTGGAGTAACAAATTAAAATTCCAGTTTTGTGTGTATTTTGTGGGTCCTCAAACATAGATTTGAATGATTTTCAAGTTTTAAATTGTGTTTAGCAGTAATTTATGTGAATATGCATTACCTGGAGGCAGAGACCATGTCTTCTTCAATATGACTCCATGCACCTATTGTTCCCTGTAAGCTGTTCCATGTGCACGTGAACAAACCAACCACAACTGCCCATGCACACACCTCTAATACTAAATACTGAGCAATGCTTCTCAGCTCCATCTGCTCACTACACTGGCATGTATGGCTTAAAGAAGATGTTATCAACTGGGATCAAAGAGTGGCTTTGGAGGAGAGGGAAGTCAGTCTTTCTCCCCCATTTGCTGGAATAGATTGAAATGGTTTATGTCCAGGACCTGAAGAAATTTTGATAGAGAACTGGTCTCCCTGCAAGCTGGCCCTGGCCCTCCCAGAGGATCACCAAGATGGTATAAAAGAGACTCTTCTGAGTAGGGTCTTAGTCCCCACCAAGTGTCCTGGAGGACAGTGAACAAGGCCAACCTCAGGCAAAGCTCTCAAGTAAGCCAGGTGCCTCTCTGGCACCCCCTCACTTTACTTTCTGTGCCCGAAAATTCTCACCAGGAATACAGTATCCGAAGTGTGGAAAGCTTCCGATACTGCAGCTTACCCCATGCCTCCAGAGCCATCCTCAGCTCAATCTCTTTTCTGTTTCCTCAATTAAATCTCCCAGTCTTCAATGTTCAGGCCATTGCTGATCAAGGTAATAATCTCTAATACAATTTCTTACAACTTCCCACTAAGAAACCCATTTGAGCTTCTTAAAATTTAGAAGTTTCAATAGCATTAGAAATCCTGTCAACCACTTGACAGGGCATACATGAAAGGGTCATAAATGCAAAGTGGACCCCAAATGCCAAAGGAGCCAAGACACCAAAGAATGAGGCAGACAAATTCAGTCTGTTGATATAAAGTGATTTATTGGGGGCTGGGTATGGTGGCTCATGCCTGTAATCCAGCACTTTGGGAGGCCGAGGTGGGCAGATCACTTGAGGTCAGGAGTTTGAGACCAGCATGGCCAACATGGGGAAACCCCATCTCTATAAAGATAAAAAAATTAGCCGGGCATGATGGCATGTGCCTGTAGTCCCAGCTACTCAGAAGGCTGAAGCAGGAGAATTGCTTGAACCTAGGAGGCGGAGGTGGCAGTGAGCTGAGATCGCACCACTGCTCTCCAGCCTGGGTGATGAAGTGAGACTCTGTCTCAAAAAATAAAAATAAAATAAATTGATTTATTGGGGGGAACTTACAAACAGAAGCTTGGTCTTAGGCAGCTGGCTACAAGACAGGTAAATCTCTGCACTGCAATCGCCCAGACCCAGGATGTGTATCTTGAGGAAAAAGTATCTATACTCTGGAAGGAATATGTAGGTGGCTATAAGCATCACAGCCTATGATTTCTACAACATTATCAAGGGTTGTTTTGAGGGAAACTTACAATGAATAACTGTTCCTACATAAACAGTAATACATCACCTAGACATTTTGGAGGCATTCCCAGACTTGGGGTTAGTCAGCAGATTAGCATTTAAAATAAAGTCACTTATGTCCCTACTAGTGCCTAAAAAGCATTTAGATCAATGTCAGCATAAAGGAGACTGGACTGCAAAACAGAACTGTGTGCAAAGGGAATTTGTTGAAATAAACAGGCTGCACCCTCTGGGACAGAGAAGCATGGTCACCTGGGAAGGAGAGAAAAGGGAGCTTGGGTCACTCCAGTATCAGCAGCCAGCTCAGAAATGTAGACCTGCACAAAATAATACCCAGGCAGCTATGAGAATATCTGTTGCAGCCAAGAGGGCACCCTGCCTTCTCTTTTCATATCCAGTGAAGACTGTCCCTCTCCGTGACACCATGGCTGGAGGAAGTGGATACACCGTGCCTGCTGCATCTGAGGGCTGAAATGCAAGATCTTCAAAGGTCAGCCATGTTCAGGGCATTTTGCTCACATTCTTGAGGACAAAAATTATGCTTCTCGGTGTAGCAGAACAAAAGAGGGGAGTTGAGAGTAAAATGGCTAGAAGGATGGGAATTTTTAAGTTCCAGCCATTGCTGCATTGAGAACACCAGAAGGGTGTTTTCAGAAAAAAAACTGCTTATTTTCTTCTCCCTGCCTGCTTTTGTTTTTAAAATGTTTTAATGGAACCTCTGATTATGCAAAAGGAAAACTCCAGCCCAGCTCAGCAGAGATGACTGAGATAATGTGGAACTAAATTTTTCTGTGCAGTAATTCATCTTTGTGCAGATAGCATCTGGCAATGGAGGCTGGTTGTTTTCTTCTTTCTTTTTCTTTTTTTTTTGAGACAGAGTCTCGCTCTGTCGCCCAGGCTGGAGTGCAGTGGCGCAATCTTGGCTCATTGCAACCTCTGCCTCCCAGGTTCAAGTGATTCTGGTACCTCAACCTCCTGAGCAACTGGGATTATAGGTGCCCACCACCACACTCAGCTCATTTTTTTGTATTTTTAGTAGAGACGGGGTTTCACCATGTTGGTCAGGCTGGTCTTGAACTCCTGGGCTCAAGCGAGCCACTCGCCTCTGCCTCCCAAAGTGCTTGGATTACAGGCGTGAGCCACTGCACCCGGCCTGGTTGGTTTCATTTTAAGGTACTCCTTTTTGCTCCTGCCAAGCTCAGAGATTGCAGTTGGAGTTCTCAAGACAAGAGGACATGGTAAAAGCCATTCTGCTCCAAAACAATGGTCAGCAGAAACATGGAAGCAGAGTAAGACCCAAGGAAAGAAACAGCCAGTAATGAATTCCCTTGGACAGTGTTTGTCTAATGGACTTTGGGTGCAAGGATGTCTGATATCCAATTTTAAGGCATTTCCTGCTCTGTGAGATTATTCTCTTCCCTTACCTCCCTCCTTGCCAAGTTTTTGAAAAGGCTTCTTTAATTTATATAGACCAATGTCAGTCTTTTTTTAATTTTATTTATTAATTTATTTATTTTTAGATGGAATCTGGCTCTGTCACCCAGGCTGGAGTACAGTGGTGCGATCTCGGCTCACCTGCAACCTCCGCCTCCTGGGTTCAAGCGATTCTTCCGCCTCAGCCTCCTGAGTAGTTGGAACTACAGGTGTGCACCACCACGCCCGGCTAATTTTTGTATTTTTAGTAGACACGGGGTTTCCCCATGTTGGCCAGGCTGGTCTCGAACTCCTGACCTCATGATCTGCCAGCCTTAGCCTCCCAAAGTGCTGGGATTACAGGCATGAGCCACTGCGCCCAGCCTAAACCAGTGTCAGTCTTAAGTGAAAAGTGCTTGTATGATTGAGACTAAGTGATTTGGGGATTGGTGAGTAAGCCAATATGGGCAGAGTTGATTGTGAATAAACCAATGCCCAAACAACACATTTCCTCTAATATTTCTCCTACTCAAAGAGTTATATGCCCAACTTTATCCTAAGGGCCTTTGTGAAAGTAGAGGTAATGACTCATCTGGTAACTTAATTTCCTAGTGGGTCATCATTTCAAGGGCCCCCAAGACCACCCTCATGTTTAGTGATTTGCTAGAAGGATTCAAAGGACTCAGAAGTAAATGTATTCACAGTTACAGTTTCTTGCAGCGAGAGGACACAAAGCAAAACCAGCAAAAGCAAAATCAGATACAAAGCAAAATCAGCTACAAAGCAAAATCAGCACATGGGGCAAAGCCCAAAGGAAACCAGACATAAGCTTCCAGGGTCCTCCCAGTAAAATGGCACAGGATGCACTTAACAGAGCCTACGGTTTTTATTGGGGACTGGTCATAGAAACCCTCTGCCTAGCACATATAAAATTTCAGACTTCCAGCAGGACAGTGGTATTCAGCATAAACCATATTGTTTGTACAAACAGTCTAGGCACAGTAAACCATCCTTATCAATTACGGAATGGTAGGAAGACTCCTGAAAGCCAAGTTCCCAGATGCTAGCCGTGGGTCAACCTTGCAAGTAGGCCTTTCTGAGGTCTGCTGTCTCAGGGCTGCTATGTTAGCTCTTTTTCATTACAGTCACCCAGAGATCCCCCTCTGCAGCTTCTCCATCACCACCACTGACCTTAGAGTTGTTCTGGATTCTGTTGTATAAGTTATGGTCTTGGAGACCCTATAAAGGACTGCAGGATTTCTGGTTCTGTTCAGTTTTGCCATCTATACACAAGAAGTTCTCAGAAACATATGTGTTGAACAAATGAGCTGTTTAAAAAAAAAGGGGTGCTTTAAAAACTGAAAAAAATACTCCAAAATATTAAGAAGGGATGATGTTATTACGTATAACTTTTATTTCTATTTGTATATGCTTTCCAAATTTTCTAGAATAAACACATTCTATTTTTATTATTAGAAAATAAGTAAAACAAATATTAGTTTCCAACAAATCTGCTAAACGATGCTCCTGCAGATTAGATGCCCAATCCGCAAGGTTGAGCCAAGATCCACTGGATAACTTTGACCCCCCAGGGATATTTTTAGCCACAGACATTCTGAGTGAGGCCCACATCACAAAGCGTTTGTTTCTTAGGACCCAGACTTAGTGTTGCTCCTTTTCATACAGTCTTCATAGCTTAAGCTCATGAAACACGGTGGTCAATGCTTACAACAAACTTGCCAACTTATTAAATAAAAAATTAGAAGATTCACTGATTTTTCCTGGTTTCTAGTGGTAATGGCTACAAACTATGAGTGCCACAATCAGCTTTTAACCATCTGCACAGATAGGAAGAAAATTTTTTAATTAAAAATTACTTTCCAAGCCTATTGTCCTGGGGTTAATATTAATAATTAGTTTGCAGGATGAGGCATTCTAAAAAGATTCTAGATAGCAGTAAAAAACTATCCTGCAAGTTTTTATATCTGTCATGAGCAATGAAATGGTTTATATTGTTACCACTTATTATAACTTATGATAACTAATCAAGATTCGACATTAATAAATAACATAAATACATAAATAAAATTATCAGTACCCAGCTACTCTAAATAATGTCATCCCTCTTTCTTTCTGGATTTCTAGTCAAATTCACTTTCTTCATTACTTCAAATACTTTACTTCTAAAGAACAGTACATCTGTACCCAAACAACATTTTTCACATACAGAAGAAAATGCATTAAAACTTATATATCAGATCTAGCAGTTATATTTCCAACAGAAATGAGGACATGCATGCAATAAAAAACATATACAGGCCAGGCATGGTAGCTCATGCCTGTGATCCCAACACTTCAGGAGGCCAAGGTGGGTGGATTGCTTGAGCCCAGGAGTTCAAGACCAGCCTGGGCAATTTGGTAAAACCCCATCGCCACGAAAAATACAAAAAATTAGCTGGATGTGGTGGTGCATGCCTATAATCTCAGTTACTCAGGAGTCTGAGGCATGAGAATGGCTTGAACCCAGGAGGTGGAGGTTGCAATGAGCTGAGATCACACCACTGCACTCTAGCCTGGGCAACAGAATGAGACTGTCTTGAAACAAAACAAAACACGTACAAATAGGTTTATGGCAGCTTTGTTCATGATAACTCCAAACTGGGTGCAACCCAAATGTCCATCAGCAGCAAAATGGATATATAAAATTGTGCTTTGGGAGGCCGAGGCGGGCAGACTGCGAGGAAAGGAGATTGAGACCATCTTGGCTAACACGGTGAAACCCCGTCTCTACCAAAAATACAAAAAATTAGCTGGGCGTGCACACCTGTAGTCCCAGCTACTCAGGAGGCTGAGGCAGGAGAACCGCTTGAACCCTGGAGGCGGAGGTTGCAGTGAGCCAAAATCGTGCCACTGCATTCCAGCCTGGGCAACAGAGCGAGACTCCATCTCAAAAAAAAAGTGCTACATTAATATAATGGAATA
The DNA here is from genome assembly GCF_000001405.40 of Homo sapiens. NCBI lineage: Eukaryota > Metazoa > Chordata > Mammalia > Primates > Hominidae > Homo > Homo sapiens. Next base: position 50,957,740 of record NC_000014.9, on the reverse strand, counting down.
CTACATAATGATGAAAATGTAAGAAATTTGGCAAGAACATAAATGAAACTTACAATGTTGAGTAAATGAAGTCAGACAAATAGAGACATACTGTATAATTCCATTTATACAAAGTTTAAAACTGGCAAAAGTAATCTGCCATATTGGAAATCAGGGTAGCAATCACCCTTAGGAGACAGTGACAGGAAGCAGGCACAGGAGGGGCTTCTGAGCTGCTCATAATGTTCTGTAGCTCAGTCTGGCTACGGAGCATGAGTCATCATCCATTTGGAGAAATTCATTGCGACGCAAACTTAAGATTTCCACACATTTTAATAAGTATGTTTTACTGATAGAAAAATATTACCCTCTCCAAAAAAGAGGGTTTACAAAGAGCTTACACATAAAAAGACATCATTTATTAAAGTTCTTTTAGCCTCTTCCTCTCCCTCTCCCTCTCCCTCTCCCTCTCCCTCCCCACGGTCTCCCTCTCCCTCTCTCTCCACGGTCTCCCTCTCCCTCTCCCTCTCCCTCTCTCTCCACAGTCTCCCTCTGATGCCGAGCCGAGGCTGGACTGTACTGCCGCCATCTCCGCTCACTGCAACCTCCCTGCCTGATTCTCCTGCCTCAGCCTGCCGAGTGCCTGGGATTGCAGGCGCGCGCCGCCACGCCTGACTGGTTTTTGTATTTTTTGGTGGAGACGGGGTTTCGCGGTGTTGGCCGGGCTGGTCTCCAGCTCCTGACCGCGAGTGATCTGCCCGCCTCAGCCTCCCGAGGTGCCGGGATTGCAGACTGAGTCTCGCTCACTCAGTGCTCAATGTTGCCCAGGCTGGAGTGCAGTGGCGTGATCTCGGCTCGCTACAACCTTCACCTCCCAGCCGCCTGCCTTGGCCTCCCAAAGTGCCGAGATTGCAGCCTCTGCCCGGCCGCCACCCCGTCTGGGAAGTGAGGAGCGTCTCTGCCCGGCCACCCATCGTCTGAGATGTGGGGAGCGCCTCTGCCCCGCCACCCATCGTCTGGGATGTGGGGAGCGCCTCTGCCCCGCCACGACCCCGTCTGGGAACTGAGGAGTGTCTCTGCCCGACCGCCACCCCGTCTGGGAGGTGAGGAGCGTCTCTGCCCGGCCGCCCTGTCTGAGAAGTGAGGAGCCCCTCCGCCCGGCAGCCACCCCATCTGGGAAGTGAGGAGAGTCTCCGCCCGGCAGCCGCCCCGTCCGGGAGGTGGGGGGCAACTCCGCCTGGCCGACGCCCCGTCTGGGAGGTGGGGGGCGCCTCTGCCCGGCTGCCACCCCGTCTGGGAGGTGTACCCAACAGCTCATTGAGAACGGGCCAGGATGACGATGGCGGTTTTGTCGAATAGAAAAGGGGGAAATGTGGGGAAAAGAAAGATAAATCAGATTGTTACTGTGTCTGTGTAGAAAGAAGTAGACAGAGGAGACTCTATTTTGTTCTGTACTAAGAAAAATTCTTCTGCCTTGGGAAAAAAAAATAAAGTTCTTTTAGTAAATGTTTGAAAACTCTGATAACTTGACATATATATATATATATATATATATATATATATATATATATATACACACACACACACACATATACACACATATATGAGATGTGAGATGTGCATATGTGGTGAATATGTGTGAAAGAGAGATGCATACCTCTCCAGTTCCCCTGAGTCTTTGAATCAGAGGGCATTCCATTAACTCCAACACAAATGCCAGTAGTTCTCACTCCCATTTGTCTCACCAAACCTCCAACTATCATGTCCTGTATTTCTAGGAGTCTCCAGGAGGTGTCTCCATGTGCTGCTCCCAGTCCTGCTGGCCACGCCCTGCCCCACTGGTCATCACAGTTCATCCAGATCCTCCTCTAAGATACAAGAGAATGACTCACTTCTTCCAGTTAGATGGTATGATGCTGTTTCTGAGTCTGAGTATTTTCTACAAAGCTTGGTGAGAAAATTCTTTCAGGGTTTGCTGACAGCCCTCTACATCCACAGGGTATACAGGCTTCTAGGTAGCTGGACCAGGGAACAGAATCCAGAAACTGCTACCATGCCATAGTCAGACTTACTGCTCCCCTCTGACAACTAAGGCTTCTTCCTGGGTGAAGTGAATCAGCAGACTCCTGCCCTTAGGGTGAGTTCTCACCCAGGAAGCTTCTCAGCCCTCACAGCTTGCTAGACATGTCCGCATACATCTAAATCCCAGCAGGGGGTGTGATCTGACATCTTTCCCAGATGGCTCCACCTCCCCTAGGCACATAGAGTTCGCCCAGGCCTGTCTTACCAGTTCACAGGTGTGCCCAGACAGGCCTGAAACCCTGTGCTGGACCCCAGCACCGCTCCCTCTACTTCACGACCCTAATCCTGTAAGCTCATGTGGTTCACTGGGAGGCCCAAGCCACCAGCACATCAAACTTTGAGTGTTCTTTAAATCTATCATAAGAATGTTGAAACCCCATACTTTTTTATAATTTTTAAATTTCTCCAATTTATCAGAATAATTTTTTTCTTTGGATTTCAGTGTATTTACATCTAAGATTTTAAAATGGAGAAAATGCCATCTCTTTATGCTCTGTCTAGAGTGATAAAAATAATCCATTTTTATTTATCTTCTTCAGATTATGGGTCATTTTCTCACAGGGTTTTGGTGCATAAATATCTGGAACAAAGAAAGGGAAATGAAGCAGTGATTAAAATTGCAGTCACATCCTGCTGAACCATTCACTAGCCTATGATGTGGAGTTCAAATGGTGAATTCTTCCACCTGCTGGTATCAGCCTGTCTCTGCAATTCACACATCAACTCCCTAAAAAACATAAAATGAAAATTCTGAGTGGGGAGAAATTTTACATTTTCATCTTAAGCTGGAAACGTATTATGACTCAATGACTGAGAAACTATCATTCAATGAGGTGGAGAAGGAAATGGAACTTCTAGGAAGATAGAGAAATGGCTGTTATCATTTGGTTTCTAGACAAATGCAAGATGTTCTTTTCTTCCTGTGACCTCAGATACCACCTAAGATCTGGGCTACTTGTTTTTTCTTTAGCATAGTCTGCCTTGTACCTTAATGCGAATATGGTGCCTTGAAGTAGTTTAAAGGTTCTGGGTAAGGCAGATGCCATGAACTGAATTGTTTTACCATTGGCAGCGAGCACAGTACCTTGTACACAGTGAGTACCCATTCAATGATCGCATTGTTGATATCCCAAGTTGGCTAATGCCCAGTTCTTCTTTCATGACCCTACAGGAGTCCTATAGTCATGGTTGTAAAAACTGGGTCAGGGTGTAAAACAGCCATTCCTGCAGTAAGTATAGGGACTTGTACTTAAAGGTAAGACCAGAAGCAGGAAAATAAAGAGAAGAGGTGGTTCTCAGAAGATAGGATCCTGGGGAGACAAGGTGTTTTGTTATTCTACAGTCAGTTTGGTTCACTGTTAAGTGTCCAGCACAATGCTGGACTCATAGTAGGTACTTAACAAATATTTTCCTAATAAATCAATAAATTAGAAACATTGAATTTGAAAAACAGAGGTAGGTTATGCTATGCAAAGCTATGCTCAATGAACTATAATCTATTTAATACAAGAAATGCAAAAAGAAAAGCCCTCATTTGTATATGAGATCAGCCTACAGTATATCCTCAGACTCCCAGCCTCCATCCTAGGAAATATTAAGTGAAAGGGAAGTTATTTTCTTCCGGCATTTCTATATGTTTTAAGCTAACACGTGTTATCCTTCACTATCTAAGCACCTTACTAGTTAGAACTTTAACGATGGATAAACAGCTTAGAGAAGTTAAAGTATTTGGCATTTGAGAATTTGGGGTTTGTGATTCCTTAGGTTTACCCCCATAAGGGAACAAAACTCTAAAATTCAATAATATTTTTTATAGAAGCCTATATGTTTTATATAGTTAAAGCCTGCAATTAATCAATCATGTACAAAGGGCAAGTCAAAATGTGGGCTCAATGGAGGGTTTGCATTACAAAGACCCTGAGACAAGGCAGCAAAGAGGCTGTCCCTTGTGCACATTGCATCATGATTATCTGCTGAAACCCTGTGCTTAGCACACTTTTCACTTCCTTTCCTTGGTCAGGATTTGTTCATATCTCTTTGCAAAATTGTCCAGAATTACTCTCCTCATTTGCTCCCATACAAAGGTGAAAGCTTGGCTAGGCATGGTGGCTCACGCCTGTAATCCCAGCACTTTAGGAGGCTCAGGTGGGTGGATAATCTGAGGTCAGGAGTTCAAGACCAGCCTGGCCAACATGGCGAAACCCCATCTCTACTACAAATACAAAAATTAGCTGGGTGTGGTGGTATGCACCTGTAATCCCAGCTACTTGGGAGGCTGAGGCAGGAGAATCGCTTGAACCTGGGAAGCAGAAGTTGCAGCGAGCCAAGATCGTACCATTGCACTCCAGACTGGGCAACAAGAGCAAAACTCTGTCTCAAAACAAACAAAAAACAAAGGTGAAAGCTTTTTCTGGAACATGTCTTATTGCATTAGTAATAACTCCAGTGGGCAATGCAAATACAAACAGCGTATAAACTCAGATGTGCAAGGAATGCAGTGTTTCATGTGTCTGTGTGAAGAGACCACAAACAGGCTTTGTGTGAGCAACAAGGCTGTTTATTTCACCTGGGTACAGGTGGGCTGAGTCTGAAAAAGGAGTCAGCAAAGGGTGGTGGGATTATCATTAGTTCTTACAGGTTTGGGGATAGGCGGTGGAGTTAGGAGCAATGTTTTGGGGGCAGGAGTGGATCTCACAAAGTACATTCTCAAGGGTGGGGAGAATTACAAAGAACCTTCTTATGGGTGGGGGAGATTATAAAGAACCTTCCTAAGGGTGAGGGAGATTACAAAGTACATTGATCAGTTAGGTTGTGGCAGAAATAAATCACAATGGTGAAATGTCATCAGTTAAGGCTATTTTCACTTTTTTTATGGATCTTCAGTTGCTTCAAGCCATCTGGATGTATACGTGCGGGTCACTGGGGATATGATGGCTTAGCTTAGGCTCAGAGGCCTGACATGCAGCTTTATATTTTTTGTATTAGTTTAACTGCTTTTTCTTGTTTTGTTTTTTTGAGGTAGAGTCTTATTCTGTTGCCAGGCTAGAGTGAGTGCAGTGGCACCATCTCGGCTCACTACAACCTCTGCCTCCCAGATTCAAGTGATTCTCATGCCTCAGCTTCCCAAATAGCTAGAACTACAGGCGTGCACCACCATACCCAGATAATTTTTGTATTTTTAGTAGAGATGGGGTTTTGCCCTGTTGCCAAGGGTCGTCTCAAACTCCTGGCCTCAAGCAATCCACTGGCCTCAGCCTCCCAAATTGCTGGGATTACAGCTGTGAACCACCTTGCCCTGGCCTGTAACAGTTTCAGTTTAACTTCTAATGTAAGCTCTCATTCCTCCAGGGAAGAAATTTGATCTCAAATTCAGTCAACCAGTCTATTCAACTGAGGACCCCTCAGCAGGGGTTCCCTGTGCTAAGGCCCTGGTGGCAGTAGCCAGTGGAGAGAAGGCTCTAGCCTTGATACCTCTCCCTTGGGTATTCTCTGAATCAGTCTTCAGCGCTGGGGATTTGGTCAATGGCTGCCCTGCGCCTCCCTGGGGATGAGGAGCCTTTGTGAACCTTGTCCAAGCCCTGACTACTGAGACCCTCCAGGCAGTCACTTCCTCGCTGGGCTCTTCTCAGGAAGCAGAGCAAAGTCCTGGGCACTTCTCAGATACTCAGCCTGCCTGGGATTTCTGCTACCTGATCAAGGAAGCCAGCTCCAGGATCCTGACTCCAAGACCAGTGATGTCTCTACTCCCCACACCTCCATGTCATCTTCTCATTACTGCCCCACTTTCCTCAGACCCTTGCCCTCACTCTTAATGTGTCTCCTGAATGTTAATTTGGAGTTCAAAACCAGGAAGGCTCACATCTTCCTCAGAGATTATAAGCACCTCAAGTGCTACAGCAGCTCCCCAAGGGAGATAGGGAAAAAGTAAACCATCAGGAGAAAATCAAAACACTGGTTAATATGTCAAAATATAATCCCAACCCAGAAGTTTCCATCTTAATAATGCTTTTACCATTTCCTGGCACTTCTCCACTCATATCTCTTTTGAGCTTAGCCATCTTTTTTTTTTTTTTTTTTTTTGAGACAGAGTCTCACTTTGTTGCCTGGGTTGGAGTAAGTGGTGCGATCTCAGCTCACTGCAACCTCCGTCTCCAGGGTACAAGCGATTCTCCTGCCTCAGCCTCCCGAGTAGCTGGGATTACAGGCGCCCGCCACTATGCCCAGCGAATTTTTTGTATTTTTAGTAGAGATGGGGTTTCACCATGTTGGCCAAGCTGGTCTCGAACTCCTGACCTCGTGATTCACCTGCTTTGGCCTCCCAAAGTGCTGGGATAACAGGCGTGAGCCACCGCACCCAGCCGAACTTAGCCATTTTATGGACTGAGAAGGACAGAGATCTTTGTCCTTACTTTGCAGAAGTTGAAATCAAGGCACTAAGTGATTCTGCAATCTCAGCATATTCCACAATAGGCATATGAAGGCTGTCAGTGATTTGAGGGAGAGGAAGAAGACAGGCTGGAAGTATTTCCATCTTTTCAGGAACTCCCACTGGACTATGCCTAAGAATTCAAACTACTGTATCAATGAGCAAATCAAATATGACAGGACCTGAAAGTGTCAGGAACATCCGCTTGTTTCAAGACAAGCCAAATATACTCAGGTAACGAGTAAATGGTCACTGTCACAGCCAATTATAGAGATGGCAATGCAGTCAGCTGCATTGTCTGCAGACACTAAGGGAATTCAAAAGTAAAATAAATCTGGGTTCTCAGTCATCTTTCCTTTTCTTTTCCTTTTTTTCTTTTTCTTTTTATTTATTTATTATTATTATACTTTAAGTTTTAGGGTACATGTGCACAATGTGCAGGTTAGTTACATATGTATACATGTGCCATGCTGGTGCACTGCACCCACTAACTTGTCATCTAGCATTAGATATATCTCCCAATGCTATCCCTCCCCACTTCCCCCACCCCACAACAGTCCCCAGAGTGTGATGTTCCCCTTCCTGTGTCTATGTGTTCTTATTGTTCAATTCCCACCTATGAGTGAGAATATGCGGTGTTTGGTTTTTTGTTCTTGCGATAGTTTACTGAGAATGATGATTTCCAATTTCATCCATGTCCCTACAAAGGATATGAACTCATCATTTTTTATGGCTGCATAGTATTCCATGGTGTATATGTGCCACATTTTCTTAATCCAGTCTATCATTGTTGGACATTTGGGTTGGTTCCAAGACTTTGCTATTGTGAATAATGCCGCAATAAACATACATGTACATGTGTCTTTATAGCAGCATGATTTATAGTCCTTTGGGTATATACCCAGTAATGGGATGGCTGGGTCAAATGGTATTTGTAGTTCTAGATCCCTGAGGAATCGCCACACTGACTTCCACAATGGTTGAACTAGTTTACAGTCCCACCAACAGTGTAAAAATGTTCCTATTTCTCCACATCCTCTCCAGCACCTGTTGTTTCCTGACTTTGTAATGATTGCCATTCTAACTGGTGTGAAATGGTATCTCATTGTGGTTTTGATTTGCATTTCTCTGATGGCCAGTGATGGTGAGCATTTATTCATGTCTTCTTTTGAGAAGTGTCTGTTCATGTCCTTTGCCCACTTTTTGATGGGGTTGTTTGTTTTTTTCTTGTAAATTTGTTTGAGTTCATTGTAGATTCTGGATATTAGCCCTTTGTCAGATGAGTAGGTTGCGAAAATGTTCTCCCATTTTGTAGGCTGCCTGTTCACTCTGATGGTAGTTTCTTTTGCTGTGCAGAAGCTCTTTAGTTTAATTAGATCCCATTTGTCAATTTTGGCTTTTGTTGCCATTGCTTTTGGTGTTTTAGACATGAAGTCCTTGCCCATGCCTGTGTCCTGAATGGTAATGCCTAGGTTTTCTTCTAGGGTTTTTATGGTTTTAGGTCTAACGTTTAAGTCTTTAATCCATCTTGAATTGATTTTTGTACAAGGTGTAAGGAAGAGATCCAGTTTCAGCTTTCTACATATGGCTAGCCAGTTTTCCCAGCACCATTTATTAAATAGGGAATCCTTTCCCCATTGCTTGTTTTTCTCAGGTTTGTCAAAGATCAGATAGTTGTAGATATGCGGCGTTATTTCTGAGGGCTCTGTTCTGTTCCATTGATCTATATCTCTGTTTTGGTACCAGTACCATGCTGTTTTGGTTACTGTAGCCTTGTAGTATAGTTTGAAGTCAGGTAGTGTGATGCCTCCAGCTTTGTTCTTTTGGCTCAGAATTGACTCGCTCTGTCACCCAGGCTGGGAGTGCAGTGTGGCGATCTCAGCTCACTGCAAGCTCCGCCTCCTGGGTTCACGCCATTCTCCTGCCTCAGCCTCCCAAGTAGCTAGGACTACAGGCACCCGCCATCACGCTTGGCTAATTGTTTTTGTATTTTTTAGTAGAGACGGGGTTTCACCATGTTAGCCAGGATGGTCTCGATCTCCTGACCTCGTGATCCACCCACCTCGGCCTCCCAAAGTGCTGGGATTACAGGTGTGAGCCACCGCACCTGGCCCTCAGTCATCTTTCTAAATATTTGAAACAGCGGAGCCTGGATAACAACCTTGGTTAACAGATTCATACATTAAATATGCTGAGTGCAGTGTACTCAAATTCCCTCATTGAGCATAAAGCTCAGCCCATGGTTTACACCACCCCTTTCCAGAGTGTTAGTGACCTGTCTGTGGGGCCACTGTGGACCTCTGGCATTTCCCTAGATTGCAGAACTGATTAGAAGATGGTCAAAAACCAATAAACAGTACAAAACAGGCCGGGCGCGGTGGCTCACGCCTATAATCCCAGTACTTTGGGAGGCCGAGACGGGTGAATTACCTGAGGTCAGGAGTCTGAGACCAGCCTGACCAGCATGGTGAAACCCCCCTCTCTACTAAAAATACAAAATCTAGCCAGGCATGGTGGCGCACGTCTGTAATCCCAGCTATTCAAGAGGGTGGGGCAGGAGAATCACTTGAACCTGGGAGGCAAAAGTTGCACTGAGCCAAGATGGCGCCATTGCACTCCAGCCTGGGTGACAAGAGCGAGATTCCGCCTCAAAAAAAAACAAACAAAACAAAACAAGTGAGTAGGGTAATAGGTTAGCTGAGATGCAGTCAGAATTCAGGTTTACTTAACAGATCACAAATCCTGTTTCAGGGGAGGAGAAACAACATTAAGGGATTTGAAAACCTCTTCCATCACTTACTGGTGAGGTGATCTTGAGCAAGCTACTCACCTTCTCTAAGCCTCGATTTCCTCATCTGTGAAATGGAAAGAAAAACAGAACTTGTCCCACAGAGCTGATGAGAAGATTAAATGAGTAATGCACATTATGGGCCTTGCCAGAGTCCTTGGAAAATGCTAGTTGCCGTTTTGATAATCTGAAAGTGGTATGCCACCACAATAGGCCCTGCTTTGAAACATAGTGGGTATTAATCTGTATTTGTTTATCTCATATCTTTCTGTGGTGGTCACTAGAAAGGACCTCATAGATGCCCCAAGCTGCAGGAAGCATAACCGACCCAGGGCTCCAGATAGCCCTGCAGAGGCCATGCCTCCGGGAGGATGATCCCACCAATGACCGAGCAGAGTACCGTGGACTCCTGACAGCAGATGCCCTCCAGAACTGCCCAGCAGCACTGCTGGATCTTCCTGGGACTACAGGGCTGTCTGAGATATGCCCTTCTACCCTTCCCTCTCTCTCCCCTTCACTCTAGGTCACACTGGCATCACAGTCTGATGCTCTCTCTGGCTAGCACTCCCCGTTTTTCCCTCCCACAAGCATTTACCCCAGTAAAAAATCTTAACATGTTTAATCCTGTTTTAGCTTCTGCTTCTCTGAAGACCCGAACTAACACACTACTTTCTCATGTTTTTTTGTATTTCCAACAGTGGGAAACTTACACTTGTCCTATGAGTTCTGGACTGTTTGTTCAGCTACTTACAAACGCCATTTCGTTACAGCAGCCACGGGGAAGCAGTGGATGAGAAGCAGGAATAATATAGGCCATTGTGAGTAAGGCTGCTATAAACATGTGAGCCACTGAAATCTGATACTTTTTCAGGGATCCATAGTTTCTGGTTCTTTCTGGTCAAGAGAGGCTAAAGGAAAGGTTTTTAAAGATATTAATTTTCTTAGTCAAGTAACTTAACCTCTCAAGGCCTCAGTGTCCTAGACTAGCACAGAACAAGCAGATGAAACAAAGTTTATATCAGAATGTCAACTGAAAAAGTATCATTTACCATAAATGGAAGATAATTGTATTAAATTCTAGTTAGATGCTAAAACTTCAAGAACTTTTAGAGTCTGTACCTGCATTCTGTTAAAAATATAGATTAAAAAATGCTAACATGTTAACACAAAGGACTTTCCAGAAAGACTTAAAGAAAAGTGAAAGGGGAATAACTGTCTTGCAATGTAATTCATTGTCGTTTAAGACTGGGTCTATGGAACACCCTAAATCACCTGGTTCCATCACGTTCTTTTTAACATGGAGATGGATAGTTTTTCCCCATACTCTATATATTGAGCATTCTATAGTTCATGATTTTTCTGCATAGAGAATTGTTCAAGCCGGGGGTGCAGGCTCACCGACTGGATAGTGAATCAAGAAAATAGTGTGTTCATTAGTTCATCATTACCCTGAGTTTCCAACAAGAATTTAGTACAGGAAAGTAGACAGCGGAGCTGGGAGCCATCTATTTGAAACTGTCTTAAGCAAAACTAAGAAACCGAGTAAGCTTGCTTTTGGTGTCTTTCATCCCTTCTTGTGTGCCCCCTAATTATTCACTCCCCAATGCCCAGACATTATGATGCCTTCTCCTGCTCAGAGACCTTTCTGGGAGGAAGACCTACTCAGACCTGGTATTCCCTCATCCTAGGCTCTACCCTATTTTTCATCCAGCTGTTAAAGCTGAGTGACTAATTTCACACTTATGTACGAATGACCCATAACTGGCTTAATGCTGTGACCATCTTGGGGGTATTCAAAGCTGATAAACACTTTTTTAAGTTATATAATAATCAAAGAAGCTTATCTTTCTGCTTTATTTCAAATTTCACCCCACAGGCCTTACTTATTTTTAAGATCAATGATTTTGATGGGCCCCCCCTTCCCACTCTTAATTCAGGGTATTTCTGGCCCCATCCGGATCCAAACTCTAATGCTCATCTCTTCCATACTGTCCTTTGCAGGTCATCGGTATTGCAAGAGTTGCATAAGGCCCAATTCAGTCTCTGCCCCAAAAGCTCAAGTCCAAACTTCAGAATCTGGGAGGACAAGGATTCAGGAAATTTTGTCAGAACTATGAGCTTTGAACTTTCACTTTTATGGTGAGGGTCACATTTGGTCTGAATCAATTAATCCATTACCCGCCCCCCCCCCCCCCCCCACCACCACCATGTGTGAATTCAAAATAATCAACTTGGGTTTATTATAAAAAACAAAATATATTAATATAAGTATACTAAGATTTTTCTAGAAAACTTGGCCGGGCGCGGTGGCTCACGCCTGTAATCCCAGCACTTTGGGAGACCGAGGAGGGCGGATCACAAGGTCAGGAGATCGAGACCATCCTGGCTAACACGGTGAAACCCCATCTGTACTAAAAATACAAAAAATTAGCCGGGCGTGGTGGCGGGCGCCTGTAGTCCCAGCTACTCGGGAGGCTGAGGCGGGAGAATGGCGTGAACCCGGGAGGCGGAGCTTGCAGTGAGCCCAGATCGCGCCACTGCACTCTGCCTGGGTAACAGAGTGAGACCCTGTCTCAAAAAACAACAAACAAATAAACTTAGAAGAATATATGTGACTATTGGCCGGGCGCGGTGGCTCACGCCTGTAATCCCAGCCCTTTGGGAGGCCGAGGCGGGCAGATCACGAGGTCAGGAGATAGAGACCATCCTGGCTAACATGGTGAAACCCTGTCTCTACTAAAAATAAAAAAATAAAAAATAAAAAATGCGAGGTGGCGGGCGCCTGTAGTCCCAGCTATTCAGGAGGCTGAAGCAGGAGAATGGCGTGAACCCGGGAGGCGGAGCTTGCAGTGAGCCGAGATCGCGCCACTGCACTCCAGCCTGGGCAACAGAGTGAGACTCCGTCTCAAAAAAAAAAAAAAAAGAAGAAGAAGAAAGAAAAAGAAAAGAAAAAGGAAAAAGAAAACTTAATTCTGGCAATGGACTGTTTCTAAAATAATATATTAATACTACTTAATGAGGAAGAAAAAACCTCTGACATCCTAAAATGCCAAGTGTTTGCCTTTACCAAGGTTTAAGCACACATAAACACGCATATTCAAATACCACCCAAAGTGGAGGTGCAAAGATCAGCCTGTACCGCACAGTAACACAGACTGGGTTGTTTTTTGTAAAGAAGGCAACTAGTCCAGTGAGTAATCCCTTCATTTTCCACACACATACCCTTCTGTTTTCTCCCTCTCCTCCCCCCACACCCTCCACTGCAGTTAAAACGTAATTCGAAGAAGCCTAAGGTAAAAGCCCCTGCCGCATAATGACCCTAGAGCTTCACCTCACCTACTCTGATTCTTAGTAACCTACCTCTAAGGATGAGAGACAGGGTGCTACGAGCGGGGCGAACTTTGGTCCAGGAGTTAAGAAACCTGAACCCTGGAGTCCTCAAAAAAAATGAATGAAAATAACAGAGGCGCCCTGAGGATCCAAGCTGGGGCGGTGCCAAGGGCTGGCAAGTGAGGTTGGGACAACAGAAGTCAAACGTGCCGTCCTTCCAGATCCCGGCGCTTATGGCGGAAGCCACTCCAGGTGAGAAATCCTAACAGTCATAATGGCATAACAAATAAACATCGGCAAAACAGCAGTCTGCCAACGACGTGCTTCCCTACACAGACGTCCTCCTGTCTCCACACTCTAGAGGGGAGAGGCGGAACAAATGCTGCCTCCGCAGATTTTGGAAATCCGGAAGGGAGCCTCCGAGCCCAGGTCCCGGGCTGGCAGGGGTCTCGCCGGCGCTTGGACCTCGTCTCCCACCCCCGAGCCCACTGCGGCCCCAGAGCCTCGGGAGGGGCCGGGCACTTCCTCTGCCCTCCGGCCTGGGGCAGGGGCCGGGACGCGGTGGGAGTGCAGCGGGGACGGCACCGCCCGAGGGGGCGGGCCCCAAACTTTCGTGCGCGTTGAAAGCTGCTGGCGCGGCGGGGCGGACTCCACCCCTGCCCGGCAGCCCAGCGCCTCCGGCCGCACTTCCAGCTCTCTGCGCAGCCCGCCGCGCAGCCCGCCGCCCCAGCCATGGCGAAGCCCCTGACGGACCAGGAGAAGCGGCGGCAGATCAGCATCCGCGGCATCGTGGGCGTGGAGAACGTGGCAGAGCTGAAGAAGAGTTTCAACCGGCACCTGCACTTCACGCTGGTCAAGGACCGCAACGTGGCCACCACCCGCGACTACTACTTCGCGCTGGCGCACACGGTGCGCGACCACCTGGTGGGGCGCTGGATCCGCACGCAGCAGCACTACTACGACAAGTGCCCCAAGGTAACCGGGGGCGGGACGGCGGGCCGGGGTCCAGCCCGGAGTCGGAGTCTCCGGCCGCGGCCGGGCGGGACGAGGTGGAGAACCCCTCAGAGTGGTCCCTTGCACCCGGTCCTTGCCCCGAAGTCCAGAGGAGACGTGTCTAGGCTGTGGGCGGGCAGCCTGGGGGACAGATTAGGCCTCCCAACAGACGCCGAACTCATGTCTCCGAGGTGCCACCCGCCAGTGTCCCGCCCAAACCACTGTGCCGTCCGCCCCTGGAAACCGCCAGGTGGGCAAAAGCCCAGGCCCCTCTCGCCTGTCCACTTCACAAACTTTTTTGGAACTTTGACTCTCAGCATTTAATCAAGAGGTGACGGGGGCCTCTTGTCCTGTATGCCGGACACTATTCTCTGCCCTGGACACTCAGCCCTAAACAAAAGGGACAAAAATCTTGCCTTGCTGGAGCTTGGTATTTTGGGAGGGGAGACAAACGCCGAGCTGGGAAAAGGTCGTAAGTCTCAGGCCTCTGGGAGTGGCTAAGTGTGGTGCAGAGGAGGGGCAGGGTCCCGCTCCAAGCGTAGAGCGCCGCCCACCCATTCTCCTGAGTGGGTGTAGCTCCTGGAATTCCGTGAGTCTTTCGCAAAGGCGGCCCAGGGCCAGGCAATGCCCTGGACTCGTCCTCCCCGAAGACACACACTCCCCCGACCCTTAGCCCTTCCACACCCGAGGCCTGCCCCCAGAGCTGCTGAGGAAGGCTGGTCAGGGACCACCTCCATCCACGGCGTGGGGGCGGGAGCAGAGACCTCCTTAGGGTGATTTTGGACCTACAGAGGGACAATATCTCTGCCTGACAGTTTGCGAAGAGGGCGAGAGGCAGTGGGGAAGGACTGGGGAGGACATGGCAGGGAGAGGGATTGTGTGCAGGCTGGAGTGAGGGCGGGTGTGAGTCTGTATTGGGAGAGGAAACTGGAGAAGCCAGGTAGAGACATATTGGAAAGAATAAAAGATTGGGATACATCCCAGGGGCAGTGGGAAATATATATAAACATTTATTAGAACTTTTTAATTATGTAAAGGTGTGAAGAAAAAAAAATGGTCTATAATCCCAGTGCCCAAGAAACCCCATAGGAATTTTTAAGAAAGGAAATGAATGTAAATTCTCATAGTAAGAAATTGCAACTGTAACAGTTTTCAAATGGAAAGTAACTCTTCTTCACCCCAAAGACCTAGGCCTCCACCAAGGTAGCAACTGCTAAAATGTATCCTTAAAAATTTAAATGCACCTTAGAAAACACTTTATGTATACATATATTTACTGTTTTGTTGTTTTGTTTTGTTTTGTTTTGTTTTGTTTTGTTTGAGACAGAGTCTCACTCTCGCCCAGGCTGAATGAAGTGCAGCGGCGCCATCTTGGCTCACTGCATCCTTCGCCTCCAGGGTTGAAGCGATTCTCCTGCCTCAGACTCTCGAGTAGCTGGGACTACAGGCTCCTACCACTACACCTGGCTAAGTTTGTATTTTTAGTAGAGACAAGGTTTCACCATGTTGGCCAGGCTGCTCTCAAACTCCTGGCCTCAAATGATCCTCCTTCCTTGGCCTCCCAAAGTGCTGGGATTACAGGTGTGAGCCACCACACTCGGCCACTATCTTTTAAAAATTTATTTACACAAAGGGAATGCTACTAAGTACACCATACTGCGCCTCTCATTAAAAATTATTTTTAACAATTTTAAGCGGAAGGGTGGGACACTGAGCATATATTAGAAACACACACTCACGCCTCTGTAGCATTTAGCATCATAGAGCACCAGAGAATCTTGTATGTTTTTCCTTCAGTGGCTTATGCAGTGCTTTATGGTTTTCCTGGTTCTCCGGCCAGTTTCTTCACTGGGCTCTCCTTTTCTACGTGAGTGCAGATATAAGCCAGGAATTCCGACGTGTGTAAATTCTGATAGCGATACACTGGGGATACAACAATGAACATGTTTCATTCCACACGTGTTCATCAAATATCTACTCCATCACAGTCGTCTGTCTAAACAGGATGGTTCCTGCCCTCATAAAGTAGAGCAAGTAGGTGTGTCCAAGCTCCTCTCCCACCTCCCTTGCTCTCCAATAACTGTGCAGATGAATCCCAAATATGGATCCCTAGTCTGAATTCCTTTTCTAACTCTATGCGTACATTTCTGAGTGTTTAGTGAACATATCTAGATATCTTCCTATTTCCTCAAACTCAGTACGTTAAAAACTCAAACCATTATTTCTCCCAATCCTGCCCCATCTTCCCGTGTTTTGTTTTGTTTTGTGACAGAGTCTCACTCTGTCACCCATGTTGGAGTGCAATGATGCAATCTCGGCTCACTGCAACCTCTGCCTCTCGGGTTCAAGTGATTCTCCTGCCTTAGCCTCCTGAGTAGCTGGGATTACAGGTGCATGCCACCATGCCCAGCTACTTTTTGTATTTTTAGTAGCGACAGGATTCCACCATTTGGACAGGCTGGTCTCGAACTCCTGACCTGGTGATCCACCCACCTCGGCCTCCCAAAGTGCTGGGATTACAGGCATGAGCCACCACGACTGGCCTCTGTGTTTTTTGTTTTCATGCCATTGTCATCTTGACAATCCAGACGCAAACTTTAGTCTCACTTTTTGCCGTTCAACTGTTTGCCAATTTCTGTTGATTTCTATAGGTTCCCTTGAATGACGTGCTCTCCTCCATTATCTCTTCCTGCCTTGGTGAGGCTCTAGCTACCCATTTGTTGCAGCTGACTTCACGTGGTTATTTTGCTTTCCAGAAGTGGTAAAACCGGCAGCCTGAGGCTGAATAAGGATAGCAGACATACTTTGTTGGCCAAGACATTTTTCAGGAATTTAATTTTTAGCGCCTGTGGTCAGGACTTGCACACTCCATTTCTTAGCCCAGTACTCTTCTTTGTTTTATGTGACCTCAATTACACATTTATTTTCTCTGCCTAGCTCCTGAAGGCATTTGAGTATATGATCCCGTCTCATTCTGTGCATTGTGGTCTGCTCAAGCTTCCTAAAGCAACGCATCTTGCCCCTGCTCAATTATCATTGGCTCCTCTTGCCTGCCATAGAACTTAAGCAAGTATTCGAAAGCACTTCTCAGTCCAGGTGGGCCTGTTCTTCCCTTGTTATCTTCCATTACCCTCTGTACCCACCTTGCTCTCCCAACAAACCAATCCCCACTCTGGGCCCCCGATTCACTTGCAGTGTCCTTCCTACCACATTTCTATGCTCAACTCTTGCCTGTCCTGCAAGTCTCAGGTTTATTGACAGGTGTTCCAGAGGTCTTCCCGGAAGTACCCAGGCCCTCTGACTAATGCTGGGGATAAAAATAAAACATACAATTTAAAAATATTTGTTATATCTTCTTTATTTTATTTTACAAGCCTTTTGAAAATATCCACTTTTTACATAAAATACTAGTAATCATAGTACATGCATGTAATTTATAAAGTATATTGGAGATGCTCATATATTTTACTATCAGTCATATGTAACAAATATTTAGAGACCAGTAAGTAAGAGTATGGCCAAGATCTATTTTTTGAAGTCTTATATATTCCCAAATATAAGGAGAGATTACCTCTAAGAAGTTATTTGTGAGAAAACAGGGAATCACCTTACGTTCCTGTCCTTATAAAGTCTGTCATGCAAGGAAGTATTTTCTCATTTACTTTATTCTGAGCAACCACATATCTCTCAAGAGAGACTTTGAAATATTTTTAAGAAGACTTAAGTTCGTGCTAATGTGGAATCATTAAAAAGGAGGCAAATTTAATACAGATGTAGTCATTATTCCTGGGGGTATAACCTCACAATTGCAAGTGTGGAATATATACTATATAAACAAGCTTTTTGTAGATTACTTAAAAGAAAAAGGCAAAACATCATGGTTATAGAGATAATGAAAATACACACATGGAAGGATTTTTTTAAACTGGGTAATACTATGCAAATGGGTATTTGTGGCTTAAGATACTATTACCTGTGACAGCGGTCATCACGTACTAGAGCACCAGCCATTGCCTATGTCTGCCCCAGAGAAGGTACTTTTATCCAATCATTCGAAGGTATCTAATAGCTGGTGAGGGTTCTAGTAACAGCATTATAGACATTCAAACAACTTGGATGAAAACGAAGATGATGTGTTCTGGAAAGCAGTGTTAGGTGGCCCGTTAGGTCATGGATGTTGACCATTTGTTGTGAAATTTAGAACTCAATTGTTCATAAAAGGAAAATGGGAAAGAATGAAATTTCCAAGTTGACGTTTTCAAATAATATTTTGTTTTAAATATTTATGTGTAACTAGTATGTTAAATATGATAATACGCCTTTATTATACTGAATTCTACTCACAATTTTTTTTGATTGGCCAAATTATTATTTTTTCTTTTTTTACTTCTTATCTTATGGAAATGGGGCAATCCCTAAAATTTGAGGTAACTATATTGGTGCATTTACAGATTTTTGCCATTTTGTTTTGTGTCTAGTAGAGAAGAGAGGATAGATGATTGGAGAATAAGATATTGTAAAAGGGGGCAATGAAGTTACTCACTGGTGCTTTTTTTTTTTAATTAGTAAACTGTGCTGTATATAAAGAAGGTTTTCAGCAGGTCTGAACTTTGTACCTCTCACCTTCAACTCTGATGATATTTGCCTGACTTTTACCATGTCAAAGGCAAATAATGTCTAAGTCAATAGAGAAATTTCCAATTTCAATAAGAACAAACACCAATAAACCTTAGGTAGTCTTCTTGTTCATAAGGAACTTGCCAGTAAATAGACTTTATAGAAAAATTTGATTCTAAAATTAATTGTAGGCCGGGCGCTTGGCTCACGCCTGTAATCCCAGCACTTTGGGAGGCCAAGGCAGGCAGATCACCTGAGGTTAGGAGTTCAAGACCAGGCTGGCCAACATGGCAAAACCTTGTTTCTACTAAAAATACAAAAATTAGCTGGGCATGGTGGCAGGCGCCTGTAGTCTCAGCTACTCAGGAGGCTGAAGGAGAATTGCTTGAACTAGGAGACAGAGGTTGCAGTGAGCTGAGATTGCGCCACTGCACTCCAGCCTGGCCGACAGAGGGAGACTGTGTCTCAATCAATCCATCAATAAATAAATAAATTAATTAATTAATTAAACTGTAAAATTTCTTACAGTAATCAGCCAAGGAGGAATATTTTCTACCCATGCGGTGTGTGGGAGTTAATCTTTGTGTTTCTTGGATGACTTGAGATAGTCATAGCCAACTCAGCTTACCGGCACCCACCAAGGTGCCCTATAAATATTTTATTAATGAATGGTGAGCTATGGCCGTCTGACTTCTGTTTGTCCAAAACCTATGCTTTATTCATGAGGTTCATGATCAGGAGAGGGAAAAAACACAAAACATTGAATCTACTTAGATGAGTTTGCTTTTTTTCTCCCCGGGGGTAAAAAATACTGAATTACTTCGCCAAAAATAGTGCTTTGCCAAAACCTGTTGTCAGTAACACTTTTATTTAGTCCTTCATACATCTCTATAGGAGTGTTAGCAGAAAGGAGTCACCATCCCAGACTCCAAGAGAGGGTTCTTGGATCTCGCACAAGAATTTGAGGCAAATTCATAGAGTAAAGTGAAAGCAAGTTTATTAAGAAAGTAAAGGGGCCGGGCGCAGTGGCTCGCGCCTCTAATCTCAGCACTTTGGGAGGCCGAGGTGGGCGGATCACCTGAGGTCAGGAGTTCGAGACCAGCCTGACCAACATGGAGTAAACCCCATCTCTACTAAAAATAGAAAAATTAGCTGGGCATGGTGGCGCATGCCTGTAGTCCCAGCTCCTCAGGAGGCTGAGGCAGGACAATCTCTTGAACCCAGGAGGTAGAGGTTGCAGTGAGCTGATATTGGACCATTGCACTTCAGCCTGGTGACAGAGCAAGACTTTGTCTTTAAAATAAAAAAAGAAAAGATTTTGAAATATTTTTAAATATCTTAAGTCCATGCTAATTTGGAATCATTAAAAAGGAGGCAAAGAAAACCTTTTATCAGCAAGGTTTCTGTGACCTGTATCTTGTGCAGACCTCCTATTTCATCCTGTGACTTAG
Source organism: Homo sapiens (assembly GCF_000001405.40). Taxonomy (NCBI): domain Eukaryota; kingdom Metazoa; phylum Chordata; class Mammalia; order Primates; family Hominidae; genus Homo; species Homo sapiens. The sequence goes on along the minus strand of NC_000014.9, from coordinate 50,938,074 downwards.
AATGCCAAACGTTCTGAGAATGCAGCCCAGTAGGTCTCAGCCTTATTTTACCCAGCTCCTATTCAAGATGGAGTCACTTTGGTTCAAACACCTCTGACGGGAGTCTCATTCGAACCTGTGGTGACATAGTCCTGCCTGTTTGTTTCTTATTGGTGACCTAACACATGACCTTGTGTTTTTATGTTAAGTGAGGTTGATCTCTTGGGGGAAACATTATCTCTCTTTTCTTTATTTCAGAGGGTATATTACCTCTCTCTGGAATTTTACATGGGCCGAACATTACAGAACACCATGATCAACCTCGGTCTGCAAAATGCCTGTGATGAGGCCATTTACCAGGTACATTGTTCCTAGATTTCTCTCATCCTGTCTCTTTAAATTTCATGTGCACTTCAGGAAACTTGGGGACATTGCACAAAAAAATAAAGTAAAATAAGAGTGAAAAATCGCCTCTATAGATGTGGCTATTACAAACTTTTAGAAATATACATCACTGGTAATCTCTCATTTAAGAGGAACAACCAGAAAAAGTTAGATAACTCGTTATGACTCATGAGAATTTTCTTTTGCAATCAAAGTCTTTGACAGCATTCCTCACAGATTACATTTCAGAAATTAGTGTCTGAACAAGCCTTTTAAAAGTACTTGAGTCTTCTGCTATCAGAATCACAATCTTTACTTTGGGCTTCTATCTCATTTTTAAGAAATGATCAAACTTTGTTATTCATGTATCAAGGCAATTTGTGAAAATGATCAGCTTTAAAAATTCTGTTGTCATACTTTCTCTGTTGCTTAATGAGATGTAAAATACACTTCCTCCTTAAAGGAGAAGCTTGAAGTCTTAACCCTAATGTGCTAAGTTGTTTTCATGAATATATTTAACTTTTTCTTTCCTGAGCTTCAGGCACCTTCATACCCAAAACAGGTAGCCCTTAACCTTTTTGATGTGGTTGAAAGGAGAAATGTGTATTTGCAAAGACACATTCTAAATGAGAGACTGTTCAAACTTTTCATTTCCTTTGCCATGGGATTGTCCCCTCATGTGTCCTTCGCTCAAGAACAAATACGTCTACAACCAGGTCATAGCTAACTCACATACATGTGGGTTAGGTGGAGTATTTCCTGTGAAAGAACCCCTGCAGGTCCTCTCCATGTCCCTTCCCTCTCCTTCCCCTAATATCAGCTGAAAATAACATCTCTCCCTTGGAGTAGCCTATAGCCAGGCAGGGTGATGTGATCCATGTCTACTTGCTCAAAATTTATATCATACTTTTTTTTTTTTTTGAGACGGAGTCTCGTCCTGTTACGCAGGCTGGAGTGCAGTGGCACGATCTCAGCTCCCTGCAATCTCCACCTCCCAGCCTCAGCCTCCTGAGTAGCTGGGATTACAGGCATGCACCACCTTGCCCAGCTCATTTCTGTATTTTTAGTAGAGATGGGGTTTCGCCATTTTGGCCAAGCTGGTCTCGAACTCCTGACCTCAGGTGATCCACCCACCTTGGCCTCCCAAAATGCTGGAATTACAAGTGTGAGTCACCGTGCCAGCCTATATCATGCTTTAGACTTACGTTTTTAGAATTTAAAAATTCTGAGTGTTAGCACCAGCAGTTGGCTTACACCAGGAACCTAGTAAGCTCTAATCTGCAGAGAGCAAATTTGAAAGGCCCTTTAACACTGAACAGAAGCATAACCAAGGTTGAACTCGTAAGATACAGTTGTCAAGACCTGTGTGACAGGTAGGAATCCAAACAGGTGCCATGGAAACGGGGGCACAACTTCAAGCACTGGTGCATCTTCCACATATGTCTTCAAATGTGCAAATTATTTTTCCATTTAAAAAAAATACCCAGTTTCATGGGTTGCCTAACTTCAGATAAGAACCCAGTTGTTTCACAGTAGGCCACCTTTAGCCATGCCTGGGCTAGATTAGCATCTAGTCAGGATGGAACAAGTCATTTGCCTGACCAACAATTCTTTCATCGTAAAATGAGCAATCCAATGTGATCTCCAGGGCTGCAGAGCTCTGTCATGGGTGCCCAGTGGTGCTGTGGACTCTGCTGTGTGATCCCCAGCACTTTGGGGCAGGGAGCTAGCTGGCAATCAGTCCCATCCGTGCCCAAGTTCACAGATGCTATTTGGCTTCCCACAGCTTCTTATCCACCCCAGGGAAAAGTAAAGGATTTTACCCCATCCAGCTGGATTGCAGGACTGCAGTTTCCCTGCCTGCTGTCAGGACCCAGGTCTCCAGGGCAGTAACCCACTAACTGGTTTTGAGTTGACAACTTTTGACCCTACTGAGTAAATATGCTGTGGTCATGAAAAGATGAACTTTAGTCCATTCTGGAACGTCTGACCCTGAGACCTTTCGGTCATTTTCAAAATCCCTCAGTCCAATTAATATCAGCTTGGTACTGGACTGTTTCTGAGGTTTTAACCCTACTGTACACACACACACACAATTTTTTTTAATGATAATAGCTAACATTTATTGAGGGATATCTGCCCAAGAATAGTTCTAAATGCTTTGTTTGTATAATCTCATTTAATTCACGGCAATCATCAGTGAGGTAGGTACTGTTAGCCTCCACTTTTTTAAATAGGAAAATTGAGGCATAGAGTTAGTAGCTTGCCCAGGGTCATGTAAGAAGTAACAGAGTCAATAATGGACTTTTAGAGCTTACACTTTTCTCCATGCTGCAGCTGCACCATCTCATACAGTTTGCCTCTGCAGTCAGTACCTGATGCCAGAACAAGCTGCAAGGGAGCTGACGCTAGATTAGGTACACAGCTAAACCTGAATACCTTTACCCAGAGCTGTAGGAAATGGCTGTCCCTCTGAATGGCCTGAATTTTTATCTGCTTCCAATATTGTTTTCCTTTCATTACCAGCTTGGATTGGATATAGAAGAGTTAGAAGAAATTGAAGAAGATGCTGGACTTGGCAATGGTGGTCTTGGGAGACTTGCTGGTAAGTGACATTGTGAGTGTATTATATTGTCTGGCCGATTGAAGACATCTCAGATGCCATGCATGACCATGCTTGCAAGAACCAGGCAGGCTTCCTAGAAGAAGCGCAAGGTATGACCTGGTTGTAGATGTATTTGTTCTTGAGTTTGCACTTTGGTTTGATCAATTCTAGACAAATAGTAGAGATGGGAACTTGAACAAAAGAGACACTGCTTAAAACTCAGTTAACCAGATCCTTCCTATGCACTTAAGAGTATGTTAAATGTTAACACACTAAAAAATTTATTATGCTAGCACCCCCTTTGATCACTACCCCAGTTCTGTGCTCCTCCCTATAGGGGGTCATAGGGAACAGTTTAGTATTTAGAATTCCAGACCTTTTTTCTGCATATTCATTCACATTATATACATATGTACACACAAACACACACACACATATATATATATACACACACATACACACACATGTAAATGTCTGGAATATATATCTTCCAGACCTTTTTTCTACATATTTACACACACACATACACATATATATATTCATAGAAAATATTTAATTTTTTAAAAAATAAATGGTATCACACTGTATGGCTTTAATACAATGTGATTTCTTTTTTAGTTTGGAGATCTATCCAGTAAAGTACGTCTAGGTCAAAAGTAGTGTCTTTACTTCACTATTATTTGTTCAAAGCTTCTCAATTCACATCCTTGTGTGGCATGACCTAAGTTAAGTTGCTGTTGTTTTATTTTATTTTATTTTTTCAGTGGTAGACTCCAGGTCAGAGGCATGACCCCAGTTGGTCAACCATTGTCTTGCCTTGTGCACTTGACTGCTTGATTGACTAGTGGGCAATGATACACTAATATTATTGGTATGATTTTGTTAATAATGTCCTTTTTGTGTGTGGATACAATTTGAGTTCTTTGCTTTTTTCAGGGAATAATTTTTCATCAAATATATAGGAAAGCACTAAAAATACAATACCAGCTCCATTAGTTTAGAAAATACACATCTCTATAACCAAGTAATTCCACTTGATATCTACCCTAAAGAAGCACACACATAAGAAGACATGTGGGGAAAATAATTGTTACAGTGTAGTTTATAAAAGTACTACACTGATTGTTGAAGAACAAAATTGACCTAGATGTACTTTCCTAGCTAGATCTCCAAATTAAAAGCGAAATCAAATTGCATTAAAGCCATACAGTGTGATACCATTTGTTTTTTAAAAATTAAATATTTTCTGTGAATATATATGTATGTGTCTGTGTGTGTGTAAATATATAGGAAAAAGATCTGGAAGATATATATTCCAGACATATATGTGTGTGTGTGTGTATATATGTGTGTGTGTACATATGTATATAATGTGAATATGTAGAAAAAAAGGTCTGGAATTTTAAATACGAAACTGTTCCCTACGACCCCCTGTAGGGAGGAGTGCAGAACTGGGATAGCGATCAAAGGGGATGCTGGCATAATAAATTTTTTTGTCTGTAACTTTTAATATTTTTAAGGAAGATGCATTAATGTATTATTTGTGAAATTTAAATTTAATAATAAAAATGTACTACCACACATGTATCAGATTGTATTCTATGAAAAATAATTATCTCCTCTCTTTTAGAAATTGTTCAAAAATCTTCTGATTTTGCATACACCCAAGTTACTAGAAAGCCATTTGCATCTGTTTCATTTTTTTCATCCTTAGTACATTAGTCACAGTGTGCTTTAACATTGTCATTAATAATGAACAAAACAAAATAAAACAATGCCTGTGGGATACTTGCCACCTTCCTGTGAAGTTAATTATCAGACAATTTAGTAGGCTTTCTATGGGGCTGCAGGAAGGCCAGCAGTGCTGATGCACATCTGAGAATAAGAACCAGCCTGCCTACCTTTTATGTGAAGCCCGAGCCCTCAGTCTTTGTTAGCTAGGTTAACTCTGTGTCTGACATTCATGACATCGCTCCTTGAGTTGACTGATGAAGTCAGAGTGAAGAGGCTGATGAAGCTGAGAATTCTCATTAGATGATCTCATCTAAGTTGGGACCCCCTCTAAAGATAATCTGATCAGGACTCAGGAAAAGCCGAAGAGCCACAGCTCAAAGAGAACAGGAATGGGAGCAGAGCCAGGCCATATGTGAGCACAGGGATTGGCGATGTAAGAAAAACTTGAAAGCCTAGGCCATTTGTGTTTGTGGATCTCTGTTTTAAGGGCTGTACCACCAACCTCATTCAATCCCTTTCTGTTTGATCTACAGCTTTTAATATTCTTGTCAGTTTTAATTCCTACTGTACACTTCCTCATTCTGTGTATATTTCTCAGCTTAAATTCCTGGGAGGGACAATCTGATTAGTGTAACACCTTAGTTTTCATCCAGCCACAAGACAGATCCTTACCCAGCCTGTTGGTTAACTGTTCTGGATCAGATGCCCTGTCATTAAATAACAGAAAACCTAGCAAAAATGCTTCAATCAAAAAGGACATGTGTTATCATATAACAAGAACTCCAGAGGTAAGGCCATTCCAAGACTGGTTTATTCAGCAGCAGGAGTATAGCAGGACTCCAGGTCTCTGGTCCTTTTGTCTTTCCCCTCATGGAAAAAAGACAGTGGCAGCAAGGAAAATCTTTCCCAGAATTCTCCTATACCCAACAGACTTTCTAGCACCACTCATCTGATTGAATGTCATTGTATGCCCACGGAGAAGGAAATACAATTGCTATGATTGGCTTAGCAGATTAGACCAATCCAGCAAGATTCACTTCCTGGTTCAGCCTCCCTGAAGCATATGATCACCTAATATCTGAACAACAGTGGAATTCCATTAGCCAGGAAGAAACAGAGCTGGCCACAGAATATCTTGTCAGTCAGTTGCTGGAAGGGAATGGGACACATATAAGTTATACTCTCCTGGGACTGTCTTTTCCAGTGGGGTGAGTCTTAGGGGAGGATAGAGACAGCTTCCCTTAGAAAAGGCAGTGTGGGGACAATAATCGACATTATCTGGTGCAGGTTGGCTTCCTTATCTGTTCTCAAACAAAATGTACACAATAGTTATTTCTAGATGGTGAGGTCATAGATGAGATTTTCTTCTTTATACATTTTTGCATTTTCTAACTTTTCTATAGTATTAATTTTATAATTAGAAATGAGTTATTTTTAAAAATCAATACCCATTGTGCAGTAGTATCTGTGCTTTAGAATACAAATGTGGTTCTTCATATAACAATGTTTTGTGGCTGCCATGTGTTTTAGGGAAAGACTGGAAATTTTGGCTCAGCTTAATGACTCTATCTTTTGCCTGTGCTCTGTTGAATGTAGCCTGCTTCTTGGATTCCATGGCAACCCTGGGACTTGCAGCCTATGGATACGGCATTCGGTATGAATATGGGATTTTCAATCAGAAGATCCGAGATGGATGGCAGGTGTGTGAGCCATCTTTTTAAATTTTGTCATTAAGGTACTTCTCTTTCATGGTGCTCTGGATGATTTATAATATATGGACCTTTAACATAGAGCTGTACTAATTTCTCTGGCATTTGGTTGGTATCAGTGAGTTCTATCTATCCATCTTCCCACTTCAGAATGTATGTTCCCCAAGAACAGAGAGCCTTCCAGTATCACTCATCACCAGATCCATTGCACTGAGGGCAGTGGCTGACGCACAGGGTGCTCTGAAAATATATATCACTGACTGCCTGATTGTGGAGCACCTACAATGTGTGATGTTCCATTCTCTGCAGCAGTCATAATGGAGGAGCACATCTTTGACTCATGATCTCAGCCAAGAACCCTTGATGATAGGAAGCACATTGCCATTTTGTAGGTGAGAACACTGAGTCTCTGAGGAAGTAAAGTTACCTCAGATCACACTGCTGGCCAATACATGTCTGTATCCCCAGATTCCCAGGACCATATTCAGTATTCTATTCTACACTCAGAGTCTTGCCTTCTTTAATATGCTATGGTTACAAGACACAAACCAAGTGTCCTGATTTTTTTATAAGATGAAATCAGACAGTGTTGTTAACTGTTATAGCAAATAAATCTGGCACACATTTAATATGTATAATTACACTGCCCCATAGAAATTTGTACAAATCTATCCAAATGACACTACTTTTACTTTATATAATCAAACCAGATTGTTAGGTACTTATTTTTTTTTTATCTCTGGTAACTGTTTGAGTCTACAGTCGCCCTAGTGTGGACAGTTTTTGCTAATACTAAGTGTGATTTAGGCTTCCTCTCTCCCTATTTTTGTCTCATACATACACCATTGACAGAAATATATATCTTCAGTTTCCAAAAAACTTGAGCTCTCTGAGCCTTTCCCACACTTATGAGATGAGTCCAACAAGAGAACGCTCAGGGACTGGATGCAGAGACCTAGGCTGTGCCAGGATAAAGGAAGATAACCCTATGAGAATGAGTTTAGTGTCACCACTGCCCTCTTTCCCCTCCCTCAGTATTTGGATTCTTTGTGAACCAAAAAAGGGAGGAACTAAAAAATTTGGTTTGATGAGAGAATGTGCCAAGGAAAAAGACTCAGGAGAATATTAGGGATAGAGTGGAAGACAAACTTCCACATTTTGCTAAGGACCAGAGCTGTTTATCTTTAGCTACCCCCAAATAAATAAAAGCTGAGAGGCAGCATCTTGTAGAAGAGAAGCCTGGGTCCTAATTTCTCATTTGAGACCTAATGTCAACTTAGGAGACCTGATTACTTTTATGAGGTATGCTGTCTCAACTAGGTTACCAAACTTCCCTGAACCTCAGTTTTCTCAATGGCAAAATGGAGATACAAACTCTACAGAATTATTATAAAAACATGTAAAATATCTGGCACACAATAAAATGCTAATATTAGTAAGCACACAATAAAATGCTAATTTTGCCTAAGAAAAGGAGGATGCTTTAATAAATTGTGCTATTCTATAATAAAATATTAGTGAAGCCATTCATATTATATTTTTAATTAATTTTAACAAAATAGGAAATCATTGTGTTACCTATAAGTAGAGGATATAGAGTTATAAGGGTAATAAAACCTCAGCTATCCAGAGAAGGCCAGAAAGATAAAGGAAAAGTGCTAGAAAAAAATACATCAAAGCTTCAACAGAAGTTGTCTCTGGAAGATGGGCAACTTTTACTGTCTTCTATGTACTCTTCTACATATCTCATTTTCTGTAAGAAATATATATACTATCTTCTATTTACTCTTCTACATGTTTTAGATTCCATAAATAATGTGTATTTTGTAATCATTAAAAGTTATAAAAATGAAATAGGTTGTTCCTCTCCCCAATGGAGTAACCTAGAGTTCCATGTTGAGAGCCTATTTAGCAGGCATGTCCAGGACAACCAACACTTTGACACAACCTAACCAAACAACACATGGTATCTAATTTTAGCCTTGGAAAAGGATACCATGCGCTACTCACTATACTCCAGAATTTCCAAGGATCTCATTTCTTATCTCTTAACTATTATCAGATGGAAGATTTAAAAGAAACTCAGAAAACAAATCTCAATTTTTTTTTTGTCTCAGGTATATTTTCCCCTTACGTTTTATGAAGGGTCACTGTTATCACACCTACCTTTGCTCTTTTTAAATGATCTTTGTTCCAGGAAACTATCTCTTTCTCTCCTATCAGACCAAGAAAGCATGTATTCCAGTGTTCTTTAAAAAGAAAAATAAAGAAAGACCAAATAGGTTTTGCTCATTCAAAATATTGCAAAGCTGGCCAGGTGCAGTGGCTCACGCCTGTAATCCCAGCACTTTGGGAGGCCGAGGTGGGTGGATCATTTGAGGTCAGGAGTTCGAGACCAGCCTAGCCAACATGGTGAAACCCCCAGTCTCTACTAAAAATACAAAAATTGGCCAGGAGATAGTGGCGCGTGCATGTAATCCCAGCTACTTGGGGGCTGAGGCAGGAGAATCACTTAAGCCTGGGAGATGGAGGTTGCAATGAGCTGAGATAGTGCCACTGCACACCAGTCTGGGCAAGTGAGTGAGACCCTGTCTCAAAAATAAAATAAAATAAAATAAAATAAGATAAAAGAAAATAAATTCCAAAGCTAACCTTATCAACCATCATCACTTCTTTCATTATGACTTGAAATTGAATCAGAAGGGTATATAATTTTACTTACCACCTCCATTGTTTACTGGGATGGGATTTTAACCGTCAAACATAAAATATATCATACCATAAAAAAGAAATTATTTCCATAAAAAGCAAAATGCATCTGTCAAGAAAGCAGCAGGCCTTTTCAGAGTATAGTCATGCCCCCACTCAACACGTAACACTGTTCTTACAAAGGCAGATTTGGAGAAGGCTGATGAAAATTCCACATGCTGGGAAGATTTTTAAAGGTTGATGGGCTTTTAATTTTTGAGTCTCTTCAAGGAAGATTTGCAGGCGTGGAGTGTTCATCGTGCACCCCCTGAAATTGTGTTGCTAAAATTCTATATTTACCATCTCCTCTCATGGGGAGTGCAGTAACAGTCCTCTATGAAAATAGCTGGCCTAGGAGGAAGTGGGGAGAAAGACAATTGCAACAACCTCACAGAAGTTTCACAATCACACCAAAGCCCTGGGTGGAAAGGCACTCACAGTATGTATCTCGGAGCTGGATCCAAGTGGCTTCTGCAACCCTTCTCTTGCCTCTTAGCACCCACACCAAGTTCGTAATAGCCAGTCATGCGTGATTCACATTACCCAGCAAGCTTCTAATTATCACTGTGGAATTCTTGGTGTGCCACAGAAACATTTATCAGTTATTATAACATCAGAAAGCCAAGTTCATGGGCTCTCCTGATGACTGTTCACTGGTTCTTTGTCGACTCTGTATCCCACAGGTGCAGAGAAGAGCATTTCTTAGAATTCAGTCAACAGAGTCCCCTGGGCTGACCTCTCCATCCCTGCTGGCTGGGACAGATTCCATTGAGTCATTCCTCTAAAGAAATGCCTAGTCCAGCTGCCACCTGCACCCAGGTTGGCTCTTTTACTCCACAGATCCACGCTTGCTTTCTTCAGCCCCGTGCAGCCTCTGGGATGAAACAGCTCTGACAGCTCACTTGGATGTAGATGAAAGTTCTCCCACCTTGGCCCCCCACCCCTACCCCTTCATATGATTGGCATGTTAGTGCATTTGGGGATCACTGGCTACATGGAAACCTAAATTTACAGATCAATTTGTCAATTCATTGGAAGAAAGCAAGGTAGAGAGAAGGTTTATCACCATCTTGCAGCTTCTGTAGATTTAGTGGAGGCAGCAAGGGATAGTTCTCTCCTCCTCAGATCTACTCAGGTCAACTTGTTATGAAACGCTTGTTTCTCAATCTACCTTAAAAACAAGCCTTATAAAATTGATAGAATTATTCACCAATTCTTTATTGAATCAGCGGGAGATTCACAATAAAGAACAGCAAGCAAATAAACTCTCCTACGAGTTGTTAGCCCCATGAAGCTAAAACCAATCATTTACTTGGCAGGAAAAAAATTCAACCAACATTTGATGGCATTAAGAATCTCATGTAAGAGTGTACCCTCAAAAGAGCAAATGTGGCTTATCGTGGTGGCTCACGCCTGTAATCCCAGCACTTTAGGAGGCCGAGGCAGGCAGATCACTTGAGGTCAGGAGTTCAAGATCAGCCTGGTCAACATGGTGAAACCCCGTCTCTACTAAAAATACAAAAATTAGTTGTGTGTGGTGGCGGGCACCTGTAATCCCAGGTACTTGGGAGGCTGAGGCAGGAGAATCACTTGAATCTGGGAGGCATATGTTGCAGTGAGCCAAGATTGTGCCACTGGACTCCAGCCTGGGCGACAGAGCAAAACTGTGTCTCAAAGAAAATGAAAATAAAAATAAAAAGAGTAAATGCAACCTCTGACTTCCACAGGAGTCAGGGACTGAGCCCACAGGAGGAAGTTCAGTGCCCATCCTCTCTTATCTGAGCATTTCAGGCTTCTTGGGGGCAGGACAGTATATCATCCTGCTGCATTTCTCAGCAAAAAAATATGTCATCAGTTCTCCCATGGTCATGAGTTTTCAGAGGAAAACTGTTTCTGCCTCATCGTCTTCCTATTTCATACAATACCTTCAGATGGGTTTTACAACAGCCCTGCATGCTGAAATGAGGCAAACAGGCCTATGGTTCTTTCCTGTTACAGGAAGCAGTGTTCACATTGCTCAGTATTTTAAAACCCAAAATTGGCCCTTGCCTAAGTGCAGCATAAAGTATTTTGTAAGTCAAGATGTTTTGATCCTTTGTTGATGTCATCATTTTATTTATTATAGCATTTCTAGTTATGAACCCAAGTTAATGGACTTTTTCTTTTTTTTTTTTTTTTTTTTTTTTTTTTGAGACAGAGTCTCACTCTGTCTCCCAGGCTGGAGTGCAGTGGCACAATCTCTGCTCTCTGCAACCTCTGCCTCCCAGGTTCAAGTGATTCTTTTGCCTCAGCCTCCTGAGTAGCTGGGATTACAGGTGCCCGCCACCATGCCCGGCTAATTTTCATATTTTTAGTAGAGACGGGGTTTCACCATGTTGGCCAGGCTGGTCTCAAACTCCTGACCTCATGATCAGCCCACCTCGGCCTCCCAAAGTGCTGGGATTACAGGCGTTGCCACCACGCCTGGCCAAGTTAATGGACTCTTTAACAAGCTTCTTGACAACTGGCAAACTTCAACTGTTTCTTTATTAAAATTTTATTTTATTTTATTTTACTTTATTTTTTGAGATGGAGTCTCACTCTGTCACCCAGGGTGGAGTACAGTGGCATGATCACAGCTCACTGTAGCCCTGACCTCCCGGGCTCAAGCAATCCTCCCACCTCAGCTTCCTGAGTAGCTGGGACTACAGGTGCACACCACCACACTCGGCTAATTTTTAAATTTTTTTTAGAGATAGGTTCTCACTATGTTGCCCAGGCTGCTCTCAAACTCCTGGGATCAAGTGACCTTCCTGCCTCAAAAAAATTTTATCTTTGTTCTCTTATGACTGGGATAGCGGAAGTTTAGTTTTTAATTCTGAATTACAGATTACAGTTATTGACTTTGCATTGCCTTGTAGCTCTTGGCTGCTCTTTGTGGGGTTCAGGGACCAGTAGAATCAGGAGCCCCTGGGAGCTTATTAGGAATGCAGAATTTCAGGCCCCTCCCCAGACCTACTGAGAATCTGCATTTTAAGAAGATGTGACTTTCTGACGAGCTCAGATCTCTCTCCAGCCTTCCCTAGGGTTCATCTTGCATCTGATACCTCCTCCTTCCTCCAGTGGCTCTCTAACTCCTAGCTCTTCCAACTAAAGATGTTGTTGCTATGAGTCCCATTTCCATTCATCATTACACTGGTAGTTAATATTAGTGGGAAGCTTACTGGCTTTCTTGATAAACAACACTATCAAAATTTGAATAAGTGAACTTGTATTCATTTCTCTGGCTGTTGACAATAATGGTTAGTCTAAATTCTCAAAAGATAGTGGCTGTGTTTATTTTTGTCTCTTCACACTGTTCCTGAGACAGGCATTACACTCATGTTTAGGTGATCATGAGATGTCCAACATTGTGTTGTAATTCTTAAGCAGTATCTTCTAAAACTAAAGCTGAGTTTTCTAAGAGGTGAATATGAGGTATCAAATAGGTAAAATAACCATATTGGAGATTATCTCATTGACAAAGCTGCTTTGTTTACCCCCTTCTGGCCAGAACACAATTCCATTTTTTAATGTATAGTCATGCACCACATAATGACATTTCAGTCAACAATACAACACATATGCAATAGTGGTCCCATAAGATGGTAATGGAGCTGCCCCCTGTGGGTGTACCATTTCTTATGTTTTATACTGAATTTTTACTGTACTATTTCTATGTTTAGATATACAAACACCATCGTGTTACCATTACCTATAGTATTCAGCACAGTAACGTGCTGTACAGGTTTGTAGTCTAGGAGCAGGAGGCCATACCATATAGCTCAGGTGTGTAGTAGGCAGCACCATCTGGGTTTGTGTAAGTGCACTCTGTGATGTTTGCACAATGACAACGTTGCTTAAGAACACATTTTTCAGAATGTATCCCTGTCGTTAAGCAATCCACAACTGTATGTGTCATATTTTAAAGGTTTCAATAATTTAAAAATACATCCCCCTCCAATGTGTTTGGTGGTGGTGGTGTTCTTATTTTGATGTGTTTGTTTGTTTGTTGCAAATGAAAATGTATTTGATGTCCAGGATATCCTAAATAGAAACCATAGTTTAAAATCGTATATAAGAAATATTTTGTTATAAATTGACATAAATACCTAGGAAAATATTGAAATTGTCAATAAAATAAGTTCATTACCTCTTGGAATATGTTATTTTCAAAATAAACTATAATCTATAGTTCATTATCAAATCAAAATTACATAAGGATTGAGATAAGCAAAGACTACATAATGCAATAATGTTCTGTACCTATACCAATAAGCTTGATTAAAAGAGTGTTCTGTAAGTAGCATTTTCTAACTGATTCTGTATATTCTAGCCACAAGAATCTTGACTGAACCCTTTGTGTAGGACTCAACAGGCCCAGGTATCCAACGATAAACATCCCTGTAAGGCGTCTGTCTTTAGCTGAAGCTGGACAATTGGATTCACAGACGTTAAGACAGAGGCTCTGGAACACAGAGACCTAAGGGCAGATCTTATCTCTATCGTTTACTGTTTGACCTTGAGATCTTATCTCTACCGTTTACTATTTGACCTTGAGCAGTTACAATTCCTCATCTTTAAAAGAGGATTAAATGCAGTAATACATATAAAATATTTAGAGCTGTATTAGCGAGTATTATTGTTGATGTAGGCTGTAAAAAAGTTACAAAACAGTACTCAGTATTCATAAGTTGTTTCAGTTAAAGATGTTTTAAATTTAATATAATATAATTGAAGTGCTAGGTTCATATTTCCTGACAAATAAATTCTAAGCAATACTGTATCCTTTTGCAGGTAGAAGAAGCAGATGATTGGCTCAGATATGGAAACCCTTGGGAGAAGTCCCGCCCAGAATTCATGCTGCCTGTGCACTTCTATGGAAAAGTAGAACACACCAACACCGGGACCAAGTGGATTGACACTCAAGTATTCAGAGTGCTCGTATAGCCAGCGTTTTGTATAGTATTTAGTACAGTAGATAATACATTGACTATGTAGCATATAGTGGTGATATTGAGTATAGGGCATGTCGTGTTTTGAATAATAGAATATATTTTTGTAAATAAATCTGTTACTTCTCTTAGCGCAGCCCAGTCATTTTGGAGACAAAGGAGCTGAGGCCAAGAGAGGAGTGACTTTTATAAGGGTCATTTTGCAACCAGCTTTGTCAGAAAATTGTCAGTTCTTTTTTTTTTTTTTTTTTTTTTGCCAGAAAATTGTCAGTTCTATAGTAACCAGCATGCTTACCTCTTTGGTTTTATATTAAGGTGTTGATAGCAAAATTGAATAATTTGAAATGTCATTCCTGGCTGGGTGCAGTGGCTCACAACTGTAATCCCAGCACTTTGGGAAGCCGAAGCGGGCAGATCACCTGAGGTCAGGAGTTCAAGACCAGCCTGGCCAACATGGTGAATCCCTATCTGTACTAAAAATACGAAAATTAGCCAGGAGTGGTGGCCCATGCCTATAGTCCCAGCTACATGGGAGGCTGAGGCAGGAGAATCGCTTGAACCTAGGAGGTGGAGGTTGCAGTGAGCTGAGATCATGTCGCTGCACTCCAGCCTGGGTAACAGAGTGAGACTCTGTCTCAAAAAAAATAAAATAAAATAAAATAAAAATAAAAGTTTGCAGTTTACACAATCAATCCTGGAAGCATTTTATTTACACTGTGGGTCCCACTGCTGAGCTAACTTGCATTTACAAAACACCTCTAGATACTGTCATAATGTATCCAGAAATTCAATTAGAGAGAGTGTGTGTTTCTGGGCCAACAGAGGCAAGGTTAGGGGGCAGAGGTAATATAAGTGAGCTGGCCCAAGCCATGCAACTTAGCCTCATAGATTGAAGTCATCACATGAATTAACCCCAAACTGGTACCCAGTGATGTCAGAGCATGAGTCCAGATGTGCTCTGTGCGTGCATGGGATGGCTTCCAATAAAGTCAAATGACACAGTCACGTGTCAGTTTAGGTCCTCTAGGAAACAGACACCAGAGAGAATGAGAAGTGCAAGTGACATATTGGGGGATGCCTATGAAAGACAAAGGGGAGAGGGAGCAGGATGAGGTGGGAAGGCTTCAGACTGTGACACAGGTGTGCCACCTGTGAAAAGTGAAGGGGAAAGAAGCAGCATTCTCAGGGAGAGCCTCAGACCACAGTGCCACTCTGAGCAAGTGGCCAGGCTGATGGAGCCTGACACTAAAGATTGCCCATTAGAGAAGTCTCGGCCCTAGTGTCCCAGCCACATGGAGTGTCCCAGAGAGCGCAGCTTTGGTGTGAGCTCTGAGGGAGCAAGTCCTCTTTGAGGTTCTCTGAAAGAAGATCTAAGCTGTGCACTTCTTGGGCTGCCTTAATTATGCTTCAAGGGTCAGAAGGGTCCAACTCTTGTTTGAACCGAGACTCAATCCCAGCCTGCAAATGACTTTCCCTGATTGATTACAACTTGCTTTAAAAGTCCAGAGACTTTTATCTCTTAATGAAAGATATTTAAATGAGGGTGATTTATTACTTTGAGGTCGCGGTGATCACGAAAGTATGACTGAGTATATGTGATTGATATGGGCCATAATGCTTCATTCATTCACAATTCAGCAGACCAAATTAAAGAGATGCGTGTTTAAGTTTCAATCCTGCCATGACTGTGATCTTGGGCAAGTCACTTCTCTCTCAGCTTCAGCTCCCTCATGTCCAAAATAAGTGGGTTGCACTAAATGAGATCCAGCATCCTCCAGTTCAATTATTCTGTCATTCTCCTTCCTTCGAGCTTGACTCTGATGAGGCCGGGAATAAAAATGAATGATTTCTCACTTGAATTTTCGATGCACTGTGAAACATAGTTAATCTTCCTCTTCTCTATTTCAGTGACTGTCACAAAGATCAAGCTAGATTTTCCAAAGCTTACCTCTTAGACTCAACTCAGCTAATTATCAGCTGATTTGGCAGATCACTGTAGGAATCACTAAAATAACTCCTTATGCAACTTTAAAAATCTAGCATAGCATTTTAAATATTATATGAGATGTTATAGCTTCATAAATTTCCTATTCCATTTACTTTCATCATACTTGAAATCAGATCACTGAAAAACCTATGCAAAACATATTCTAAGTGCTATTTTTTGGTGGGTACAGATTCACAATGTCACTTTGTTTGCATATCATATTTTATTATTATTAGAGCAATGGCTTTATCTGAAACATGAAAGATAAACTTTTTTGGCTGGGTGCAGTGGCTCACGCCTGTAATCCCAGCACTTTGGGAGGCCGAGGTGGATGGATCACGAGGTCAGGAGATCGAAACCATCCTGGCTAACACGGTGAAACCTCGTCTCTACTAAAAATACAAAAAAATTAGCCGGGCATGGTGGCGGGCACCTGTAGTCCCAGCTACTCGGGAGGCTGAGGCAGGAGAATGGTGTGAACTTGCAGTGAGCCGAGATTGCACCACTGCACTCCAGCCTGGGCAACAGAGTGAGACTCCGTCTCAAAAAAAAAAAAAGATAAACTTTTTTGAATACAAATACCATATCATTCCATTCCACTGCATTTATATCAGGGCAAGGGCACATGGAGAGTCAACATAGAAATACTGTAAAGGACCATCAGTGTGGATGGTTTCAGTCACTAGATTGTACCAGGTCGGGGAGGAACCACATGTTCCTCTAATACCCTCTGCAGCCCTGAGACCCTCTTCTCCATTTAGGCCTCACACAATTTAAGTTGGTAATGGAGCCAGGAATAGAATTCCATTGCAGTCTCCCAGCCCCTTGTTCAACCTATGTCATCACACTTGGGAAACAATGAGCAGCTGCTTCTGTTTAATCCCACAGGTGGTCCTGGCTCTGCCATATGACACCCCCGTGCCCGGCTACATGAATAACACTGTCAACACCATGCGCCTCTGGTCTGCTCGGGCACCAAATGACTTTAACCTCAGAGACTGTGAGTACAGCACAGGCCTTGGTTTCTTTATGCGTGTGCTTAATCTTTTTGATTGGTAGTTAGAACCAAATTGAGCTTGAAACAAACAAAAAAGCCTTGAGTTTCTGATCTGAACTTCACTGACTAAGCAGGCATTGTATGGAGGAAGTAGGGAGGGCATTTTTAAAGCAATTCTCATGTGAAGTCCAGCATGACGGTGTGTTGAAATCCTTTGGGATTTTTAGGAATTTTAGGAATCCCACATGACACACAGCACAGAGCCAGTGAGATCAAGAGGTTTCCAACAACAATGGCTGGTTTCTCTATTTATTGTTTCTCTAACTTTCCCCTAGTTAATGTTGGAGACTACATTCAGGCTGTGCTGGACCGAAACCTGGCCGAGAACATCTCCCGGGTCCTCTATCCCAATGACAATGTGAGTGATCAAGGTTGCTTTCTTAGTGGCAACAGAGGCAGCTTATTTCACAAGAGCCTGTTCAGTAACCTATAAAACACATTTAATATTGATGTTTTTCCATGTGCAGAACAAGCTCCGTATTTCTTCCTGAATTGTGTAGATTTCTCCTCCCAACCAAGTAAGGAAAACAAATCTGTATAGTGCATGAAATCAGAATTGGTATTTTGCCCTTGATTAGTGACCCCATCACTAATTGGGAAGTTATTGAGATGTATTTTAAAACAAAACCTGGATATAAGAGATGAAGTAAATCACTGGTGAAGCACTGCCTCCTTTCCAGATAGAAATTTTATCTGCAAAGTCAGAAGTCACTGAATATTTTCTGCCTCGCCTCTTCTCTCACTGACTAGGCTCTTTCTGGTCCTCTGCCCTGATGCTAGATGGAGTTAGAGACCCTGGGGCAGACCCATGAACAAACATCTGTTTCTTCTGCCACTGACTTGTATCTTTTTCTTATAGTCAATTATTCTAATTTTATTGTAAATATAGCTTAGTTAAAAAAAAAAAACACTTGGGGCCAGGTGCAATGGCTCATGCCTGTAATCCCAGCACTTTGGGAGTCTGAGGCGGGCAAATCATTTGAGGCCAGAAGTTCGAGACCAGCCTGGCCAACATGACGAAACCCTGTCCCTACTAAAAATACAAAAAAATTAGCCAGGTGTGATGGTAGGCGCCTGTAATCCCAGCTACTGGAGAGGCTGAGGCAGGAAAATCGCTTGAGCCTGGGAGACAGAGATTGCAGTGAGCCGAGATTGCACCACTGCATTCCAGCCTAGGTGACAGAGTGAGACTCTCTCAAAACACACACACACACACACACACACACACACACCACTTGGAACTGGATCTCAGATAACTGCTATTGATTCTTGGTTGTTTTAAATATATGTAACTCTAAACTTCTCTATGGGTAAAATCATTTTCATGAAGCTGTAATGATTTTTTTAAAGTGGTCTCAGAAGCAATAAAATTAGCACTCTGCTTTACAAAGATGGCAGAAGACAAGGATCTTGGGGGGACTAGGACATAAATAGTCCTTAATACCAGATGTCCACCTGGTGTTAAATCATAATCTCTCAGAAAGGAAGATGATTATGTGGATTTTGCTGGAGCATTTTTAGGAACCTAATGGTATATGCTATTATTCCTTTGTGGAAAACATTGTGGCTTCAGTACATTTCAGAGAAATCTCTAACCCAAAAGCAAAAAGTTATTCTATGTCAGGGTCAAAGTAAGAGTTCTTCCAAGTCTGGGACCGTACTGCCAACCTAAACCCAGTCTGCAGGGGCTTGAAATTCATCCTCCTGTCTTCAGTAAGGACCAAAACTAATTTTACTGGGAAATAATCGTCTGCAGTAACTGACAATATATACTAAGTTAGCATGGGGTAAAAAATTGACTAGATTTGTTGGGTAAAAGGGAGTTCTCAGGATCATGTTTTTGTTTGTTTGTTTGTTTGTTTGTTTTTAAGAGTAAGCTGAAAAATCCTTTTATACTGTAATTACAATAACAAATTCATTCTTCTCCTCAACTTGGCCATAGCCCTGGCATAGGTCAGTGATTATACTTTTAAGTATTAGGGAGTTCAGAGCCCCAGATATTCTATATGCAGACCTCTATGCTCATATTCATTAGTTTTAATAAGACTCTGGTCCAAGGCTTACATTTGGGGGATGGGGTGCTCATCATTTTAAAATTTTTAATTTTAATAGTTTTAGGGGTACAGGTAGTTTTGGTTACATGGATAAGTTCTTTAGTGGTAATTTCTGAGATTTTACGCACCTGTCACCTGAGCAGTGTACACCCAATAAATTGTCTTTTATCCCTCAAGTCCCCAAAGTCCGTTACATCATTCTCATGCCTTTGCATCCTCATAGCTTAGCTCCCACTTACAAGTGAGAACACACGATATTCGGTTTTCCATTCCTGAGTTACTTCACTTAGAATAATAGCTTCCAGCTTCATCCAAGTTGCTGCAAAAGACATTATTTTGTTCCTTTTTATGTCTGAGTAGTATTCCATGGTATATATATACCACATATTGTTGTTGGTTGATGGGCGCCTAGACTGATTCCACATCTTTGTAATTGCGAATTGTGCTGCTATAAACGTGTGTGTGTACATGTGTCTTTTTCACATAATGACTTCTTTTCCTTTGGCTAGATATCCAGTAGTGGGATTGCTGGATCAAATGGTAGTTCTACTTTTAGTTCTTTAAGGAATCTCCATGCTGTTTAACATAGTAGCTGTACTAATTTATATTCCCACCAGCAGTGTAAAAAGTGTTCCCTTTTCACCACATCCATGCCAACACCTATTGTTTTTTGACTTTTTAATTATGGCCATTCTTGCAGGAGTAAGGTGGTATCTCATTGTGATTTTAATTTGCATCTCCCTGACAATTAGTGATATTGAGCATTTTTTCATGTGTTTGTTGGCTGTTCATATATCTTCTTTTGAGAATTGTCTATTCATGTCCTTTGCCACTTTTTCATGGGATTTTTTTTTCTTGCTGATTTGTTTGAGTTCCTTGTAGATTCTGGATATTAGTCAAGGCTCACATTTTTAATAGAAGTTACAGTTTTTAATTCTACGACCAGGTAAAGACAGGGCAGCTCCATGATCTATAAAAATCGAAGTGTGATGGCTCAGGGTTAGGACCATTTCTTGGTGACATTTACACGGTTGAGGTGACCGACAGCAAATCTATGTGGGAGGAACTTGGAAGCTGGCCACCATCATGGCCTCTAAGGCCTCCACCCTGCACACCATGGCCTGGCTGCAATCCTGTCTCGCAGTCATGTAGGGCATTCTCAGCTAGTTGTGGTTCTCCACACGGTCCATGGCTGCCAGTGCTTCCTGATACGTTGCCTGCCAGCAGGAGGGCGGTCATGTGCTGGTTGTGCTCAGCTGCAGGAACTGGGGATAAGGTTGGAGGCCAAGTGTCCTCAGGCTGTCATTAACCTTTTCCTTCACTTCTTCCCTGCTTCCCAGTACTTGGTACTACCAATTCCTGAGCCTTGGGGAGCTCCAATGTACACACTGAGTTGCTTTTTGGCTTTTCCCCACTACCAGGTCAGGATTTGGCTGTCTTGGATCTTCTGAATCACTTACCACTCATGCATCTGTTTTTCAGCCTCTAAAAGGTTGTTGCTATTGTCTTTATCCCAACCTCTTTATCTTTTATCTGTATGCCTTTAGAGAATCCTTTCACTGCCATTTTCATGGGGTCTCAGGAAAGAGCAAAGGCTCACAGTTTGGCATTCAAACCACCACCCCTCAGCAGATGTCCAATGGGCCTTAGTCTTAAAGTTCCTAGTGCAGGAGACACCAGTCACATTTTGGCCACACCTACAATATGAACCATTTTTATTCTATCTCTCTGGCTTGAAGTTTTTTGAAGGGAAGGAGCTAAGATTGAAGCAGGAATACTTTGTGGTGGCTGCAACCTTGCAAGATATCATCCGCCGTTTCAAAGCCTCCAAGTTTGGCTCCACCCGTGGTGCAGGAACTGTGTTTGATGCCTTCCCGGATCAGGCAAGTATTTAGTCTGTGGATGCAGTTAGGGTCCACTGAGGGATTGACTGGGATTTCCTATCAGATTAATTCCTCTCTCTCAGTGCTAACAACGTTGAGCAGGAATAGTGTGCATCAAGTCTTTCATAGAAGGTGGGCATATCAGTGCTTTCTCCAGATGTGTTAGGACAAAGAAGCCAGACCCTGAGCCATCCGTTGCCTTCATGTTGATGTCTTTCCCCACCCAGGTGGCCATCCAGCTGAATGACACTCACCCTGCACTCGCGATCCCTGAGCTGATGAGGATTTTTGTGGATATTGAAAAACTGCCCTGGTCCAAGGTCTGGATAGTTTGGCTTCTTTTTCCTTTAATTAACCAGAATGGCTGCAGTTGAAAGACTGCCAAAAACTCCCTTTTTAGTTTTTCAAAGTAAGTTATTGTTGCTAACTTTCAACAGTTAAAGGTATATTTTCCCTGACGCTGACATTTTCCATCCTTAGAGTTTTATAGGGAGTAAGACTATAAAATAAATGAGCACATTCCTAATGGGACACAAATCAATAGCTATATTAAGGCTTATATTGTGTTTACCATTTTTGTGTTGAAAAAGATTAAAAATTAAATTATCTAACCTCAGAAGACAGCTAATTGAGTGTCCCCATAGCTTTAGAAGTCAGCATTTTACATACTTTGTACTTGCTGAGAGCACTATTTACGTTTTTATCCCTCAATCTGTGTATTTAATAAGTGAAAGACACATAAGGATAGTAGATAGATTGATCAGAATGCTGTCTTAAGTTTCACCAGTAGCTTTACAAATGGCTTCCCCCTCACACCCAGAACATGTTTCTATTATCTGGACTATTCAGGAACTTAGTGGAATTGAGTGCTCTGACTATGCACACTTGGAATGGTCCTGTTGCAGACAGGGCAGGGTTGAAGAAGGGTTTGGCCCGTGCAGTGGGGTGCCCACCTTCAGGGCAAGCAGCTGACTCCTTCCTTTCCCCCAGGCATGGGAGCTCACCCAGAAGACCTTCGCCTACACCAACCACACAGTGCTCCCGGAAGCCCTGGAGCGCTGGCCCGTGGACCTGGTGGAGAAGCTGCTCCCTCGACATTTGGAAATCATTTATGAGATAAATCAGAAGCATTTAGATGTAAGTCATTTTGAGAGATTTTCTCTGTTCATGAGCATAAGATCTTAAGGTGTTACAGATGGCTACAGTGTTCCCTCTTACCAAACATCTTTCAATCATTGATACAGCAAAAGTACTCAAGTCCGAACGGGGCTCCAACAAAGGCAGCTTTTTGAAAGTGCTGAAATGGAGGGATGGCACCTCCATAGAGCTAACTCAACCCCTCCCTGTGGTAGTGAAGTTTATATTGAGTACACCAAAGATTTTGCTTAAGACATGAACAGCGTTATCCCAATGTTGCATTAAACCTGAGTGACCAGCAAGGGCTTTCTCTTCCTTTGGCTAGAGAATTGTGGCCTTGTTTCCTAAAGATGTGGACCGTCTGAGAAGGATGTCTCTGATAGAAGAGGAAGGAAGCAAAAGGATCAACATGGCCCATCTCTGCATTGTCGGTTCCCATGCTGTGAATGGCGTGGCTAAAATCCACTCAGACATCGTGAAGACTAAAGTGTGAGCCTCCATTACTCTGGCAGTGGGTCTGACACTGATCCATTAATGGAATGATGCTACTAAATGCAGGGTTGCACTTAGGGATGAGGAAAGGCCTTGTTCAAATGTTTAAAAGTATTTTCTTCTATACAAAAAACTCTTGCCTAAAAAAAAAAAAGAAAAGAAAAGGAAAGAAAAGAATGCTTTCCTCTCAGAGCCATCTTAATTCTAGACATAGGAGCCAAAACAAACAAACAAACAAAATACCAAAAACTATTCTACTGAAAGTGTAGTATATATGTCAGTGTGAAGAAGTCAGATGGAAGTGACTAGATTTGGAATTTTTCTGGTAATTCTTTTGAGTTGCAAATGAATTTCTATTTAAATGACAGCCATAGCTACTGTCAGCCTGTCCCTCCACCTTTATTTAACCTTTCTAAGCCTGCACTTGGCTTCTTGAATATAACTCCGAACTTTGTCCAGTGTGCAGGACCCTTTGCCGTTTCAGCCAAATTCAGTGATGTGTCTCCTCCATCTCCAGATTCAAGGACTTCAGTGAGCTAGAACCTGACAAGTTTCAGAATAAAACCAATGGGATCACTCCAAGGCGCTGGCTCCTACTCTGCAACCCAGGACTTGCAGAGCTCATAGCAGAGGTAACTGGGAAGTGCTGAGAGGAAAGGAGGCCTGACTCGAATGCAAGAGGCATATGACTATACTTGTAACTTATAAATCCAGTCTGCAGCAGGGCTGGCTTCCTCAGCATGTGGTTTGTGCAGTCACACAGGACTCCATGCTGGGTTTAATTCTCTGCTGTAGTCATCTTGAAATTATTTATTATTATTATTATTATTATTATTGAGACAGAGTTTCACTCTATCACCCAGGCTGGAGTACAGTGGTGCAATCTCTGCTGACTGCAACCTCCACCTCCTGGGTTCAAGCAATTCTCCTGCCTCAGCCTCCCGAGTAGCAGGGATTACAGGCACACATCACAATGCCCAGCTAATTTTTGTATTTTTAGTAGAGACAGGGTTTTACCATGTTGGCCAGGCTGATCTTGAACTCCTGACCTCAGGTTATCTGCTCCTCCTTGGCCTCCCAAAGTGCTGGGAATACAGGCATGAGCCATCACACATAGCCGTCATCTTGAAATTCTTAATTTTTGAACAAAAGGTCCTGCAAATTATGTAGCTAGTTGCAGCTAACAGTATTCATAGGACACTCACATAGAAGATGGTTTTCTCTAGTAAAAGAGGATAATAAAGCTCATATAAATAACTAACAGAACCTGGGTTCCTGGTCACTCTTATAAGTAGATTTCCTGTTTTTAACACTTTAATACCAGTGAAGCTGGCCGGGTGTGATGGCTCATGCATGTAATCCAGTGCTTTGAGAAGCCTAGGCAGGAGACTCACTTGAGGCCAGGAGTTTGAAACTAGCCTGGGCAACATGAGACCCACCCCCACCACCACCACCCGTCTCTACAAAAATAAAAAGATTAGCCAGGTGTTGTGGCATGCACCTGTAATCCTAGCTACTCAGAGGCTGAGGCAAGAGGATTGCTTGAGCCCAGGAGGTCAAGGCTGCAGTGAGCTATGATCACGACATTGCTTTACAGCCTGGGTGACAGGGTGAGATCCTGTCGCCAAAAAAATTAAATAAAAATAAAAATAATTTTTAGGCCGGGTGCAGTGGCTCACACGTGTAATCCCAGCACTTTGGGAGGCCGAGGAGGGCAGATCACAAGGTCAGGAGATCGAGACCATTCTGGCTAACACAGTGAAACCCCGTCTCTACTAAAAATACAAAAAAAAATTAGCCAGGCGTGGTGGCAGGCGCCTGTAGCCCCAGCTACTGGGGAGGCTGAGGCAGGAGAATGGCATGAACCCAGGAGGCGGAGCTTGCAGTGAGCCGAGATCGTGCCACTGTACTCCAGCCTGGGCGACAGAGCGAGACTCCATCTCAAAAAAAATGAATAAATAAATAAAAATAAATAAATAAAAATAATTTTTAAAAACTGCTGAAACTACATTTAAGATACTAGCAAAAGTGTTCTTCTCACATAGACTTTATAGACTCTTCTTTGAGTCAAACTATCCCATGTTCTGTGTGATACGTGAACTACACTGTGGTAGGTGACAGAGAGAAATACTGACAGAAACTGCCCATTTGGACTTGATTACCATCCCCAAATTGAAGTCATCTTTTCCTTTGAATTGAAAGAAAATTGGAGAAGACTATGTGAAAGACCTGAGCCAGCTGACGAAGCTCCACAGCTTCCTGGGTGATGATGTCTTCCTCCGGGAACTCGCCAAGGTGAAGCAGGTGAGCCTTCCAGGTGTGGGTCCCCTCCTGGGCACTCACTGTGAGAGTTTATCCTGTAGTTTTTGTTTATTTTTTGAGACAGAGTCTCGCTCTGTTGCCCAGGCTGGAGTGCAGTGGCACGATCTCGGCTCACTGCAACCTCCGCCTCCCAGGTTCAAGCGATTATCCCGCCTCAGCCTCCCAAGCAGCTGGGATGACAGGCGCCCGCCACCACGCCCGGCTAATTTTTGTATTTTTAGTAGAGACAGGGTTACACTATGTTGGCTAGGCTGGTCTCGAACTCCTGACCTCAAGTGATCCACCCGCCTCGGCCTCTCAAAGTGCTGAGATTACAGCCATGAGCCACCACACCCGGCCTATCCTGTAGTTTTTAAAAACAGACCACCCAGCCGGGCGCGGTGGCTCATCCCTGTAATCCTAGCACTTGGGCAGCCAAGGAGGGTGAATCACCTGAGGTCAGGCATTCAAGACCACTCTGGCCAACATGATGAAACCCCGTCTCTACTAAAAATACAAAAATTAGCCAGGCAGTAGTGGTGTATACCTGTAATCCCTGATAGGATAATCGCTTGAATGTGGGAGGTGGAGGCTGCGGTGATCTGAGATCATGCCACTGCACTCCAGCCTGGGCAAAAGAGTGAGACTCCGTCTCAAAAAAAAGAAAAACCAGACCACCCAATTCTTCTAGGCCAAAAGAGCTCTGGCACCATGCACTGTCTTAACAGGAGAATAAGCTGAAGTTTTCTCAGTTCCTGGAGACGGAGTACAAAGTGAAGATCAACCCATCCTCCATGTTTGATGTCCAGGTGAAGAGGATACATGAGTACAAGCGACAGCTCTTGAACTGTCTGCATGTGATCACGATGTACAACCGTGAGTCAGCCCTGTAGCCAACAAGCCCCCTTGCAGGTGGAAGCAGCAGACTCAGCATAGGTCTCACTGCCCTGACCGTCAGCTGTCTTCCATTTCATCCACTTCTCCATCTTTTTCAGGCATTAAGAAAGACCCTAAGAAGTTATTCGTGCCAAGGACAGTTATCATTGGTGGTAAAGTAAGTTGAATCTATTCAATGGGGACTTGAGGGCTCTAATCTCTTGCCATTCTTCTACTTCATCATGGCTGCCTTCTGTCAATGCGTTTGACCTTCTTCCCCAAAGGCTGCCCCAGGATATCACATGGCCAAAATGATCATAAAGCTGATCACTTCAGTGGCAGATGTGGTGAACAATGACCCTATGGTTGGAAGCAAGTTGAAAGTCATCTTCTTGGAGAACTACAGAGTATCTCTTGCTGAAAAAGGTACTACCCTCATTGCAAAATATGCAGGGGCCAGGGCAAACTCTAGAGATTACATGGTATGAAAGATGGGGCAGCCAACCTCCAGGAGCTAGTAACTTAGGATAGAAGGTGTCACTCTTGTGCAGAATAAGGGCCTACGGTAAGAGGTTTTAAAGTGACCCAAGTCACAATGAAATTGATGTCCTGGAGTCAGTATCACAGGATTATACTTGCAAGTACATTTTCTTCCAAGCCAGTGAGAGCTATGTGCTGGGGGAGGCAGCCCTGGGGTTTCAGCATCATTCAGAACCCGCTCTATAAAACAGAGGAAAGGTCTTCAGTTCCCAGCCCCAGTTTTGCAAGAGAACACCAAATCCCCAGTCTTCAGATATTTCTTTGGTCACCCTGTGAGAAGAAGGGCTGTCACTTGCTCTTGTATCAATAATAAATGAGGGCAGATGTGAGGCTGCCAAAGCACGAGGCTTAGATGTGCCTCACATGGGCACTTCAGCATCAAGCATGATGCTCCCACATGGGGACAGCCAGATGGGCAAGAAGCCAGTGTCCCTTTCTCTTCCACTGGGACCTTTGGTTATTTGGGTCACAAGCTCACAGAGCACCATCCACATGCAAATGCCCAACTGTGTATTCACCCACTTCCCAAACTGAAAAGGTAGAAAGGGAGCTTTTTCTTTTTGTGGTGTTTTTAGGTCCTCTGATGTTACTGTTTAAGAACTCTCTGCATAAAGGGAGAAGAGCCAGGTTC
Organism: Homo sapiens; assembly: GCF_000001405.40. NCBI lineage: Eukaryota > Metazoa > Chordata > Mammalia > Primates > Hominidae > Homo > Homo sapiens. The sequence goes on along the minus strand of NC_000014.9, from coordinate 50,910,984 downwards.
CTAGGGATGCAAAAGAAGATACATCTAATCCACAAATAAGCTCTCACAGTAAAGCAGAAAAGTGGTCCTGACCTTTGTAGTCAAAGGAAGTGCTTCAGGCAGCTCTAATTTGCGTGCAAATCAGCCTGAAAGGTCAGAGGCTAGATGTCTAGCCCCAGGCACACCTCAATTACGTGTGGCTTATTTCCCTGCAGGAAAAGTGGAAGGAAGGAGGTGAGAAGTAGAAGGAATGCAGACAATCCAGTCTCCTCAGGTTGCCAAAGAGGAGTCCTGGAGGGACACTCTGAATGTTATGGATCAAGAGAGAGAAGTTCAGCCTGGGCAGCATAGGGAGACCCCATACATACAAAAATTTTAAAAAATTAGCTGGACATGGTGGTGCTCGCTTGTAATTGCAGCTACTTGGGAGGCTGGGGCAGGAAGATTGCTTGAGCCTAGGAGGTCAAGGCTGCAGAGAGCTGTAATCGCACCACTGCACTCCAGCCTGGGTGACAGAGAGAGACCCTGTACCAAAAAAGAGAAAGAAAAAAAGAGAAATTTCAATATATTTTATAAAGTAGAAGAAATAAAAATAAAACTGTAACAAAAATTGGAAGGAATAAAAGGAAGAAGAGAAATGTAGTATCAATGTTTGTCGCAGTCAATAGATACTCTTCAAAGTTTATAGCTCGAGAAAGAAATACAAGCATATAAAATGGACAAAAGTGGTTGCCTGAGTCAAGGGGAAAGAGTGTGATCTGCCTTCTAGACCATTTGAATGTTTATCTTAATGTGCATGTATTACTTTAATTATCAAAACAGCCCAACTTAATAAATGCTTCAATACAATACAAGCAGATCTAGACAGACAAAATTACTAATTTTAACTTACCTTTCTTGCAGTCATTCCAGCCACAGATCTGTCAGAGCAGATTTCCACTGCAGGCACCGAAGCCTCGGGGACAGGCAATATGAAGTTCATGCTAAATGGGGCCCTAACTATCGGGACCATGGATGGGGCCAATGTGGAAATGGCAGAAGAAGCTGGGGAAGAGAACCTGTTCATCTTTGGCATGAGGATAGATGATGTGGCTGCTTTGGACAAGAAAGGGTAAGAGAATAGCTTCTCTTTGCTAGGCAGGACTGCCCCTCCCCCCTAGAAGGTATGTGACCTCAGAGGGCTTCCTGCCCACACCGATATCCCACTGAAATTGGATCACATAAGAGGTGGCAGCAGAACATCTCCCACGATGAGGCAGGAGAGCCTCCTGGCCACAGATTAATATTATTAAACCCAGCAAATAAAAGTACAGACACATGGAGGAGTTGCTATTTGTTATCGGCCATTGCAGAGCTGGCCTCAAAGAGCTATTTTTCCTCCGTATGTATGATTTTTACTTTGATCAAAAGATGAACCAGTTTCTAGTTGGAAGGGTTGCCTATAATTTAAATCATGATCTAGTGCTCCTTTAAGATATCAAAGAAATGCACTAAAATGTGATAGAGAATAGATACGGGTGTACAGAAGTAATTGGAAACATTTATTTTCACTTCATATCTGGATGGGTTTATTAACCTGAGTTCAAGCACAAAATAAAGAGTACTGCCCAAAGAAGTAACATTTGGAGGATGTTGAATATACTTCCTGACCCTTGGAAGTCAGTTTCACTCAGTAGCAACAACTTTTGAGAATCTGTGGATCCAAAAAGCAACTGATCTACTTAATACAATGTTCATTTAAAGCCATAAAGTCTGCTTTGAAATGGACCTTGCTGTATTCTACCACATCAGACTCTTGATGTTTGACTAGAGTTTTCATTATCTATTGTTCTTAGTGTCTTTGGTTATAAGGAATCAAATTTACAGGAAGAAAAACTTACAGATCTAGTTAAAAGTTATATATACTCATGGTGAAATCTATAATGAAGTCTTTGAATGCTAGTATTTCTGAATGTATTTTTTCACAGTGAATGCAGTGTCTAGTGTGTTGTTAATCACACAACACAATAACAGAGCCTTTTTTTATCACCCACCCACCCCTACCCCACAGGTACGAGGCAAAAGAATACTATGAGGCACTTCCAGAGCTGAAGCTGGTCATTGATCAAATTGACAATGGCTTTTTTTCTCCCAAGCAGCCTGACCTCTTCAAAGATATCATCAACATGCTATTTTATCATGACAGGTGAGTTCCCATAAGAAGATGGTGCTATTTGGATCATGAAAGGGGGACAAGAAAATCTTAAACCAACCAACTCTAAAACCAACAAGAAAATCTTAAACCAATCTTAAACCAACTTAAACCCACTCATGTAGATTAGCATAGATTAGCGTGATCTGCTCAGGTAGTTTAGGCTTGGGGAAAAAGTTAGATATTCTCCACCAGCGATGCCAGTAAGGTTTAAGAATAACACACACAAATCTGGTTCTCTTTTTCTCCTTCCACTGATATTCCCAACTTCCAAATGCATCCCAGTGATGACATTCTCACATGTGAGAACCATAAGAAGGTTGAGGGCTGGTTAAAAGTCTTACAAACAGAAATATGAATTTGGTAAACCAGCCATGCCTGATATTAAGCAAAAGATGATTTTACATGGAATTTTAGCATATATCTATTAATGAAGATTTTGACTGTTTTTTTCCTCTTCCACTCACAAAATAAAAGGTTTAAAGTCTTTGCAGACTACGAAGCCTATGTCAAGTGTCAAGATAAAGTGAGTCAGCTGTACATGGTGAGTAAATTGCCAAGATTTATAAAGAAAACCAGTTTACTATGATTCATTAAAATGTGGGTTTTTTAATTAAATGCAAATATCAGATCCCCATGTAATATCAGATCCCCATTAAGCAATCAAAAAAAAAACAACAAAAACAAACAAACAACCACAACAAAAAAAAAAACCTTGTCTTTTCCCAAGTTCAGGCCAAGGTTGAGATTTGACATTTCAGCAGGAGTTGTAATTTTTTTTTTTTTTTTTTTTTGAGACAGATCTCGCTCTGTCACTCAGACGGGAGTGCAGCGGCGTGATCCTGACTCACTGCAACCTTCACCTCTCGGCCTCCCAAGTAGCTGGGATTATAGGCACGTGCCACCACACTTAGCTAATTTTTGTATTTTTAGTGGAGATGGAGTTTCACCGTGTTGGCCAGGCTGGTCTAGAACTCCTGACCTCAGGTGATTCACCCGCCTCTGCCTCCCAAAGTGCTGGGATTACAGGTGTGAGCCACCATGCCCAGCCAGTTGTAAATTTTTTAATATCCAAGTTTTTTAAAAGTCACAAATAATTCAATATTTTTTGAGCACCCACTCTGTAGCAGACATGTCCTGGAAGCTAAGGAAATAAAGCCTCAGAGGGGCATTAGGCGTCTTTTTTATGCCGGGCACTGTGCTGGCACTGAGAACACAGCATGAGCAAAGTTGAGGTCTCTCCCTCCCTCCCCTCCCTCAAGGAGCCTGTTTGAACATCGAGATTCTTAACCAGAGGTACACATCAGAATCACCAAGGTAGCTTCATCATAGTACAGATGCCAGCCCCCGCACTGAGAGATTCTTTCCCAGTAATGGGTGGGGTCATCAGTATTTGAGAAACCTGCCATGATGATTCTAAGGCTAAAACATGGTTTTTTAAGATAAGGACTGACCCCTATTCTCTGAAAATTGCAAAATAGGTACCTCTTCTGGACTTCTCATGGAGGGGGCTGTATCAATAGAATATAAATTCGTAGAAAGAGAAAGGTGTTCATAATTGAATTTTTAAAAAAAGAAAGAAGAATAAGGAAGACAATACTATACTGAGGGGAAAAAAAAGGGATGGGTAGAGCCATGTGAATAAGCCTCTGCATGCAAAGTTATACGCTTTATCAAACAACTCTCTAGCTGTGTTTTGTAAATATGTAAAAAGGTTGATCATCTCTGATAGGAGAGACTTTTAGTGAATTTCAGATACCCTAGAGGAATGGATACTGGAGGGGGCTAGCTCTGTGCCAAGACTCCAGGGTGGGTTTTACTAACATTTCTTTCTACTCCTTTCCCAAGGCAGATAAAAGGGTAGTTCCTACTGTCATCCTAAATGTCCCACTGGGATTTTAAAAAGGATCATTCAACGCCTGTGCTGCTTTACAGCCCTTATCTTCTAATAGAATAATGGCCAGTCCCCCAGTGGCATATAGACCAGAATAAGTTCAAGTTAATGGCTACAAACAAGCAGGGCAGTGCTAGAGCTAAGCTCAGGGGCTCACTACCTGCTTCCTGTACATTGGAGAGAAAAGCCATATACAGGCCGCAAGAATGCAAAGACACAGGGAAGAGAACGGCCACCTCAAGACAGATCAATAAAACAGCACAGGAAAGAAAAATATGAACAAGGGCAAGGACAAATGTGAATGTCTCCTCTGTTAAAATTATGGCCCAAATCCAAACGATGCTCATCTAGAAACCCAGCATTTGATTCGGTCTTTCTTGTTCATTAGTGCTAATTGCAGCTTTTTACTCTTAACAATGATTGTATTGTTGAGACTTAGTAAACATGACCCATATGACTGGGAAGTCTATTCATTATCCATTTAAATAGTTAAAGAAAATGAAGAGAGAAAGCTTTTATCCTCCTCTTATTACAGGAAGCTTCCAAAGTCTGAATAAACAAATTTCAGATGCTGTTTTGCTGTACCTTAAGGAATGATGGTAGTTTTAGTCTTTCTCGTAAGCATTTATAATGCATTGATAACATTTTTGAATAATGTTCTGTTCACTTCCAATACACTTTTAGAGTTCCTTACAAAATTAAGAGGCTATAAAATAAATTCCTTCTTATCATATTCTTTTATATAAAAATTATGAGATTTTGATATATTTTTATTAAGGATAAAGACTCAATTGACCCTGTTTTGAAGCCCCAGTGGAGTGTTTGGGACTCAGTGTAAGCCTACTAGGGTGCGTATCTTCAGAAAGAACAAGAAAAGCTAAGTAGGTCAATAAAGCCTCTCATTGAATTGTTTGCCTGCATTATAGCTAACATTTTAGAGTAGTGTTTTTCAAACTCTATGAGCCATAGGATAAGTCTCTTGACATGGCATTTAGCAGACAATGGATTCCTCCCCTATAGTTTAAAGGGAAGCATCTTCATTCATAAGAAAGCATGGGAAATATGGCTTACATGCCAAAACATTGTAACCATAGCAGGAATTGCCAACTAGGCAATGTACATCCATGGTTTCTCTTAGAGTGAAAAATACCTTTTTTTCATTCCTAAGAGAATTATACTCTAAATATGAGAAAAGTGCATTCTATTCTACCTCTCAACAGACAAACAAGAATATTTGTAATTTACTATAATTTATTCCTGTCATTTTCCCTCATGAAATGTGTTTGGATGTGCTTGGCTGATGTTTATTATAAAGCTCACTGCGCACTGGGACTCTGGGCTGTATATGCATATGTTGTTTACAGAATCCAAAGGCCTGGAACACAATGGTACTCAAAAACATAGCTGCCTCGGGGAAATTCTCCAGTGACCGAACAATTAAAGAATATGCCCAAAACATCTGGAACGTGGAACCTTCAGATCTAAAGATTTCTCTATCCAATGAATCTAACAAAGTCAATGGAAATTGAACTCTAGAATTGTCTCTAGAAAACATAGCTTCTTACTGAACTTGAACATTTTTACAACATTCACTGGTTTTTGTTTTGTTAGCTAATAATCTATAATAGTTGAGTATCTCTGGGAATGGGGAGGGAAATTATATGTAATAGAGCTTAAAAATAAAGTGTCAATTTCCAAGGGCTACATGAGTGCCAAAACTTATTTTATAGCAAATCTAGTGATGCTTTGCTACTGCTAGGATTTACCCCAAAACTAGTCATAAAATTAGAAAACTGCTTAGAACTTTCAAATGCCATTTAAATGAACTAAACTAAAATACAAAAAACTTAACTATGTAGAAGCAACTTTCTTACACTGCTATCTGAGTCCAAACCAAAGACCAATGTCTTAGTCCCTGTGGGCCACTAAAACAAAATGGCATAAACTGGGTAGCTTATAAACAACAGAAATTTATTTCTCACAGTTCTGGGGGCTGGGAAGTCCAAGAGCAAGGCACTGGCTGATTCAGTGTCTGATGAGGGCTACTTTGTGGTTCATAGATGAAGGCTTCTCACTGTATCCTCAAATGGTAGGAGGAGTGAAGAGCTCTTTTGGTCATAATTTATAAGGGCACTAATCTCATTCATCAGAGCTCAGTCCCACCTCCTATTACCATCACACTGGTGATTAGGTTTCAGCATAATTTGGGGGGGCAGGCCCAGATATTCGGACCATAGCAACTACCTTATTCACAAATATCCACAGAATGTTTAATAACTACATATTTTTAGATAGGATCTAGATTTTACCAAATTCTGGTTCTCCACAGTGAGGTTTCAGCATGTTTTACAAAGTAGATTATGATAAGCTAAATAAGAACATTCCATACTGCCTAACATTCGTACTTTCTGTTGTTAAAATGGCAAGTGATTTGTAGAGAAGTCAATGGCCTCAGCTCATCCGACCAGCCCAGTACAATTTTACATTAGAACAATATACATCACAGGTGGTGTTTGGGCCAAGTCTTCATTGAAGATTTCCACTCCTCCCAGACTCATGACCACTGCTTGCTCAGGAAATCTCTGTAGAAAAAGGACCCAGATCAGCTCACACCCTTTCCCTACCTAAATAAGCAAAATATTATACATTTTCATGTTGTGGCCTAAGTAAGCCAGAGCAGCCCTAATTGCCTTGAAGGGCAACATACATTTAGCAAAGCAACTCTTACCTCACGGTTATTAACAGTGTGGGGCTTTTACAAAGCAGGTTGTGTTGGAAGCCAGGAGGAAAGATAACCATCTTGACCCTCTCTTTGTTCCTGTATGCATTGCGTGCAATTTCATAGAGCTGCAAGCGACAGAAAGAGACTCAAAGGATGGCCATTCAAAGCTGTAGATTTTTCTAGTCCAATTTCCCTAAAAGTGTACAGAAACAGCTAACTTGGGGAGTTTGTTCCATTAAGTCAGAGACAGAAAACTCTCCATGTCCCAGTTGCCTGTCTCTACAGCTAAAGATCTGAATGCTGCTCAGCTAATATAGAATACTGATAAAACCTCATCCTTCCCTGCTTGAACCTCCCTGCAAAATGCCAAGGAATTGTTATGGACCCACTCTAGTAGAAGTTTGTTTAAAAGGAAAAAGTCTGCGTCTTCCATTTTAGAGCCACTACAGTAGAGACGACATGGAGGTTCCCACAGCAGCCTGGGATACCCTACACTTGCAGCTCCACACAATCCAGATGAGGAGCCAGGCTCTGCCACAAACACTCCTTTGAGCTAAGTAGCCAAGGATGCTGATACCCATTTTATAAACCTATAGAGGCTATTTAGGGGTGTAGAGAATCTCCTATAATGTCAGAGACCCTCCTTTCGGCTCTAATCAAAGTTTGGCTGAATGAAAAAAATGGTGAAATGAGTATAGTATATTTCAGTCAGCATTGAGCCCTTAGTTTACCTTTTTCCCATACTCCAAAGGCACTGTCCTGTCATCCTCTCCATGTAAGATGAGAAGAGGAGAAGAAAGGAATTTAACACTAGGGACAAGTAGAAGAAAAGCATTCAGTTAAAGAATGATACATTGAGATTTCTCCTCTTCTAAGTTAAAGCTTTAGCAAAACATGAGGCCTGTCTAAATTACAAGAAATTTCTTTCCTTCCTTCCAAGGAATAACAATATCATACATTTAAAAATTTCACATAGTAGCTTTTTTTCTCCATGCAAGTTTCCCTCTCTCCCATTTACTCATGCAATTTAACTGGCTGTTTAATTAATTTACTTCTGCATGATTTTTGGAAATACTAAAAAAAAAAAACAAAAAACACTGAAACACTGATTTTGTACAGTGTTAGAAGAACCTTATATTCTTCTTTACTCCACCTATTTTGTAACATCTGAAATATTTTATTAAAAGACTAAAAAAGAAAACAAAACTCAAAACCTCAATAAAACAAAAACTATGACAGAATCAGAGACCTCTTTGTAGCAATTTGTTTACTTTTCTCCATAAATGTAGAGGATGGACGTGCAGTTAACAGGTCTGATTAGCTTCCTGGTCAACCCCCTAGTTTGCTAATTCAAAAGGGCTATGGCATGAAGAATGTCTTGTCTCCCACTCTAGTTACTTTCTCAAGCAATGCTTCCCTGTCCCCCCAAAATTCTGATACCCATCCATCTCTGCCACAGTGACTCACTGACACCCCTGAGAATGTTGGATTTTCTCAAGTGTGTTGACATAGAAAAATATATTGACAACTGTCTATTTGGAAGCATTCTTAAATTCTCTAACTGTAACAGGCTAACTTGATAAATTCTAGTCATTGGATTTGCTGTCACATTAGTAAGGTGGATGGTAGACGAGTTTTCATTATATGGGGAAAAGGGCCTAGAAGTCAGAGATGCCTCAAGAAATGTTAGGCTGGTTTTTTGTTTGTTTGTTTGTTTTACAGGATGTCACTCTGTCACACAGGCTGGAGTGCAGTGGCACAATCACAGTTGACTGCAACCTCAACCTCCCAGGCTCAAGTGATCCTCCTACTTCAGCCTCACGTGTAGTTGGGATGACAGGCACGTGCCCCCACGCCTGGCTAATTTTAAAATTTTTTGGTAGAGATGGTGTCTCCCTGTGTTGCCCGGGCTGGTTTCAAACTTCTGGGCTCAAGCTATCCTCTCACTTCAGCCTCCCAAAGTGCTAGGATTATAGGCATACGCTAACACTACCAAGCCCTTTAAAAGGTCTTGATAGGCTATAGATATACAACTTCGTTTATGAATTCAGAGAGAGTACTGAATTGGTGAAGTCATTGAATTAGACATGAGGAAAATAGCAAATACTAAAAATTCATAGATACTTTACCCAAATCTTAGTGCCCATCTAAGAAGCGCAGAACAATATTCTAAGAATAAGAATGATATTCAGGATGTCTCATGTCACCATCCAGTAAGTCACATGATAGTTGCCCCTAGAATCCTTTAGATACAGTAATAATGCATGTCTTTTCATCATTAACTTACTTTTCATCATTAGGAAAGATTATTTTGTCTTTTCTCAGGGCATCCATAAGTGTACGTAAAAATCCTGGAATGTTCCGGTAAATCTATTTTTAAAAAAGAAAAAAAAATTAATATTTGCCCCATAGCTATGCCATCTGTTATATAGTCTTTCACTATGAACCAGGGTAACACAGAGAGTAGTGCTTCTCTAAGTAAGGTAAACTTCACAAAAAACTTCTACGATTTAAAAAGTAATGCACGTCGGGAATTTGGAAAAAAAGAAAGGAATGTAGAAGAAACAAAGCACACATAATTCTGCCATCATAGACCATCATTGTTAACATTTTGTTTTCACTTCCTAAAAATGGCACAACTAACTCTTACTTCTCCATGTAGAAGCAGTGGTATGCAAAACCTAAAATTGCTTCTATTGTGAACATAACTGGTTTAGTTGGTGGACAGAATATTCTGATTAGTCAAAAATTCTGATGAAAATATACAATACATAGAAAATTGATTTTAGAGAATTTGAACATTACAAACTTTTGAATATGATTTAATATGCCAATGCCTTAAAAGACATTTTAGTTTTTAACAATGACCACAGGATTCCAGATATAACAATGCTCACTCTAGACATACTAAATTTGTTGTTTAATAGCAAAATCCAAGAAATAGAATGCTAGCTAAATCCACTTTTACAATGTTTTGACTCACATAGTCAACATGTAAGTTAGTTTATATGCCCTAGAAATATCCGTTTTATCTGGAAATAAGGAGTAAAGGATAAAAATCCTGAGCAATATTGCACCTTTCTCACAAACTTTGAATCCTGCCTCCAAAACTATATCCTAAACCCATTCATTTCTCCCCATCCCCACTATCACTTAGCCTAAGCCACCCTTCATCTCTTGCTTATACTAAGCTGCAATTCCAAGTGGCTCCCCGATTCTGCCTTCACCCTTCCATAATCCAGTTCCCACAGGAAAACCAGAATGATTATTTTAACGTGCAAATCAGATCGTAGCACTCTTTCGCTTAACACCCTCCAAAGGCAATTGGATTAAACCTGAACATGTCACCTTGGCCTCCAAGGCCCTGAAGAATCCGGCGGCTTCCTGCCTCCCTCTCCAGCCTCATCTCCTATCACTAAGCACCTTCCTGTCCACCTCCTGGCTCTGCTGCCTTCTGCTTCTGGAACATGTCAGGCCTGATCCCACCTCAAGGCGCTTGCCTTTACTTTTACCCCAGCCTGAGATCTCTATATTTTCCCATCAGCTGGCTTCATCTCAGGCAGGTCTCAGCTCAGATGCTATTTCTTCGGAGCTGTTTTCCATAACCAGCTACCAAACCTTGCCCCCACCACCCAGTCATTCTCCATCACATTATTTTGGTGCTTTCACAGAACTTCTCACTATTGGATTTCTTTTTTAATGTATTTATCTTCTATCTGTTTCTCCATCAACAATATGAACTTCGTAGGTAAATGGACCACAACTTTCTTATTCCCTGTGGTGTCCTCAAAAACTAGAAAAGTTCCTGGTACATAATAGACACTTCATAAATATTTGCTAAAGACAAAATGAGTCTATTGTGCAAATATCCCTGGCGTACACTTTGTTATTATCTGTCATTTTCATTTAGTATGATTGAATTTCAGATATTACTTATTTTATTTATTTGTTTGTTTATTTTGAGACAGGGTCTCAGTCTGTTGCCTAGACTGGGAGTGGGTGCAGTGGCATGCTCATGGCTCACTGCAGCGCTCAAACTCCTGGGCTCAAGCAGTCCTCCCTCCTCAGCCTCCATAGTAGCTGGGACTACAGGGGTGTGCCACCACACCCAACTAATTTTTTTGTACAGAAGGGGTTTCACCATGTTTCCTAGACTGGTCTTGAACTCCTGGGCTCAAAGCCATCTTCTGGCCTTGACCACCCAAAGGGCTGGGATTACAGGCATGAGCCACAGTGCCTGGCCCAGATTTAAATTTTTTTTTTCTTTTTTTTTTTTTTAGACAGAGTCTCACTCTGTTGCCTAGGCTGGAGTGCAGTGGTGCAATCTTGGCTCACTGCAACGTCTGCCTCCTGGGTTCAAGCAATTCTCCTGCCTCAGCCACCCAAGTAGCTGGGACTACAGGCATGCATCACCACGCCCAGGTAATTTTGTATTTTTAGTAGAGATGGTGTTTCGCCATGTTGGCTAGGCTGGTCTCGAACTCTGACCTCAAATGATCCGCCTGCCTCAGCCTCCCAAAGTGCTGGGATTACAAATCTTTGCAATAAATTTGCAAAGAGGAAAAATAAGCAAAGTATTATACATTTTCGTGTTGTGCCTGAGAGAGGAGGGGTAGAGGGGGTAGTAAATGGGACATGGCCAAGAGAAGGAAATAGGCACAGAATAGGGAGGTTGGACCCAATAAATACAAACTTCTGCTTCACAATTTTTTAAAAAGAAAAAGAAATTAAAACTTGCCCCATGGCTATAATGTCATTTGTTAATAGTCTCCTACTATGAACTGTAATAATAGAATAGAGACTTTCTAAATAGAATAAACTTAAATACAATTTTTCTGATTTTAGAAAGTAATTGATGTCATTTTAGGGAATGTGGTAAGGAAATGGGTATAAAATAGGTAAGCCAGTGCCACTAAATACAAATTGCTGCTTCATAGTTCTGGCTTAGGCCTGCTATTCCCCCAGGAATCTCCTTGGTTTTTGGTTTTATTTTGTTTTGTTTTTTTGAGACGGAGTGTCATTCTTGTTGGCCAGGCTGGAGTGCAGTGGCACGATCTCGGTTCACCGCACCTCCGCCTCCCGGGTTCAAGTGATTTTCCTGCCTCAACCTCCCGAGTAGCTGGGATTACAGGCACCTGCCACCATGCCCAGCTAATTTTTGTATTTTTAGTAGAGACAGGGTCTCGCCATGTTGGCCAGGCTGGTCTTGAACTCCTGACCTCAGGTGATCCACCCGTCTCGGCCTCCCAAAGTGCTGGGATTACAGGCGCCAGCCACCGTGCCCAGCTGGAATCTCCTTGGTTCTGTGGGATTTGTCTGGCCTGAACTTTTTGGCCTGGTCTCATAGCAACTGATCTGCATTCAGGTGTGCTCTGGACTTCCTGACACAGCCTTTCCTTCTCTTTCTTCTCCCTCCTCTTCCATGCTAAGGGCAAGATTTCTTGTTTTGTTTTCTCTTTTGTCTTCTGGTACTCTCACCCCTGGAATTAAGACTCCCCTGAGGAGAATTCAGTAAGAGAAGTCCTTCAGCAATTCATCTCAAATTCTGAAAGAGTAGGAAGAAAGCAAGCCCCGGTCAATCTACTCTCATTATTCCTCATTCCCTTCCAGCCAGGAGTGCCCTTTGAGACTCACAGGTCATACCTTCCCCTCCAGCCTAGACCATGGCAATGGGCTCTCCTAATTGGTCTTCCTACCTTCCTCTCTCTTCTGTAACACCACCAGATAAACATCCTTAAAATACCAGTTATATTAAATCTGCTGTTACGAAGCTTTGGGCATGCCACACTATCTACTGAAAACAACAACTAGACAGCAAGCCCATGCACATCTGGCCACAATCTTTCATTCCAAACCCTGCTCACCTCCAGTCTATCTGCCTGCAATTAGAAGATGTAGGTTTGAGTCTCATTTCTTCTTCTTATAAGATATGTGACAATTAGGCAAACCTATAGGTCTCCATTTCTCTCATCTCTAAGTGGAAGCAATGATGACAAACTCAGAGAGTTGCTGTGAGGATTTAAAAGAATAACGAGTGCGAAAGACTTGTGTGGAAGTCCTCTATTAACTCTCAGGCAGTTTATAACGTAGAACAGCCCCATTCCTGCCAGGGGTCTGAGTTAACATTCACCTGTTCCTCGCTCTGTTTCCTAACTGCTTTCCCTCACCTTCAAGAAAGAAGCTTAGGTCCAATAGGCTCTGAAGTCTTCATTGGCCACACCTGTGAGCAAAGCCTCTCTCTTCAGTAATTCTCCCTGCCTTGAATTCTCCCTGCCTTTTCCTGCCATACATAACACTTTAGCCTAATTTGTAACAGAAAGAGGGACGGAAAGGAACAAGTATTTGTCTAGTGCTTACTAGCAGCTGGGTACTTTACATACATTATCTTACTTAATTCAGTCTTCACAACAACCCTGTGCAGTGGTCTTCGCCAACCCCTTGGTAAAAAAATGGGAAAACTTAGGGAGAAACAATTTACCAAGGTCACAAAGGGTATGTGGCCAAGGACAGATTTGAACCCAAGTCTGAGTGGCTCCACAGCCCATACTCTTTTCCACAACATCATGCTGCCTTTCAATTCTGAGTAACAAAACTGATTCCAAAGAGACCCGTAGAAATCCCTGTTAACTTTATACCTCCTATTTATGTCCTGTTGAGATCAAGTGATAGAAAAACCTATACCATGCAAACACTAATCAAAACAAAGATATACAAATATTGGACAAAGTTGACTTTAAGTCAAGAAGCAATATTGATCACAAAAAAGGTGGACATTTTATGATGAAAATGATAAATCCACCTGGAAGATATGAAAACTAAATCATAGGCTGGGAATGGTGGCTCATGCCTGTAATCCCAGCAGTTTGGGAGGCTGAGGCAGGTGGATCACCTGAGGTCAAGAGTTTAAGACTAGCCTGATCAACATGGTAAAACCCTGTCTCTACTAAAAATGCAAAAAATTAACCAGGTGTGTTGGCACATGCCTGTAATCCCAGCTACTTGGGAGGGTGGGGCAGGAGAATAGCTTGAACTCAGGAGGCAGAGGTTGCCATGAGCTGAGATCACGCCACTGCACTCCAGTCTGGGTGACAAGAGTGAAACTCCATCTCAAAAAAAAAAAAAAAAAACTAAACTAAATCATAATATTATTAGGCTTATGTACCTAACAACATAACCTCAAAAAAACTAAAACAAAAATTAACAGTACTAAAATAGAAATAAACCATTCCACAATCATGATGAGGTACTTTAATAATCCTCTTTGAGTAACTGAAAAAGCAAGCAGTCCAAAAAACCAGTAACAATAGACAAAATTTTTTCATGCGCGTCTGTGTGAAGAGACCACCAAACAGGCTTTGTGTGAGCAACATGGCTGTTTATTTCACCTGGGTGCAGGCGGGCTGAGTCCGCAAAGAGAGTCAGCCAAGGGAGATAGGGGTGGGGCCGTTTTATAGGATTTGGGAAGGTAATGGAAAATTACAGTCAAAGGGGGTTGCTCTCTGGTGGGCAGGGGCGGGGGTCACAAGGTGCTCAGTGGGGGAGCTTCTGAGCCAGGAGAAGGAAATTCGCAGGGTTAATCACTCAGTTAAGGTGGGGCAGCTTCTGAGCCAGGAGAAGGAAATTCACAGGGTTAATCACTCAGTTAAGGTGGGGCAGGAACAAATCACAATGGTGGAATGTCATCAGTTAAGGCAGGGCAGGGCCTTTTCACTTCTTTTGTGATTCTTCAGTTACTTCAGGCCATCTGGGCGTATATGTGCAAGTCACAGGGGATGCGATGGCTTGGCTTGGGCTCAGAGGCCTGACATTCCTGCCTTCTTATATTAATAAGAAAAATAAAACAAAATAGTGTTGAAGTGTTGGAGCGGTGAAAATTTTTGGGGGGTGGTATGGAGGGAGAATGGGCGATGTTTCTCAGGGCTGACAGGTAAAACGGGGGAATTGTAAGGAGAGTTTATAGGCTTTAAAAGGCCATGCTGTAGCAGGTGAGTGATAACAGGCTTTAATCTTTTTAAAGCATGCTGCAGGACGGGATATTGGCGTTGAGTGGGGTAAGGGTGATTAGGTTTTAATGAGATGGTAAGGGGTGCATGATCGGTCACCAAGGAGGGAGTAGAGGTATCTTATACTTGTGGGTTAAGGTCGGGGGATACAAGAGGAGGACGCAAAGGAGGCTTTGGATTGGGAAGAAGGGCGGCAATGAGATATAGCTGTAGTCCAGGAATAGTCAGGGAAGCAGATAATTTAGTTAAAGTGTCTCAGCCTAATACGGGAACTGGGCAGGTGGGGATAACTAAAAAGGAGTGCTTAAAAGAGTATTGTCTAAGTTGGCACCAGAGTTGGGGAGTTTTAAGAGGTTTAGAAGCCTGACCGTCAATACCCACAACAGTTATGGAGGCAAGGGAAACAGGCCCTTGAAAAGAAGGTAATGGGGAGTGAGTAGCCTCCGTATTGATTAAGAAGGGGACGGGCCTACCTTGCACTGTGAGAGTTACCGGAAGCTCGGCGTCTGTGATGGTCTAGGGGGCTTCCGAGGCGATCGGGCAGTGTCAGTCTTCAGCCGCTAAGCCGAGAAGATCTGGGAAGGAGTCAGTCAGAGAGCCTTGGGCCAGAGTTCCAGGGGCTCTGGGAGTGGCTGCCAGGTGAGTTGAACAGTCCGATTTTCAGTGGGGTCCCAGAGAGATGGGACGCGGCTTAGGAGGAATCCCGGGCTGCGGGCATTCCTTGGCCCAGTGGCCAGATTTCCGGCACGTGTAGCAAGCTCCTGTGGGAGGAGGTTCTGGAGGAACGCCTGGCTGCTGCGGTTCAGGCGTTTGGAAGTTCTTGTGTGCTGGAGATGTGGCTGGGGTTTGTCTCACAGTGGAGGCAAGGAATTGCAACTTTTTTCTATTATTGTACACCTTGAAGGCGAGGTTAATTAAATCCTGTTGTGGGGTTTGAGGGCCGGAATCTAATTTTTGGAGTTTTATTTAATGTCGGGAGCAGATTGGCTAATAAAATGTATTTTGAGAATAAGATGGCCTTTTGACCTTTTAGGGTCTAGGGCTGTAAAGTGTCTCAGGGTTGCTGCCAAACACGTCATGAACTGGGCTGGATTTTTATATTTGATGAAAAAGAGCCTAAATGCTATCTGATTTGGGATAAAGAAAAAGGAGCATTAACCTTGACTATGCCTTTAGCTCCAGCCACCTTTTTAAGAGTAAATTGCTGGGCAGGTGGGGGAGGGCTAGTCACGGAACGAAACTGTAAGCAGGACCAGGTGTGAGGAGGGGAGGCGATAAAAAGATTATAGGGTGGAGGAGCAGAGGCTGAGGAAGAATTGAGGCCTAGCTCGGCCTGGCGAGGAGGGGAGAGGTCAGACGGGTCTGTAGAAAAGGAAGATTAGAAAGACTCAGCGACGCTTGGGGTTGGGACTGGGGGGACAGGCGGGAGGGAAAGAAGGAAGATTTGGGACGAGTTGCACTGGGCACAGAGACTAGGAAGGGACTGATGTGTAAAAGAATGCCTGGACGTCAGGCACCTCAGACCGTTTGCCTATTTTACAACAAGAATTATTTAGATCTTGCAGGATGGAAAAATTCAAAGTGCCATTTTCTGGCTATTTGGAACTACTGTCGGTTTGTATTGGGGTCAAGCGGCATTGCAGAAGAAAATAAGTCATTTAGATTTTAGGTCAGGTGTGAGTTGAAGAGGTTTTAAGTTTTTGAGAACACAGGCTAAGGGAGAAGAAGGAGGAATGGAAGGTGGAAGCTTGCCCATAGTGAAGGAGGCAAGCCCAGAGAAAAGAGTAGAGACATGGAGAAGGGGTGGGGGGGTTCTTGCCCTCCAGAAAAGCAGAGAAGGGGTTGGGGCACGGAAATAAGGGATTAGGGCACAGAGATAAGAGGTCAGGGTGCAGAAATAAGCGATTGGGGGTTTTTTGCCCCCTAGGAAAGCGGGACTTGCCGCTAAGGGTGAAGGAGAAGGGGTTGAGGGGTACTTGCCCCTGCCCCAGGAAAGCGGGACTTGCCACTAAGGATGAAGGAGAAGGGGTTGAGGGGTACTTGCCCCTCCCCCAGAAGAGCAGAGAAGGGGTAGAGACAAGGAGAGAAGGGGTTGGGGTACTTGCCCCTTCCCCAGAAAAGCGGGACTTGCCGCTAAGGGTGAAGGACCAAGGCAGGCGTCCCTGCGTGGTCTGACACCCTTGAAACGTGAGTGAATAATCAGAGAGGTGTCCCTGCAATGATTAAACACCAAGGGAAGGCTGCCTTCCCAGTCTGTGGCCAGCGCCGGAGTTTTGGGTCCACGGATAAAACGTGTCTCCTTTGTCTCTACCAGAAAATGAAAGGAATTGAAATTAAGAGAAGGGAGAGATTGAAGTGTGGTGCCAAGATTGAAAGGAGAAAGAGGTTGAGGGATAGTGAGGGAGGTTGGAGAAGAGAGTAAAAAGAGGCCGCTTACCGGATTTGAAATTGGTGAGATGTTTCTTGGGCTGGTCGGTCTGAGGACCTAAGGTCATAGGTGGATTTTTCTCATGGAGCAAAGAGCAGGAGGATGGGGGATTGATCTCCCAAGGGAGGTCCCCCGATCCGAGTCACGGCACCAAATTTCATGCGCGTCCGTGTGAAGAGACCACCAAACAGGCTTTGTGTGAGCAACATGGCTGTTTATTTCACCTGGGTGCAGGTGGGCTGAGTCCGAAAAGAGAGTCAGCCAAGGGAGATAGGGGTGGGGCTGTTTTATAGGATTTGGGAAGGTAATGGAAAATTACAGTCAAAGGGGGTTGTTCTCTGGTGGGCAGGGGTGGGGGTCACAAGGTGCTCAGTGGGGGAGCTTCTGAGCCAGGATGAGCCAGGAAAAGGACTTTCACAAGGTAGTGTCATCACTTAAGGCAAGGACCGGCCATTTATACTTCTTTTGTGGTGGAATGTCATCAGTTAAGGTGGGGCAGGGCATATTCACTTCTTTTGTGATTCTTCAGTTACTTCAGGCCATCTGGGCAGATACCTGCAAGTCACAGGGGATGCGATGGCTTGGCTTGGGCTCAGAGGCCTGACAAATTTAAGCATGGTTAATAATCCCGATTCAATCGACGTACATAGAACACTGCATGAAAAACAGCAGAACACATTCTTTTCAAGCATATGGAAAATTTGCCAAAATTGACCATACATTGGTACACAAAGTGAGTCTCAACAAATTTCAAAAGACTAAAATCATACACAGTATATTCTTGGATCTTGAGAGATTTAAGGTAAAAATCAATAAAAATCATAATCAAATGCCCAAATGCATAGAAGTTATGAATCATACTTCTAAATAATCCATATAGTCAAGGAGGAAATCACAATAATATTATAAAATATTTTGAACTAAATGATAATTAGAACACACTTCAAAATTTGGTTGCGGCTGAAGTGTGGTTTAGGTGAAGTATGCCTTAGTACATAAATTAGAAAAAAATAGTAAAAATAAATTATTAGATGGTATTAAGTACTATCTAAAGAAATTTTTAAATAACAACTTAAATCCAAAGAACATATGAGAAAGGGAATAATACAGGTAAAACCAGAAATTAAAAATATAGAAACCATATAACACAGAAGATAAAGTCAAAGCTGGTTCTTTGAAAAGACTGACAAAATTAATTAACTTCTGCTGTGAGTGTTGGCTGCTTCTCCTTATTCTTAGATGACAGAAGCCATCACTCCTAAGAGGTTACGCCATCCTCCCGCCCCTCCTCCACTGCCTACCTTAGCGGAGGGCAGAAACAACAGGCCCTTTGCTTCAAAGCTTAGCACCCCGCCTGAATCAGGCCAAAGCTAGACTTTGCCTGAGGTCACGTCCTTGTTCTGCTCTTCCCCCTTTCCAGTGCTACTACCCTCATTCCCTTTTGGATTTTTTCCTGAAGAACATTTCCTCAATAAATCAAACACACCAAATCTCTGTCTCAGGCTTTGCTTCTAGGAGAATATGACCTAAAACTGAAACTAAACAAAACCTAAATGAGAAATAAATGTAAAATTAAATAAATAAATAATAAATAAAACACAATACTCATGAATTTGAAGACTCAATGTTAGAAAGATACCAAGTCCCCCAAATTTATCTCAAGTCCCCCAAATAGATCCAATGCAATCCCAGAGTCCCAGCAAGTTTTCTGTAGAACATGACAAGTGTATTTCAAAATGTATACCGAAATGCAAAGCGTTAAGAATAGCCAAGACAATCCTGAATAAGAAGACAAAGCTGAGGAACTTATACAACCAGATATCAAGACATATTATAAAGCTATAGTAATTAAAAGACCATAGTATATTAAGATTGACAGATAGACAATGGAGAGAAATGAGAACCTACCACCAGACCTCTCTCTATATGTATAGACACTGATATATGCAAACATTAGCACTGCATAGTGGTGGGGAAGGTCCATTTAATAAATGACTCTAGACCAATTAGACACTCATGTGGACCCCTGCCTCCATACAAAAATCTAAACCTGTGGATTATAACTTTACATGTAAAAGGTAAAATAGAGTTTCCAGAAGACAACATAGAAGAGTATCTTGATAATCTTTGGGTAAGCAGAGTTTTATTATAAATGACATAAAAGTTACCATAAAGAAAAATATTGGTAAATTGGTCCACATTAAATTTAGAAATCTCTCTTTATCAGCTGGGCGCGGTGGCTCACGCCTGTAATCCCGGCACTTTGGGAGACCGAGGTGGGCGGATCACGAGGTCAGGAGATTGAGATCATCCTGCCTAACACGGTGAAACCCCGTCTCTACTAAAAACACAGAAAAATTAGCCAGGCATGGTGGCGGGCGCCTGTAGTCCCAGCTACTCGGGAGGCTGAGGCAGGAGAATGGCGTGAACCCGGGAAGCGGAGCTTGCAGTGAGCCGATATCACGCCACTGCACTCCAGCCTGGACGACAGAGCCAGACTCTACCTCAAAAAAAAAAGAAACGTCTCTTTATCATGACATATCATTAAGAAAGTGAAAAGACAAAACAAAATAATACAATATATTTACAATAAAAATAATGTTCTAATGACTCATATCCAGCATCTATGAAGAAATTCAACAAATAAAAAGAAATAAAATCTACCTGAAAAATGGGCAAAAGACATGAACCAGTACCTCACAAAAGATGATATCCAAATGGCTAATAAACATATTAAAAGTTGCCCAACCTCACTGGTTATAAGGGAAATGCAAATTACAACCATATTGATATATCAATATGAGGGCAAGGATTTGAAGCAACTGGAGCTCTCATACAGGATTGGTGAGAGAGTAAAGTGGTAAAGTCATTTAGGAAAACTTGCACTGTAATGATTAAAGCTGGCCATATGGATACCTTATTACCCCACAATTCTACTCCTAGGGTATACCCCGGTGAAATTCTTGTACATGTTTACAGAATACAGGTTCAAGAACATTCATAACAACAATATTGTTAATTTCCCCAAACTGAAAGTAATACAAATATAATAAACAACACAATAGATCAATAAATTTTGGTATGTACATACAATGGAATAGTATATGGCAATGAAAATAACCAACCTACAGCTATACTATGCACATCATGAATACAATCCCACAAATATAATGTTGGGTGAAAAAAATAAAATATATTCTATATAATTTTACTTTCATATAAAGTTCACAGACAAAACAATATTGCTCAGAGATGCATGTACAGGTGGTAACTCTATAAATAAATGCATAGACATGATTACCGTAAAATTCATCTAAGAATTCCATCTAAGGACTAAGGATTACATCTAAAATAAGGCTTACTGGATTGGGAAGTAATATACAGAAGACTTCTAGAGTGTGGGTGATGCTCATTTCTTGACGTAGGTAATAGTTACATGGGTGTTCAGTTTATAATTGCTCATTAAATCATGTATTTTCCTTATTTCGCTAAATTTCAACATTAACACATTTTTAAAAACAAACTAAATAAAAAGATTGTATTTGACTTATGTTACATACCTACAATTTAATGAATTTATTAGTAATGACTTAGAGTAATATGATAGATATGCAATTAATGGTTATATTATATTAAAATGAATGTTCAGTTTCTAGAACCAATTGAAAATATTTATTATATCTGAAATTACTCAGCATTCAGTATTTTGCAGTGTAGAGGGGATTCCTATATTTAGTTAAACTTAGATATTAAAGCCATTTTCAAGAGTATGTGATTATGTGAACTCGCTGTCCTAGAAAGTGGTGAGCTACTTTTCCCTGAAAATAGTTAAGTAAGTTTCAGAAATTCTGTCTATGATGGAATTCTATCTATGATGGCTTATTGTACAAAAAAATTCCTAAAGTTGTTAGAGTAACATACTCCAAGATGTCTTACAGTATGAAACAACAATGTAGAATAATTATTAAATTGAGGCCATGTATCCCTCTAAGACTTTCGCTCTCTCTCTCTCCCCACCTCTCATTTGCTAACGTTTACACGTACGTACAACTCTAAACAATTGAGCATTAGGTATAGAATAAGATTATAAAGTTAGGATAGTCTACACAATAGATTTTTTTTTCTTTCTTTGAGACGAAGTCTCACTCTGTCGCCAGGCTGGAGTGTAGTGGCGTGATCTCAGCTCACTGCAACCTCTGCCTCCCGGGTTCAAGCGACTCTCCTGCCTCAGCCTCCTGAGTAGCTGGGACTACAGGTGCGTGCCGCCACACCCAGCTAATTTTTGTATTTTTAGTAGAGACGGGGTTTCACCATGTTGGCCAGGATGGTCTCGATCTCTTGACCTTGTGATCCAGCCACCTCAGCCTCCCCAAGTGCTGGGATTATAGGTGGGAGCCACCACTCCCGGCCTTTGTACTTATTTTCTTAGAAAGTTTGTCTTCATCTGGCATACTGTGTAAAAGTATTTGGCAGCTTTCTTAAATTCTCTAGAAACTTTCTTACGATAAAGTTATGAAAGATATTCAAATGACATTCATAGGGCTCAAAAATGATGTATGAAACGTTTGTTTTCACTTTTAAGAAGAAAATAAAAATAAATAATAAACTTAAGGCAAGTCTATCTACTACAAAATTATAAAACAGATATCCTTAGAAGAAAGTGAAGGAAATATCAAATCCGACAGCCATGGGTTCCCTTTTGTGGTAACTGGTTAATAAACTGTCTCAGATTAGAATAACTTAAAAACATATAAAACTACTTAAGAAAAGGAAGACTGTTAATAAACATACATGTGTAGAAATAGCCTACACTGTATCAAAATAGCCTACTTTGATCCCTTGTAAAGATGAATCAGAGTCTCACCTTTAACAAGGGATAATTGATACTTGCAACCCACATGTTGGTAAATGGAGCTTCCAAGACAATAGCATCAACTGGGCATCCTTGAAATGAAAGAAAGAAAGAAAGAAATCAGTAACTCCCCTATTCAAATACCATCTTTCCTAGATAAGGGGTATTCAAGATCTTGTACATGAGCTACGTGCATCAAAATTATTTGTGAAGGTTATTAATAATGCAAATTCCTGGACCCCACCTCATATTTATGAGTCAGATTCTCCAGGGTGAGGGCTGAGAATGTGCATTTTAACACGCTTCCACCCTCCCCTCCCCAAGAGGTTTCTGTGCACATGATGATAACTGAAAACCACTACCTTCTTCTAAGAACACAACCAGGTCATC
This sequence comes from Homo sapiens, assembly GCF_000001405.40. Classification (NCBI taxonomy): domain Eukaryota; kingdom Metazoa; phylum Chordata; class Mammalia; order Primates; family Hominidae; genus Homo; species Homo sapiens. The sequence goes on along the minus strand of NC_000014.9, from coordinate 50,888,525 downwards.
ATGGCTTGGACAACAAGAAAGCAAGGCCAGGCACGGTGGCTCACACCTGTAATACTAGCATTTTGGGAGGCCACGGCAGGCGGATCACGAGGTCAGGAGATGGAGACCATCCTGGCCAACATGGTGAAACCCCATCTCTACTAAAAATACAAAAATCAGCCAGGCATGGTGGTGCACGCCTGTAGTCCCAGCTACTCGAGAGGCTGAGGCAGAAGAATCGCTTGAACCCGGGAGGCAGAGGTTGCAGTGAGCCGAGATTGCGCCACTGCACTCCAGCCTGGCGACAGAGCAAGACTCCGCCACAAAAAAAAAAAAAAGAAAGAAAGCAAAGTACTACAGGAAGACGGTTTTCTGCAGTCCATGCAGTCCGTTGCTAAGAATGTGCCAGAGGCTGACTAGGTTGTTTTGGTCAACACTGACTCTAAGAACAATTAGAAAAGATGTGGTTGGTTAAGGTATGTATACATATATGTTTGAAAGGATATGGGGGCTAGTGGTCAGTGAGAAACTACAGAACCAATACCAAAAGAGAGAAGTCCAGAGAGTTTGAGCTGCCTTTTCCCTCAACTCAGTTGAAAGCAATAGTGGTGGCTGAGAGAATCAGAAACGAGACAAAACTTTCAGCATTCTGACCTAATCCAAATGACAGAAATTAGAGTTCAGGATCTGACAAAAAAGAGGACCCTAGTACATTTCTCAGGCTTTTGGTTGTGATCTCAAAGAACTACAGTCTAGGAGTAATGTGAACTAGAAATAGGCCAGCCATCATAAAGACTGAAGACCAGCTTCAGATCAGCTCAATCTCTAATTAGATTAAGGTGATCTGTCCCTACCATAACTGCCTTTCAGGAGAAGAGTAAATTATATCTGGAAGAAGATAATATCAGTTCAAACCTCAAATCATTTCTATGATTTTCCATAAGCCATGTGTAGCCCTTAATCAAAAATAGCCATACAAAGATGAGCAAAACACACACACACAAAAGCAGATAATTGTAATGTAAATGTTTAAATTGTATGGCATTAGGGTAATGAATATTTGCATTTATATAGCATCTCTATATAAGGAGTAAATTCTAATTTTAATTTTTTTTAAATGACCCTGTTCACAGAGATTCTAATTCTTCAAATCAGCTAGGGTCGAAGATTCTGATACTAACAGTTAGATCACTTTGAGAAACCCTGACATAAATATTACTAAGAAGGGCTGCAGAAAGCCAGTTCTGTGTATCATTTAATGATACAGTATTTTTTTATCCTGTAATTTAAATTAATATGATATCACTAGGAGGACTCTTTTTTTTTTTTTTTTTTGAGACAGACTCTTGCTCTGTCGCCCAGGCTAGAATGCAGTGGCAATCTCGGCTTACTGCAACCTCCACCTCCTGGGTTCAAGCAATTCTCCTGCCTCAACCTCCCAAGTAGCTGGGATTACAGGCACCCACCACTGTGCCTGGCAAATTTTTGTATTTTTAGTAGAGACAGGGTTTCACCATCTTGGCCAGGCTGGTCTCGAACTCCTGACCTCGTGATCCACCCACCTCAGCCTCCCAAAGTGCTGGGATTACAGGCGTGAGCCACCACATCGGCCAAGGAGGACTCTTTCAAGGTGATTTTAACTTGTTCCTTCATATTTATTTTTAACTGCAGAATCTGAAAAAACAGCTCTTGTTTTATATTAAAGGGAGATCAAAAAGAAAGCCTGTTGCACTGCCAGAAACCATCTAAAGTTGGGATGCTTTTGGTGTCTATATGTTCAAAGTGTACACAATAGTCTCTTGACTGTTTTTACTTTCCCATCTGAAGATGGGAAATTATACCACTTAAGCATTTTATATTACCTTTTTCTTCTAGCACTTTTGCAGCATTTGTTGCAACTCTGTAAAGCAATGAAAATTAGTACATGTGTTAAGCAATAACAGTACAAAATGCAACTTCTGGTATGAGCATCTGATAAAAGCTCTGGGCTCTCTGGTTAGAAAAATGCATATAGACACAAAATTTGCACGCTATTTAAAAGGGTTCCACAGGCCCTATACTAAGGGGGTCATTTTCTTTCTTTCTTTCTTTTTTTTTTTTTTTTTTGGAGACAGAGCCTCACTCTGTCACCCAGGCTGGAGTGCAGTGGTACAATCTCGGCTCACTGCAACCTCTACCTCCCTGGGCTCAAGTGATTCTCCTGCCTCAGCTTCCTGAGTAGCTGGGATTACAGGCACGCACCACCAAGCCCAGCTAATTTTTGGTATTTTTAGTAAAGATGGGGTTTGGCCATGTTGGCCAGGCTAGTCTCGAACTCCTGGCCTCAAGTGATCTGCCCACCTCAGCCTCCCAAAGTGCTAGAATTACAGGTGTGAGCTACCCCGCCTGGCCAAGGATCCTTTCCTTTAAAACCCTCAGAAAGACTTGGACTTCAATGTAATAGATAACCGTAGAGCTGAAGGGACCTTCTGTTGTTTTACAAATAGCATGGTAAGATGGCAAGATCTTCAGCCACTTCTAGTGTGTGAAAATGATCAGCAAAGAGTCCCTGTCTTCTGGCTCGGTGCTCCCTCCACTACTGGCTGCTGCCTTTGATAGGACACTAAAGCCTCAAGGACCTGCCTAAGGACACATTTGCAGATCTCACTTACCCTGTACCCAGAGAGTGGCCCCAGAGACACACGGGAGTGATGCCACTTCTTGCCTTGGTCCACTCATAGACACAAATGGCATCCGTAGTCAGTCCCTCCTCTGTGGGCTTACCTGTAGAGTCCCCAAATCCTGGCAGCAAGAAAAGGCAAACACAGTATCACTGCCTTCAAAATGAGGGGTCATCAGAGGCCCCCTGGTTACTGAAACATCTTTGTACACCGTTCTTAACACATACCTCTGTAGTCAACAGACAAGACATGAAAGCCACCATCACTCAGCACCTAGGTAACAAAGGAGCTGTTATCACTTTAATTAGAAGATGAAAACAGAAAAGGCTTCTCCTCCCTATATCCATCCATATCACATCACAAGGAGGGCTCTTTCAAAGGTAATTTTAACTTGTTCATTAGTATTTTTTTTAACTGCAGAACCTAGAAAAACAGCTATTATTTTGTATTCGATGAAGATATTTAAAAGAGAGTTTGTTGCACTGTCAGAAACTCTGAGCTATTAAAACTCAGCTGTTTTAATAGAAAAACAGCTATTTTATATTCGATGAAGATTAAAAAGAAAGTTTGTTGCACTGTCAGAAACATCTCTAGGATGCTCTAGGTATCTGTATGTTCAAAGCATACACACAAGTTTAACAGGTGGGGAAAGATGTATTTTTGAAATCTGGTGTTTGACTTCCAACTTGAGAAGGCGAGGCTCAGTGGGAGAGACGGAGAGCAGGAAGGCTGAGCAGGGTCAGACACCCGGGGTCTCACGCTGGCTCTGCCACTTACCTGCTGTGTGACCTTGGCCAAGTTATTTAACATTTACATATGTAAATATTATTCTGAAAAGTGAGAAACAATAATAGTCGCCTTTAGGTCTATAAATGTCTCTTTTTAAAAATTCCTTGAGAATAAGAACTCTACACAGAGTTGTAGTAGAAGCAATCAAAAAGGGGAAGCTATTTATATTAAATATGAATAATGAAAACATAATTTTTCATGAAATGAAATACAATGATTGTTGGGTGTGGTGGTGCACACCTGTAATCCCAGGACTCAGGAGGCTGAGGCAGGAGAATCGCTTGAACCTAGGAAGCTAAGGTTGCAGTGAGCAACCAAGATCACACCACTGCACTCCAGCCTGGGCAACAGAGACTCTGTCTCAAAAAAAAAAAAAAAAAAAAAAAAAAAAAAAAGAAGAAATACAATCATAGATAAAGAAAAGAGAGATAAAAAAGGACAAAATTTTACTGTGCAGGCACTTTTGAAACTTTATTTAATCCTCACAACTGTACTGTAAAGTAGATATTATCCCCATTTTACGGATAAACTGAGCCTTGTGGAGCTTAAGTAACTTATTTAACATCACCCAACTGGCTAGAACTAGAACGAAGATTCACTCCTGGGTCTGCCCCTGTCCAAATACTGCGCTTCCTCCCACTGCATTTTATATCCGGGTGGCAAAACCTCATTAGGAACTTGTAAATACAAATTAAACTAATAACAAGGAGCTAAATATACCTTTTACATATCTGTTACATTCCCTCCAAGAAAGTTAGCCAAGCGGCTAAGCATCCAGGAAAATGGGAATATGCATGTGTGTTGCAGCACGTGTTGAAGGACCACTAGGCAATACAACCCAAGAACCACAACTGCAACAAACCCTACTCTTAAGAATTCATTTCTAGGAAAAAGACATGAAAGAAGAAAAATCTAGATGCTTATAGTTTTCTGAAACAATATTAGTTAAAGCAAATGCAGGGAGGAAAAATCTTATATCCAATAGCAGTGTAACAGTTAAGTAAACAATTGCTTATAAATACAATGGAGAATGACACAACCTTTTAAACTGGCTAACTATGATGACTGTGAAAACATGGAAGAATGTCTATAAAATAGTGGGAAGTAAAAGAGCACAACCTAAACGTATATATAGATACAATCATAGTAACAAAAGCCTTTTATAAGGAGAAGTAAAAACTAGGTGGGAATGCAAATAAATGAAAATAGCTGTATTAGTCTGTTGCAGTGATGAATACATGAATGAATGAAAATTTAATAATGAAAATTTATTTTTTTAAAGAAATCACCTATCCAGAGGAGGAAAGGAAGGGCTAAGGAAGTTTGGTCCTGTTGGGCAATGATGGCACTGGCACTTGATGCCCACGATCTGCCTGGGGGCAAAGTCCTGCCATACCAGCCACTCTCCTTCCCCACCCGTCCTAACTACCACAAGGATCACCTGGCAGCATTTCACACCTACAGCTCTTCTCCTTTCTGGGAACATTGAGACAGCTCTGAGTGGGAGGGGAAAAGCACGCACATTCTCACGGACATTAGCTTTACCACGTTCCACGTGGGGAATGCAAAGGGCAGGGTGCAGAGGGGAAAGCAAACCTAAAAATGAATAAACATGGTACTCCTGGGCAACACTGCACCCAGCCCCCTGCCACTCTACAAGCATTGGCTCTGAGAAGGCAGTGATGAGGGGATGAGGGGAGGGGACAGGAGAGGAGCTTCCTGTCTGCACAGGGAAGAGAGGATGAAGAAAGCACTGGAGATACTGGTACTGCCAGGATTCTGGGCCCCACTAATATTGTTTGATCAGGAAAGAACTCCAAGGTGGGAGCCAGCATGTGGGAGGAGAGACCAAGTCCCTGTGGTCACCAGCCGGTCACCAGCAGCGGAGATTACCTAACCAGAGGGTGGAAGAGGATAAACAGGCAGCTTGTTCAACCAGTTCTGAGGCAGATATGGCTAAGTGGAAAGCCTGCCATCTTCTGCATACCTGGAAACACAGGGGCTGTCCCAACAAACCAGAGTCATGCAGCAGGGAGTGAGGAGAGCAAGTGTGGCCACCATGCTACTCTACAAAGCCTTACATGGGCTGAAGCCAGGGTTTCAATGACTTTTTTTTTTTTTTTTGAGTCAGGGTCTCCTCACTCTGTCATTCAGGCTGCAGTGTGGTGGCACAATCCTAGCTTATTGCAGCCTCAAACTCCCAGGCTCAAGCAATCCTCTCACCTCAGCCTCCTGAGTAGCTGGAATTGCAGGCAAGTACCACCACATCCAGCTAATTTTAAAATTATTTGTAGAGACAGGGTCTCATTAAGTTGAGACCCTGGTCTTGAACTCCAGGTCTCAGCCTTCCAAAGTGTTGGTACTGCAAGCGTGAACCACTGCACCCAGCCTTGAATGCCTTTTAAAAGCAGACATTCTGGGTGGGCGCGGTGGCTCATGCCTGTAATCCCAGCACTCTGGGAGGCCAAGGTAGGCGGATCACGAGGTCAGGAGATCGAGACCATCCTGGCTAACACGGTGAAACCCTGTCTCTACTAAAAATACAAAAACAAAATTAGCCGGGCGTGGTGGCAGGTGCCTGTAATCCCAGCTACTTGGGAGGCTGAGGCAGAAGAATGGCATGAACCCAGGAGGCGGAGTTTGCAGTGAGCCGAGATAGCACCACTGCACTCCAGCCTGGGCAACAGAGCGAGACTCCGTCTCAAAAAAAAAAAAAAAAAAAAAGCAGACATTCTGTGTCTTTAGCCTATAACCACTAGAAATTAAAAAGGTTGATTCTTTTAAAAGGAGTGACCATTTTGCACCTTAATAATACTCTCTCAACCCATCCCCCAGCCCTCAGAGAAAGCAAATAAAAACGTCAGCCGGGTGAGGTGGTTCGCGCCTGTAATCCCAGCACTTTGGGAGGCGGAGGTGGGTGGATCACCTGAGATCACGAGTTCAAGACCAGCCTGGCCAACATGGTGAAACCCTGTCTCTACTAAAAAATACAAAATTAGCCGGGCGTGGTGGTTGGTGCCTGTAATCCCAGCTACTCGGGAGGCTGAGGCAGGAGAATCGCTTGAGCCTGGGAGGTGAAGGTTGCAGTAAGTGGAGATCATGCCACTGCACTCCAGCCTGGGCAACAGAATCTCAAAAAACAACAACCACAACAACGACAACAAAAAAAACCTCTCTCAACCCATCCCCCAGCCCTCAGAGAAAGCAAATAAAAATGTCTTCACCTCCATTTGGCAATGAGGTTATTAAGTTCACGAAGGTACTTTGGGACCTAGAGAAGCTCGGTTCTGTTTTGATCAGTGTAGGAGCAGAAGTCCACCGGTGGGACTTTGAGCCCCAGACACCACAACCCACCCTGACCAGTACCCTGGAGACCTCTCAAAAAACAACCACGCGGAGGGCCTGAGGAAAATCTTATGACATATCAAACAGACTTATGAAATGGGTGCTTTGAGGCCTCTTCAGACATACCTTTACCAGCTTCAGTCTGTGCGAAGCTGCCCTGTGAAGGAAGTTTAAAAAAAAAAAAAAAAAGCAAGAATTAGGAACGATGATAACAAATTCAATAAAAATCACTCTCGTGCTGCTGGTATCTGATCTCACGCCTTTCTCTTTCAGGTTGGAGGAATAAATAACTAGGAGAAGGGGAAATGTAAAAAAAAAAAAAATGCTGGGTTTCACAGGAAATTTCAGCAAATGTGGCTCTAAAATGGACACATCAAAAAAGCCCCTTGAGAAAAGGCGAGTCTTGAGAAAGGCGAGTCACCTGCCAGAAAAAGACAGGGAGGAAGGGAGTCACAGGCAGGTGCTCCTCCCAAGATGGTGGAGATCTGTGTGTTTCTGAGGCACATCGCCCCTGCCCCAAGCTTCAGGGGCACAGTCACAGCCGATGATCGTCACCCAACATAATCATACAGGCCCAAAAAGGCTCTGACAGCACATCGAAGGGGAGCCAGACTCCTGGGAGACGTTCTTTGTTACAGAGCGAGGTTGGGACTACAGAGAATGGGCTGAGGTATGAATATTCTAGAATTAGTCAGACGGTCCCCAGTACCTGTGGTCAGAATTCCGTGTGACCTCTCTTAAGGAGTCATATTTTCAGCTAATAACATTAAAGCTAAATAAAGGACTCTCCACTGTAGTGTTCTGAAAAATCTCTGATCTGGAAATGGCTCTTCCTTTCCCCCATAATGCGTGCCTGTTCCCTTTCCTGTCATTCATGGGTTCAATCCATCATTTCAGACACTCTTCGGGAGCAAAGGAATCATCACTTTCTTTGAAATCAACATCCAACTTTTGGAAGAGTTATTCTTTTCTCCTCAGTTAGGGATCCACATTATTCTACATATAGAATAATCTTTTTAAGTGAAGCTTATTGCCAGAACACCCTCAGATTTCAACAAAGGAGAAGAAATATGTGAAGGCATGCCTACAGAGTTAAAAACAGAGCCCTGTCCTTCATTCCCCCATGGGGCTGAAATGCTCTCAATCTCCTGAAAAAAAAATATGTAAGCAGAGCCACTGACCTGTGTTCTGCACTGCCATGAAGATAAACAATAATTGGGTTCCCATCACGAAGGGCTGCTTCATACCAGCAACAGTCCTTCCCCTTGGCATCTTCCCCCCGGCAGCTGGGGACTGTGTGCCTGAAGAGCAAGGGAGGTTTAAACAAATGTAGAAAGAGGAATTCTCCATCCTTTCCAAAGGCCGAAAGTCTCCTTATGATATATATACATATATTTTAATTTTTTATCCGACTAATATATGCACATGGCAAAAATAAAAATCTAACACCACAAAAAGTCTTATGACGAGAACCACAACTGCCCTACCCCATGTCCCCATGCACAGAGACAATGCCTTTTAACGACTTACTGTTTTCGTTCTTCTGACTTCTGCACCTGTTAATTTTCCAAGACTGCAGTTCTTAGGTACAGCCCATTGAAATTGTTTTTTTTAAAAAGGGAAACAAGTAAAAGATAATAGATGTTTACCATCTGCCATGAGTTCGGCCGAAGAGATAAGTAGGAAATAATTTAAAGAGAAACCAGTTTATGTAAGAGAAAAGAACTAAAACACTAAACTATTTTGCTCCAGAAACCAAGAAACCTTGTGATTTTAAACATCTGTGTGAGTTCCAGTTTCTCCACTTTGTTAAACCAGTGAATGCTGCAAATGCAAACACTGCCATATGACATGTCACCATGGGATGTGGAGAACTGGCTAAGGGTGACAAATCTTCTGTCCTCTCCATCACTTAAGGACAGAAAGTCTGCCATCATCCCCAGGGCCTCTGTACTCCGAATATAGGCACTGCTGCCTGCTGGATGAGCTGATCTTGATGAGATAGCTGACTCACCAAACCAAGGACCAGTGGGGCAAAAGCAAAAAATAAAAAGATTTCTAAATTCCAACACATTTGGGTGAACTGTACCCTGAAGAGTAGGAAGAAGTTATGGGTTTGTCCTAAACATTTTATGATCAAAGGTTTGAACTCAGGGAGATGAAATAGAAAACAGGTCACTGGAAACTTGGCAGCCAAGAATGAGTATTACAACTAAACAGAAGAAATGTTAAGGTTAGCATTGTAAGACAATAGACTGTTCATGACCTCATCTGACATATTTACTGAATGCCCTTTATGTGCCAAACATTGTGCTAAGCAATGAAAACCCACCAACAAAGTCTATCACCTGCTGAAGCTATAGTCTTGTAAGGAAGACAAATATTAACCAAATCATCACACAAACATTTATTTCATGACAATGGGAATAATTGTCAAAAGGGACAAGCACAGATGGCCATGACAGCACATACCTAAAACGGGCAGTGAGGAAAGGCTTTTCTGAAAATTACCAATTAAAGTAAGATCCAATAGATGAGTAGACAGTTAGCAAGGCAAGAGGGAAGGCAGGGAGCTGAGAAATAGAAGGAAGCCTTGAAGGCAGAGCATGTCCTAGGAGGACAGTGTGTCTGGAGTTAAGGGCATGAAGGCAAGGGTGGTATGGAATAAGGCAGAAGGGATGGGTGAGGCCAGAAGCCAAGGGCAACACCTAAATGTCTATACTCCAAAGCAAAATTCTTAGGAAAATCAAGCAAATCAACAGAAGAGGAAGGTGTAGGAAACAGCCTCCAGGTACCTCCAGGAGCACCGACCTCTCCGTGGGCAGGTAACACAGCACTGCTCCTCTGAGTCCTAACAGGAACACCTGCCCCATCAAGCAACCCGGTGTCCCATCCGTGCACTCACCAGATCCCTAGCATCACCCCAGGTTCAACTCTCAGGTAGAAGTTCACTGTGTGAGGAATCTTTAACTCTGGTTTCTTTAAATCCACAAGAAATGGGGCTTTGACTGGAAAGTAAAAATCATTATCAACTTCAAGAATCAAATTCCATGCCTTTTAATCACAATCAAAGAAAGGAATTAGCCTACACAGGTTAACAGGCTTCTAAGTTGCAAGCTACTACACTAAACTCCTAGCAGAGTATTTTATTTTATCAGCTAGGACTAGCCTGCAGAGGAGGGGCAAAAAACAAAAACCTAAAAGCTAGATTTTAAAATAGCATCAGTGTCATGGCTCATAATAGAGAAACAGAGTTATTCAATCCTTATCCTTGTCTCCAGCTTTTTAAAAGCAGTGGAGACCATTCCCCTAAGAAGGTAAAAAGGCCTAGAAGAAAATAATAAGTATTCTGCTACTTCGGTGAAACCTAATCATCAGCCAAAAGGCAAGAAATGTCCAGAACTACCTGCTTACCAGGAGGCAAGCAGGTAAGAACTAGAAGGACTGTGAATGGAACCCCCACCCACAAGGCCATGCATCTCTCTTTACTCCCAACAGTTTGCAAGGATTCCTGCTAGACTTCAAAGTCAATATTAAATAAGTTTCAGACCATTTCAGTCTAACCACAATTTTACAGCTGACATGTCTTTTCACTACGTCACAACTTTAAGGGTACTGAGGTCTTTATTTGGGAAAAATTATATAGGAAAATTTATGGAAGGTCCATACTTACAAAAATTAAAATAAATTAGCATGTCTATCAGAGGAAGGAAAACGTGTTCTTTTAAGGATTTACTAGTAAAGCTGTCATACAGAGCAGCAATTTTTCTTCCGAGCATTGAACAGGAGTGTGGAAAATATCTGCAAGGTATTGGGAAACACACAAGGTTTTCGAAATTAATCCATTTGTCTTGGTTTGTTTTTTTCTTTTTCTTTGTTTTTTTTTGGACAGAGTTCTGCTCTTGTTGCCCAGGCTGGAGTGCAATGGCATGTTCTCAGCTCACTGCAACCTCTGCCTCCCGGGATCAAGCAATTCTCCTGCCTGAGCCTCCCAAGTAGCTGGCATTACAGGCACCCACCACCATGCCTGGCTAATTTTTGTATTTTTAGTAGAGACAGGGTTTCACCATGTTGGCCAGGCTGGTCTCGAACTCCTGACCTCAGGTGATCCGCCCCCAAATTTCAGAGACTAACACTGGGAATTCTGGGTCAGATGGCATTTAAGCAAAATCTTTTACACAATGACAAGGAATTATCTACACGGCAGGCCAAGACTGGGACTAAGGGGAAACCAGGTAAGGAAAGTAATAGGGCAGGGCCCCAACCAGTAGCTGAAAAAGCCAGGACATGGCAGGGACAGGAAGGGAAGGGATATGTTCGCACCACAGCCAGGTTTGGTCCCTTACTGTAGCCCCATAGAAGGCTGAGGCTGGACCCCAAAGTCACCAGTAAACAGGATTCAGACAGTTTAACAGTTGCTGCAGTTTTTAATTATATCACAATTCTGCACTATATGTGTTAGCTATTCTTATCATTAGTCTCAGGCAGTGAGGGAATAATCCCTAGATCCTCTATATTCTGGACTTATCTTAGGAAGAAATGAGCCAGTGTTAGGAGACCCCACTTCTGAGATGAGATCCCTGGAAGAGATGGACCCATGAGGCACAGGGCTGGAGCCTGGTCAGGGAGTGGGATGGGCGCATGCACATCTTGCCTACGCTATTGTTCCCTGTGACACAAACCACCCAATCAGGAGCTGTCAGCACACAAGTGACGATTTGTCCATGAGGGGTCACTAAGGACACCTCTGTCTCAAGCCACCTCTCTTGTGAGGGTCTTAGAGAGGTGAGGGATACAGGAGGTCAATGTCATCACCTCCTGCTTCCAGTTTTTGCCCACATTATCCATTAAGTAAGTCCCTTTCCATGTTGTAAGAGATCATTGTTAAAACTGTTTAATATAATCAAATGGTAAGGTTGAGGGGCTGGAAAGCATTTTTGATAAATTGTCTCCCCTGCCCTGATTTCTATGCTAGACCAGAGGCATTTTTGGAAGATAATTATTACCTTTGCTTTGCAAATGAGACTGGAAAGTTAAGTAATCTTTCCAAGGTCACAAGTCAATGAATGGCAGAGCCACACATACCCAGGTCTGTCTGATCCCATAGTCTTATAATGATCTCCAGGATGTCACAGTCTTGGTGACATCCATGTAAGCAGAAATGAACCCCAGGAACAAAGCTGGCCTCTGGCAAAATTCTGCTCATAGACAATCTTGTTTTAAGATCTCCTTCTGCACCTTAGCCCTCTCAGCAGGGTCCCGTCCTTTCTTCTTTCCTCCTTCCTGCTCCTGTATTCTCAGGAGCCCTCTGATAACAAAGTCATCAAAGAAAGACCTCTAAAAAAATTAATTCCCCCTGAAGTGTTAATGACTTAAAAATCAGAGCACTTATATGTGTTTGGAAGAGGCACGAAGAGAGAAGATAATGAATCTCTGATGAATTTCCAGCAGTTCTGCAAGAAGTGGAAAAGATATGTGGGCTAAGGGTAATGGATAGATTTTTGAATACATCATACGCTGGCAATTGCCTACTCATAAAATCAGCAAGAAAGAAATGAAAATGATTGTTTCATAATACTTTAAAATAGCACCCCACCACCCCTGCCATGAAGGCGGCAGGAAGGAGAGGACATTGTTGTTCTGATTTTAGAGATAAGAAATCAAAACCCAGAGAAGCCACTTTGAGCCACAGATCAAGCCCAAATGGACAGAACTGAACCCAAGGCTGAACTGTGCCTCCTTCCAGCTGCTGGCTCCTGCTGGCTTCCTTCTAAGCTCCCCTCACTCACCTCCACCCTGCCTGTTAGTCTCCAGCTAAGCTGTCTTTTGAAGGTAGGCAGGGTAGTCTCCCGCTAAGCTATGTTTTGAAGGTCTGCTTGGGAAGCAGAGGCAGTAGAGGGAAATGTGTGTCTGTTTTTTAAGGAATAATTCATACACAGTCCTTCTCTCAAATAGCTCGAGGCACTTTTCTGAGATGCACTGCGGGAAGAGAACAGAGTGACCAGATCCTCAGAGCATCAATAATGCAAAGCAGCTTCTTTTAACTAAGGGGTTGTCAATTTGACTTCCCCTAGATCAGTAAGGGATCAAAAGTCACCAGTGGCTAATAGACCTTATTTGAGCAGAGGATGCAGTTTCAGCCCAATCCCCGCTAACGGCCAGCCACATCAAACGGCCACCTTGGTGCTTTGGTGTTCTTTCACTTGCCCTTTGATCAGCTGCAGCTGTAACCACACAGCGTCCCACAGGGGACTCAGAACCTAACTGGATGATTCTTACTGGTGAAAGCTGGTGGAGTCTGAGCTGCTACAGGGTGAATCACTCATGCTCAGAGGTTTCTGCAAACCAACTTTGGGAAGCCCAAATCTAACTACATTTACTATTTCAAATATTAAGACAGGTACCTTCAACCTGTGTGCCAATTCACTCAGTCGACATGTGTTTGTCACCAAGCACCGGGAGACATCCTCCCAACCAAATCCCCTCTTCCTTCACACCCATGGAAGTATCTCTTTTTTGTCAAAGTCTCCTGGAGAGATCATTCCATGGTGACCTCTCCTCTCTTGTCTTTCCTCCCACAAATAATAACGGGGCCTCAGCTGGCCTTGAATTGTTCTGTGATGGCTTTCCCATTATTAGCCCTGTCTTCTCCACTCTATCAGGCCACAGACAACAAGAACAACATGGCATAGAATGCTTCCTTTACATTTCCCTCTGTCTAGCCCAGGGCTGAGCTCAGTAAATATTGACGCATAGGTTGAAAATAGAAAGAGAGTGCATTTATTTTGTAAGGGAGAAGGAAGCAACATTTATTGGTAGCTTCAGAGGAAAGAGGAAGGACTTCATTTTCTTTTTTTTACTTACAATTGCAAATGAATCAATGTGTGCTCCACAGAGCAAGGATTTTGTCTGTTTTATTTACTGCTGTGTGACCAAGACTAGAATACTATCCAATAGATAATAAAGAACCAACGCTGTGGAAAGAATGAACACATTTATCAGCCTACTCCTGCACATTTTCTGAGCACTATCTAGGATTGTAATGACTTGGGGTGGAATGGGGGAAATGAGGAGGAAAATAAACCTTTGGTTTCCCCCAACTTCCTTCTGGAGCACATTTTCCATTTTTCTTTTTTTATTATTATTTTTTTTTGAGACGGAGTCTCGCTCTGTCACCCAGGCTGGAGTGCAGTGGTGCGATCTCGGCTCACTCCAACCTCCGCCTCCCAGGTTCAAGCAATTCTCCTGCCTCAGCCTCCGGAGTAGCTGGGACTACGGGCATGTGCCACCACGCCTGGCTAATTTTTTGTATTTTTAGTAGAGACAGGGTTTCACTGTGTTAGCCAGGATGGTCTCCATCTCCTGACCTCATGATCTGCCCGCCTTGGCTTCCCAAAGTGCTGGGATTACAGATGTGAGCCACAATGCCTGGCCTCATTTTTCTAATTTAAAGAAAACCAGTTGTAAAGTGGAGACTTACTCTCCTTGGCCCACCCACCTTAAGCAGCAACTGGATTTGATAAAAATTTTTGTAAAATAAATAACTAGATTCCCAAGGCATTAAAAAATAGCCACTGAAAAAATCATATGATGAAATGTTCTTGGGTCTCACAACACATCCCACTAGTTCCAGTGCCATGATCAGGGCCAGGGGCATGGCAAGCCCTCCATGAAGGTTTGCTCACCTAAGTGAACCCGGCTCCAAGAATCAAAGAGGACTTGGGATAGTGGAAATGGGTCTGGGCCTCAGCCTCAGCACATCTTATGGTAGCCAATAATCTTCTGCTCAGATGAAGACATACGCTAGTATTTTGTTCTTTCAGGAAGTGTCTCTTGAGACTTTTTTCACTAATTAGTAAGGCAAGTAATAGATGGTCCCCAACTCCCTATCTCCCACTCCATTATCAACAAAGTGGGTTATTCTCTATGAGTATGATGTGCAACTTTGATTCTCTGCCTAATAAATGCCCTTTACTGCCAAATAAATGTTAAATAATCAGCCATCAATTCCACAGAGACCATCAAAGTGAAAAACATTAGATGTCAACGTTCCCAGAATCACCACATCTGGGAGAGAAGTCCTGTTAATATGCAGTTTGACAAGTGCAATCAGGACATTCTGCCACGTGTTCAGATCCAACCCAGAGCTGGGAGGCATGGGTTCTAGGTGACTGGGCCCCTGCAGAGCTGCCAGCACTCTGCTGTCTGCAATGAGAATAAAAAGGAATAGAAGAGAAAAGAGACCAGGTGCAGTGGCTCACACCTGTAATCCCAACACTTTGGGGTGCCAAGGCAGGTGGAATCTGTGAGCTCCAGGAGTTTGAGACCAACCTGAACAATGTAGTGAAAACCCATATCTACACAAAATACAAAAATCAGCTCAGTGTGGTGGCAGGTGCCTGTAGTCCCAGCTACTGGGGAGGCTGAGACGGGAGGATCGCTGGAGCCCTGGGAATGAGCCAAGATTGTGCCACTGCACTCCAGCCTGGGCAACAGAGTGAAACCCTTGTCTCAAAAAAGAAAAAAAAAAGAGAGAGAGAGAGAGAAAAGATCCCCGTTTGTCATCATCACTCTGGGCACTCCAAAGTGAGGTCTCCTGTGTCTGGATGTAATTTTTGGATATTTTCTAATCAGCACAAATTAAACAAAAGGAATAGAAAGAGGGAAGTAAAAATGCCAATACCTTCCCACACCAACAAAACTAAATGAAATACCCACGTGTCCTGGGTCCACGATCTCCAACCAATACCTGGCTTCAGTGCAAACAAGACTGACAATATGTTGCAGGTGGATTCAGGTAATTTAAGATTACTGTTTAAACCGAGGATCCATGGGAGGAAGAAAACAGAAACAAAACCCGAAACACCCACTGATACATTTCAGACTTAAACAACATAAGAACTTGGCACAGGTAATGCCAAGTTATGGTTTCAACACACTATGTACATCTTTAGCATACTGGAGGTGTTTTCTTTAAATACATGCCAGGGAGTTCACACTCAGGGAACTAGGCACGGATTTTCTGATTCTTTTCCACCTACACAGATAGGCCCTTGACCTAAGAGGATCCCGTCCAAGATTACAACATATATTACTATTGTCACTATTACTAATGTCATTCAGATCCATCTTGTATGTTAGCAAAATGGTCAGATAATAGAGATTGGTGTAGGAATTCAACCATCTCCCTGGCATCTGTATTTCAGAAGCCCCCAAAAGTTATAACTTCCTGAAATACCAAACCTGAGAGTCTCGCTGGTCCAGGTTGGGATTGAGGCTGAGGATAGCAAGGGCAACCAAAGAGCCCTAGAGTTCTCAGGGGGCCGCCGAGGTCCCCCGGAAGCCACAATGCTGGGCCTTGGGCCCGGGCCAGCAGAGGGGATTGCGGCCTCGGCCGCGCCCTGGCCCCCTGCCCCATCCCCGCGCAGCCTGAGCCGTCGGGGCCCGGCCAGGGGTGGACCGGGCGGTACTCACCGCAGGTTGCGGTCGACCATGTCCCACCAGGCGGCCACGCAGCTACGGGCTGGGGGCCCGGGCGGCTCGGGCGATGCGGCCGCCTGGCAGTCCTGCGCGTCCATCCCGCGCCGTGTCCCGATACGCCGCCACCGCCGCGGGAGCTGCAGTCCGGAGCAGCCGCCCGCGACCTTCCCGCCCCGGCGGCACCGCGCCCGCCCTCCTCCTCCGCGCGGTCAGGCAGGCTGGTACGGCGGGGGAGACGCGGCCCGAGGGTGCGCTCCGCCCGGGTCAGGCTGTTCGCGGCCACACACACACACACAGATGTCCTAAGCTTATAGCTAGCTATGCTACATTTTATTTTAAATTGATTTCCATTATACTTCTGTGTGTGTGTGGGTGTGAGGCGCGCGCAACGCAGTAAAATATGTTTTCACCATGGTACTACTAACACAAAAGTTTGACCGCCACAGCTTTTGATTTTCATGAAGAATATAAGCTTTCCTCTACTTAAACCTCACTTTTTTCTTTTTCTCTTTTTCTGAAGCCTCCTTGTCTCCAATTCCCCATCCACCCCCAAAATCCTCACAGCCCCCCACCCTGTCACCCTTACTATAGAAAGAATTTCTTTGGCTCCCTTTGATTTACTAATGATTTGTCTGTCCACGTGGGGTTATGAACACAATTACTCCATGTAGCAAAAAATTAAGACCTTTTCGGTATTTTGTTTACGTAGCAGCATGTAGCAGAACCTCATCATTGTACCAAGGAGTTCACACCTTGAAACTTTGACCTTGGTACAGGTTTACATCTTGGTGCAGGTTTACATTGTGCAACTGTCTCCTAGGAGCAGGAACTGTCTACCAGAGCTACTCTAGGGAAGCCACGGCCTGCATGTGTGGGGACAAAGGAGGAAGAAAGGGAATTAGGTTTTATTTGGATACATTCGGATGCCAGCATCAAGGCTTCATCTTGGAGGCAAGGTGCAAATCTTAAGAGGTGAAATGGGTTTTTTGTAGTGTCTGTGTTCAGAGGGCACAGCAGGGGGCTGTCAGCACCAGAAAGTGCGTGGAAACCCATCTGCTTGAGGATAGTAAGATGGTCTGGGGGAAAATACCCACACTTTTCAAGAAAGGGAAGTTTTCTTTGAGTACTAGCTCATTTCATGGAACTGTCAGGGCAAAGGGGGATTTTGTTCACTGCCTGTTAATACTCTTATACTTGCTCTGGGAATGTTTGTTTTCTTTGTTTCTTTCTCTTTCCTTCCTTCCTTTCTTTCTTTCTTTCTTTCTTTCTTTCTTTCTTTCTTTCTTTCTCTTTCTTTCTTTCTTTCTTTCTTTCTTTCTTTCTTTCTTTCTTTCTTTCTTTCTTTCTTTCTTTCTTTCTTTCTTGTCATGGTCTTACCCTGTCACTGAGGCTGGAGTGCAGTGGTGCAATCATAGCTCACTGTACTTGAACTCACTTGAACTCCTGGACTCAAGCAATCCTTCCACTCCAGCCTCCCAAGTAGCTGGGACTACAAGCATGCACCACTATGCCTGGTGCGCGCGCGCACGCACGCTTGTGTGTATAGAGATGAGATCTCACTATGTTGCCCAGGCTGCTATCAAACTCCTGGCCTCAAGCAATTCTCCCACTTCGGCCTCCCAAAGTGCTGGGATTACAGGTCTCTGTCACCACACCTGGCTGGAATGTTCAGTTTCTGATTCACACACATCAAGATAGAAGAGGAATTAGCTCAGAAAGGACCAATGGGATCCAAGCCTGACTGATGAGCCAGCAGCAGGTGGGTTTTCACAGAGCCACAACCTGCATGATGAGAAAGCTTCAAGCAGATGTCGGCTCTACCCTTGGAGTTCTTCATAAACGTGGTCTGGAATCTCCCAGAACTTGTTCAGGGAAGCTCTGGATGGGACTCTGGGGCCATGCCAAGTGGAGATGGAGGGATCAAAGATGGGGAGGAGAGCTTGGAGGAGAGAAGAACAGCTGCATATGGTCCCAGAGTCTATTTCCATCTACTTGCTCAGGTTGAGAGAGGATATTTCCATCTACTTGCTGGATGAACAAAGTTGTAAGCCCCAAGTCTAGGGATATGTTTGAAATGCTCAGCAAAAATCTCTGAAATTGGAAATCACTATGGCCCATTTTTTGAAAGGTTGCATAAGACTCTGCAAGAAGGTCTTTCCCAGTATAAATAGCCCCTTTCAAATGGCACATCCTGGAAATCAGGGAACAAAGTCTCCCATATGATTTGATAGAACCTGAAAAACAAAATATGCATTCATTTATTCAGCACCCATTTACTGAGCACCTTTTAGGTACCAGGTACCACATTGGGCACCGTAGGGATACAAATCAGGATCCCAGCTGGTAGAGATTCATTTCAGGATGAACCATGAGAACACAGAACAGGAAATGAAAAGTGTCTTAAGGGTAGAGATTAAATCAGGGGATAGCAGGGGCTGGAGGTGGGGAGGGGAGGTTGACTACAAAGGGGTGCGAAGGGACATTTTAGAGTGATGGGAATAGTCAACATCTCAAGTGTGGTGGTGGTTACTATAAATATCCACCAATGCATATAACTCACAGGTGAATTTGACTGAATATGAATTATACCTCAACAAACCTGACTTTTGAAAAGTGACCTAAGAAATGTACAGATAAACTATATAAATGAACATGTCCTATGTCATGTTGTATAAATGTTAAGACAAAGCTGATGGTACAAATACATCAGAAACCAACAGTTGAATGTTATTTGCACTAGCAGAAAAATAAATCTTGATTGGAGACAGATTAATTTGACCACCTAAAATTATTCTGGAAAAACAGGGAATGGGGAATAAGACTGACCACCTCTCAGCTGCTGTACAGCTGTGAAGGTAAACTGCTGGTAATAAGGCAGTTGGGTGTTGAAGACCTAGATATCTTGAAAAGAAAGTATGCATCCCCCTTGTGTTTTCTTTTATTTTAAATAAAGCATTATGAGACATAAAATTCACACACTATAAATTCACTATTTTAAAGTATACAACTCAGTAATTTTAGTATATTCTCAGAGTTGTGCATCTATCACTATTATTTACAATAACTTTAGAACATTTTTATCACAGCCCCCCAGAGAAATCCTATACCCATTAGCACTCACCATTCCTCCCTTCACCTGCCCTAAGCAATCACTAATCTACTTTCTGGCTCTGTGCATTTGCCTATTCTGGACATTTCATATAAATGAATTAAACAATATGTTGCATTTTGTGTCTGGCTTCTTTAACTCAGTATAGTGTTTTCAAGGTTCATCCATGTGCTATCTCAGTGAATACTTCATTCGTTTTGGTGGCTGAATAATATTTTTTTGTATGGATATACCACATTGTGCTTATCCACTCATCAGTTGGTGGACATTTGGGTTGTTTCTACCTTTTGTCTATTGTAAATAATGTTGTTATAAATATTTGCATACAAGTTTTTGTGTGGACTTACGTTTTCATATCTCTTTATTGTACAACTAGGAGTGAAATTGCTAGGTCATATAGGTAACTCTATGTTTAATTTTTTGAGGAACTGCCAAATTGTTTTCCAAAGTGGCTACCCCATTATACAATCCCACCAACATAAGCACCATGTACCTTTTTTACCCTTTCTCAGCTTTCCGTGCACAGGTAGGAATTTTTTTTAATCTAATATTGTTGAGATTGAAATAAACCATTAAAGGGAAGTTTGAGTCCAGTCCCAGACGATAGGGAAAGAATGATGTAACTAACTCACTCAGAATATTTATTTTTCTATGTTGTTAGTTTTAGATTGTCTTCCTCTATATTAGATCTAATTTTAAGACAATTCATTATAGCTTCAAGAGTAGCTGTTGGATTATTCTCATGTGCTTAGAATTGAGAGTATTAATACGGGTTTCCTTTTAGCTAAAGGGGTGGTTTCTTTGAGAAGAGAAAATGACAATGTCATGGGCCCCTTTCAGTTGAAACTGGAAGTGCTTGAGTACATTGGGTACACCGTTTCTTCCAAAGAGCTCTCCACATTCCCAGACATGGCTCATAGGGTCCTTGCTCTTCTACAGTAAAACACGAGATTTGGTTTTCCTAAATATCTATGGAAGAACTGAGCTGGGATTAAACCCCAGCAGTTACAACTCCCTCCTACCTCTCTGGGTATTACTTTCCAAATTCCTCCAGCCATTCCTTAAAAGTTAGCTGTTCTCAGGGTTCCTTCCTAGCTCTGCTTCTCTTCTTGTGTTGTATACACCAGGATTTCCAAATCTATTGGGAAAGAGGCCAGGCGTGGTGGCTCACACCTGTAATCCCAGCATTTTGGGAGGCCGAGGTGGGCAGATCACTTGAGGTCAGGAGTTCAAGACCAGCCTGGCCAACATGGCAAAACCCCATCTCTACTAAAAATAAAAAAATTGGCCAGGCATGGTGGCACATGCCTGTAATTCCAGCTACTCAGGAGGCTGAGGTGGGAGAACTGCCAGAACCCAGGAGGCAGAGGTTGCAGTGAGCCGAGATTATGCCACTGTACTCTAGCCTGGGTGACAGGGCAAGACTCAGTTTCAATAAAAAAAAATAATAAAAATTTTAAAAGCTATTGGGAAAGAAAGGAAACTTTTTATCTGAGAAGTATGAGCCCCTTTGAATTATCTGGCCCAGTGAGGCATTGAAATGTGACAGCAGTCACCTCTCACTCCTCCCTTGAGCTAAGTAATCTCTTCTTGCTATGTGGGCTCTACGCTGAGTGATGTTAAGCAGCCATAAATTAACCTAACAATCCCATATGCTGGACACCGTAACTCATACCTTAGAGTTCAACAATGTATAGCTAATCACTAATCAATGTTACTTCTGTGAACCAATGAGAATCCCCTGCAAACAACCTTTGTAACTGCCCCCTCTCCTTATTCGTCCTTCACACTTCCTTTGTGTCCCAGGCTGCACTCCTCAACCTTGGCCCAAATAAACTCGCTCCCTATATTAATTTTGCCTCAGTTTCTTTCTTTAGATCAACACTATGTTTAATCATTTGGGAAGCTCTGGGCTAAACACAGTAATAATATGTTCATTTGGCCAAGATTCCATATCTCAAAATCTTTTCTTGTTTAATGATCTTTGAAAGTCTCCCAGAAAAAGGTATAGAATGTGGCACTTCACTAAAGTCATCTGCTCTCCTTCCTTCTCCAAACCTGTACCACTTGCAGAATTCCCTATCTTGAAGAACAGGATCATCATACACCAAGTTTCCCTAACCACAAACTTGACATTTATCTTGATTCTTCTGTTTTCTGAAGCCCAGTATTCCCTCTAGAAAACATTAAGATTAAGCCTTCGGGTGATATGTCTTTATTTGTATATTTTATATAGTATCTAGCTTTGGAAGCCTACACTCTAATTGCAAGGGAAGGACCTACATATATGAAAAGCTAAATAACAACCTGAGGAGTACCACCAGATAATAAGAAGGCCCAGTGAGACACACCTGTGTGGGCTGAAGAGGTCAGGCAAGGATTCCAGGGAAGTATTACTGTGTTGCTTAGAAACAGCCTTGGAGATACGAGGTAATTTAAAATGGCTATCCAGAGATCCCATAGAATGTTAAAGCTGGAAAATACATAAGCACTCATTTGCTAATAATCTCACTTTACATAGAGGAAACTGAGACCGAAACAGACCAAATGATGGATGATAAGCTGCATTCATTCAGTATTTATTAAGTACCCACTGCGTGCAATGCACAGCATGGGCTACACTTATACAAAAGAGCAGGCAAGGTGAGACTATCAAATAGCACTGGTACTTGGCAAAAACTAAACCTATCACAGCATCCCAAGGGGCAGGTCTTTGAGGCAAAGGTGATCGGGCCAACTGGTAGTTATAAACTGGGTTACTAGTTCTTCCACTTACCCTTGAAAATAGCAGAATTCAAATAGTTATTCACAGGTTAGGTAGGCACTAATTATTTCTGCTTCATGAGTAATCAGGGTGGAAGAATTTATCACCACCTACAGTGTCCAGTCATTTCATATCTGGATATACAGACATCCAGGTAGAAAATTCTGAAGCAACCTTTACAGTGGACACAAGCCTAAATGTTTGTGATCTGGGAACACCGCAGCTGGTTTAGGATTATGGAGGCAGAGAGGCAGGGAGAGCCTCCCAATCAGAGATTATTTTATTTTCTTGACTTCTCTTTATTTTTTTAAATGCCCCTCTAATAAATTCAGAGTAAGGGCTTTTCCAAGATGTGCAGTTCTTCAGTCTTAGGATAAATAATGACACTGAATTTTTAGCCTATTGAAGTTCAACAGGAAAAGCTATTATAAAAGATAAGCAAGATGATGTAAAAATATCTTCCCGTTAATGCAAGCGCACATGAAGAAATTGTGAAGACAGGAAAAAAGTCATAGCTGTAGATAAAGTAAACAGGAACTGGTTTTCAGTCCTAAAAGATGACGGGTCTGTAATTCTGGGCTTTCTGAATCCCTGCCATCAGTTTGAATTAATCTGTTCCTCATCGTTTAGAGAATCTCCGAGGATGGTCCTGAAAGCAGCTTCATTTCCTCAGTTCCCCTGCTCATGTCCGAGTGTATATGTGCTCCCAGCACAGCTTGAAATTAGTGTACTTTTTCATCTTGGCCTTCAGTGTTTAAACAAGCAGGCAAAGACCCCAGGAGACTTGGACAGGATGGCCTGATGGTACAAACGGTGTCCGGTAGCCCGAGGCGGGACTTCATTATCTTCACATGGCCTGGCTTAGCATGCAAGGAACAACCTGCCCCTAGAGAGGAGTTTTAAAATAATCATATGTAGCGTGAGATGAGATCATAGATATGAAAGCTCTTATTTGAAGTTAAAAAAAAATTCAGCCTACAAATGCACAGTATTGGTATTATTTATTAATGAGTGTATTTGATACTCTCTTTGTCAGGCTCCTGGGCGTATTTGCATGCATTCATTTACAAAGACAATCATCAACATTATGGCTTATAGACCAACATAGAAGTTTAATTACTAATAAATACGAATAGATACACAAATGTACCTAGGAGTCCATGCAGTTATCCTGTTCTACTTCACCGCCTACCAAAAGCAATTAAAAATTGATACCAGCAGGAGACTCATACCCTTCCTTGCAGAGCGAGAGACAAAGGAGTGGGTGAGAGTGGGGGTGGATAATGTTCTTCCTTCTCCTGCCTGCTAAGTGTCAAAGAGGATGAGAACTCCCAAAGGAGTCCTCCCAACCCAGCAATCACAAGTTACTTAGCAAATATCAGCTCATTAATCCGGAGGTGAGTGTTGGGTAGCTTTGCGAGGTGACCACTTAAACAATTTTTCAGCAGAAGGGCTACAGTGTTTCACATGCAATTCTATAGTCTTGCACTATCTAAATCAGGAATCTTTTTTGTGTTTGGTGTTACTTGTTAAGTTTAGAACAAAATTTCACACATGCAGGCTGTGTGTATCTCCAGCACCTAGCATAATGTCTGGCACAAAGCAGGTGCTAAATACGTATTTTGTAAATAATGGAAAAACTTGAATCTGTACTGCAGCCAGTCCATGAAACTCCATCACATACATTCTCCATAGGCCCCTGTGGCACTCTCTAGTTTGCACCTATACAATTCTGAACTGCAGGATAACAGGAAAGAAACCAGGGCAAGTGAAAGGGCTGAAAGGTGCACTAAGCTGGCCTGGTCTGGGGTCTGCTGCCCTGTTTTCACCTCCCCCACCCAGAGGCAAGTTCTATGCTTAGCATAGTTGTCATGTCATGTGTAAAGGTGTGATTCCACCCCACCCCACCCCTGACCCATCTAGAGATTAAACAGGTAGTCCTTCTCTTGTGCAATCCCCACTCAGCAAGCATTCATCAAATGCCAGCTGTACATAGCCCAGCACATGAAGCCTTGTAGAGGAAAGGGAAAATATAAGTCATGGCCCCTGAACTCAGGAACTAATATTATCATTAGGGAGACTATTTATTATTGCTCATTTATTCTATAAACATATATTGAGCACATGAGCTAAATACTCTTCTAAGTGTTGGAGATTCAAAGTTGACCAAGACAAATAATTTTCCTCCTCTCATTATGCTGACATTTTAGAGGGGGAAGACAAAAAGCAATCATGCAAATAAATAATATAAATTCAGATTAGTGCTATCAAAACCAAATCAGATAATACAAAAACTACTTTATCCGAGATTTTTTTTGAGACAGAGTCTCGCTGTGTCTCCCAGGCTGGAGTGTAGTGGCGCGATCTCGGCTCACTGCAAGCTCAGCCTCCCGGGTTCATGACATTCTCCTGCCTCAGCCTCCGGAGTAGCTGGGACTACAGGCGCCCGACACCACGCCCGGCTAATTTTCTGTATTTTTAGTAGAGACGGGGTTTCACCGTGTTAGCCAGGATGGTCTCGTCTCGATCTCCTGACCTTGTGATCTGCCCGCCTCAGCCTGCCAAAGTGCTGGGACTACAGGTGTGAGCCACCGCGCCCGGCCTATCTGAGATCTTAATGACAAGATTTAAGAGTGGAGTTCCGGCCGGACGCGGTGGCTCCCGCCTGTAATTTCAGCACTTTGGGAGGCCGAGGCGGGCGGATCACAAGGTCAGGAGATCGAGACGAGACCATCCTGGCTAACACGGTGAAACCCCGTCTCTACTAAAAATACAGAAAATTAGCTGCGCGTGGTGGGGCGTGCCTGTAGTCCCAGCTACTCAGGAGGCTGAGGCAGGAGAATCGCTTGAACCTGGGAGGCAGAGGATGCAGCGGGCCAAGATCGCGCCACTACACTCCAGCCTGGCGAGAGAGCTAGACTCCATCAAAAAAAAAAAAAAGAAGAAGAAGAAAAAGGAAAAAAAGAGTGGGGTTCCAGCTAGAAGTAATAGCAAGTTCAAGGACTCCCAGGTAGGGTACAAGCTGGAAGTAATCAAGACCCATCAAAAAAGCTGGTGTGGCTGAAGCATTGGTACTGACAGGGGGAGAGAAAGGAGATAAGATTGGAGAAATAGCCAGGAGCCAGATCATGCAAGATCATGTTCCTTGCTATTCAAAGTATGGTCCTTGGATCAGCTGCACCAGCATCACCTGAGACTTTGTTTAAATTACCCCAACATTCATTTCCCTTCTTTTACAGCCATAGGACTATGAAATTTCAGGTAGCAAACACCTGCCTCCAATAAAGACCACTTCTCCAACTCTCTCTTGCAAATAGTTGTAGCCATGTGACATAAAGGAAGTGATATATATGACTTCTCAGAAGCCTCCCTAAAGGTAAATCCTTTCCTCCTTCCTGCTGTCTGGAACACAAATTTAAAGGCTCCTTCTCTGGCAGCTATCTTGTCCCAGGAGATATCTTTGAGTATGGAAGCTACTCAAGGCAAAACAACAAGACAGAGGAGCTGTGTCTTTGACCCTGTGGATGGCCATACCAGCCCTCTCAAACTTGTCAGTATGAGGAAAACAGAAATGTCCATTTTCTTAAGCCACTGTTACTTTGGATTTTTCTGTTACTTATAGCCGAATTTAATCCCAACAAATTCACACTCTATGATATATTGTCATTTATTTTAATAAAACTGTACATGTTCCTAAGCTTTGAGTAAAATCAACATTCCAAGAAGATGTGCTGTATTTATTCTATAGCTTCAATAACTCCCACTAGGTCCTCAGTCACCTCCACTCCTCTACAGACACACATACAGCAATTAAGTAGCATGGTCCCAACTGGATGGTGGTCAGGAGAATGGACATGGCAGGGGTCAGTGGCAAAGGTAAAGACACAAGGTTAAGGCAGGCTTGGACTCCAGGACCTCTGCTTCTTCCCTCCTGAGAGTACTTAGAGAAGGGGACCTCTCCAGGCTGAACTGACAAGCCTGAAGACTTGCAGGCATTGCAGGCGTCTCCCTACTCAGATTTCTAAAACTGTTACACAACCATAGATCCCCTGGTCTGTTGAACAGACTTCAACTTAGGCTGAATAAACTCTTCACACCATGTTTCTATATTTAGAATGAGCCTATTGTTTGAAAAACTGAAAGAATGACCAACTGAATTCTCTTCAATGACAGTTCCAATGGGCAGCTCCAACAGCGACCCTCAGAGCCGCCCGTAATAAATACACAATAGAAAACAGTGTGCTTGAATGCAAATGCAACCTCAAGGCATTCTCTCCAGTCACCTCAGCACTCCTCCTATGTAGAAATTCTCAAGTCCCTGCTGCCAAGGTTGTCAGCTGCCTTTCCAGACATTGATAGGCACCTTGCCTCTTAGGGTTAAATGTCTGTAGATGTGCTGAACCTGGAATGTTACTAGAAACACAGGGAAGACTTGGTCAGAGCAATGTCAATAGCCAAGAAATACTGAACTTGTATCTCATTTTGTGACCCATAATCTCTGCCTTACCTTGCAGAGTGGTAAAGCTGGTCTTAACCTAGTTCACAGGAACCTCACACAGGTGACTGAAAAAATTCCAAGACATGATGAACATTCTACCAAGTGCTCTTCTTACAGTAATATCAGCTGCCCATTCAGACCATGCCCTTCACAGCTTTCCTTTGGGAGTACACTGGGGTTGGATCTAAAAGAATCTGCCCCCATAGGCCCTATGTGGGCACTGACTTTAACCAGACTTGTTTGATTGCTTTGGTAGGAGGTAAAGCCTCAGCCCTCTCTTCCAGAGCTGTTTTTAGATTGAACAGTGAAAGATCATTAAGATCCATAAATGGCATTCAGGTTTTAGTGGATGACTTTGGGAAGTCTCACTAAAGTATATATAGGAAGATTCTGGTGTGAGTATTGGGAACAAGTGGCCATTTCTTCCATACAGGTAATGTTGAAGAGGGGACTGTGTCCTTTCTGCATAAAGAAGCAGTCCCCCTGATCTATTCAGGATGGAAGGCACTTTCCAAATTGCCTCTAGAGCAGCATGATATTCTGTGTGGTCCCAGTTTTTATAAAGCAAAAAGTGGCTCAGATAAACTACATAGATGAGCAAGAAATAGGAAAAATTGGTCCTCAGTAGAAATCACAGAGGCAGACTAGTTTCACATCAAAACAGTGATCCAATCTGCTCACTACAGACAAAGGTACCAGGTGAACACAAAGAAGCTGCCCTTTGGTTAATGTTTGAGCCTTATGTCAGAAATTCTCTCACATCACAGACTCTTTGTGATTGAAAGCAAACTTTCAATCATCTTAAATGTAGGGTTTTTATGTAATGTTATAAAATAAACTCTAATGCAGGTCAATAAGTAACTCATGTAGTTTCTCAGGAAGAGGATATCATTAGTAAGACTTACATCACTAATATAACCATAACCACTCCCTCTAAGAATTAAATTTATCCTTTCAGCAAAGGCTCAATGAATTGCAAAAAAAAAAAAAAAAAGTAATCTAATGATATCTTCTCGAATGAAAGACTTGTTGAAAATTCACCTGGGTTATGCAGCTGTCACTAACAAGCTAAAACATTGCTTTCATTCTATACCGTTTGTTGTCATGGGAGCTAATAGGTTGGGGGCGGGGGTGGGTGGGACTTTTCTCCATTTATTTGCAAAGCATAAAATTGATAACAAGCTCTGTGTTGTGATTTTTAGATCAGACACGCGGGGGCAGCAGTGAGCTGATGAGCAGCACAAACAATGGTGACACCTTGGAGCCAGAAAGTTTGAATCTAGAGATTGAGATGCCGGCTAGCTCTGTTTTAAAATTATTTACACCAAAAAGATACACATTTTTAAAACCTTTAAAATTAAATACTAGAGGAATTCCTTCTAGCAGATGTTTCCTGCTCCTCATTAGTGCTTAATTTTCTAATTTCCCTGATGTTTTTGCTTTTTCTATTGACATTTTTTTTTCAATCCGTTGAGGAATTTGATCATTTTAAAGCTGAGAAACTTCCTCCTGACCAGCCGAGTTGAAACCCGGGGAGCACAGGCGGGATATTCCCACCCCACAGGCTCAGAAAACGAGCTCTGTGCGGTGCAGAGAGTAAAAGGACTGCCTTTGTGGGGAGCCCACTTTGGCCTGGAGCTGACAACATCTTGAGAGCAAATCGGTTCCAAGGGCTCCTTTTTATAAAATGGGGAAACACAGCGGCACTCCTTCTTCCTTCCCAAAGACGGATGTGTTTCATCCCTGCCTATCTGGAGCTGCTGTTCTAGTATGGCACAGGCAGATCGCCCATCTCTGAAGAGCAAGATGGGCGTGTACCCGGTTTCACTTTCACTGCAGACAGGAGAGTCTGTACACAAAGGTACCACAGCCGATCCATCTTTTTTTTTTTTTTTTTTTTTTTTTTTTTTGAGACGGATACTCGCTATGTCGCCCAGGCTGGAGTGCAGTGGCGCGGCCGATCCATCTTTAAACCCCCAGCTGAGGCGGCTTGTTTACTGAGGACAGCCTGGTCCACCTGAAGAGGCCGTTGGAGAATGACACCCCAAAGGCAGAAAGGGAGGGATTCCCCACATGGCCCCAGAACAGCCTCACAAGGGCGGCCAGGACAGCCCCTCTTGCTGCGCCTGACAAGAGCCCCTTTGTCAGGCTGTCAGGCCGGGTTTTATTTTTAGACTCAGCCAGGGCTGCCTCCTGCCCGGAGCTTTCCCCTCGCACAGCTGTTGCCTCTGCTTTCCAAAGCCCTAGCCTACCGGTGCTGTGCTTCCCTTGGCCTTGGTGTGGCTTGACAAGTTGGAAGAATGATGGTGGCTTTAAAGAGAAGGGTTGGGGAGGGGTGAGCTCCCAGGCAGGCTCCTGGGCCCTTCCTGCTCAGCCCCGGGTCAGCTTGCTTCCCCCCATCCCAGCATGCACTTCCAGCCCAGGCATTTTAAAACCAAACAATCCAGCTCCCCCAGGATGGGCAGCCTCATTGCACTGGGTGGTTGGTTACCCCTCTGTCTGGGTGTGGGACACTACCTGGCAGTGACCTGTTGAGTAGCCAGTGAGAAAGCTCAGAGCCAGGAGTCAAACTGCACAGCCACTCCTGAACCTCAGGCCCTCCCTGATCAAAAGAGTTCCTTGTATGTATTGTATTCTAGATAGCTTATTTCTTCCACTACAAAAGAAATGTGCATTTATTGTAGCATTTCCATCCAGCTCGACTCTCTAGACAAGTCTAGGCATAATTTTACATTTCCGATGCCATATTGGATTTGTAACTTTGACCCTCCATATGCGTATTTAAAATCCACACTGAGACAGGGACTATCTCTGGGGACTAGGATCAGGGAAATAAGGCTTTTTATTTATACAGTTTTGCTTTTTATTTTCCACACTTTTGTATTGTTTAATCTTTTCCCAAGAAATGAATTTATTGTATTTATTTCTTTAATTGTGCAACTTTTATTTTTTTAAAGATGGGGGTCTCACTCTGTTGCCCAGGCTGAAGTGCAGTGGTGCAGTCATAGCTCTTTGTCACTTAGAATTCCTGGGCTCAACTGATCCTTCCACCTTGGCCTCCCCAGTAGCTGGGACTACAGGTGCAAGCCACCATGCCAGGATGGAAATGAATTATTTTGTAATGTAAAAAATAAAGGAAAGAGGACAGCTCTAACTAAAGTCAGGACTATTGCTATGTTGGACATGCCTCAGCCAGGACTCAGCACAGCAAGTGGGTTTTTTCTGTTCTTAAAAATATACTTAAGTTGGGCCAGGCGCGGTGGCTCACACCTGTAATCCCAGCACTTTGGGAGGCCAAGGCAGGTGGATCATGAAGTCAGGAGATCCAGACCATCCTGAGTAACACGGTGAAACTAAAATACAAAAAATTAGCCGGGCATGGTGGCACACACCTGTAGTCCCTGCTACTGAGGAGGCTGAGACAGGAGAATTGCATGAACCCAGGAGGCAGAGGTTGCAGTGAGCTGAGCTCGTGCCACTGCACTCCAGCCTGGGCAACAAAGCGAGACTCCGTCTCCAAAATACTAAAATAAAAATAATATATATATATTTTTATTTTTTTATATGTATATATATATAAGTTCTTGCTCCCACAGCTGTGGTCCCTTTAGCTAAAAGAGTTTGAAATGGCTATAGTGTCCTTGGAGACCTATTTTTGAGGAGGAGGCTGAGAGCTTCCTTCCTCTGCCCAGCCCCCCTTCTCCCATGACTTTTTTTTCCTCTCTTTTTCAGAAATCTGATGCTGTCAGGCCCAAGCATTGGCCAGGAAAGGACTCAGTACAGACAGGACCACTCAGAGAAACAGTAAGATAAGTCCACGTATTTACAATACTCTGAAAAGCAAATTGTCCAGAGAGGGGAAGAGAACTAGCTGTTCTTTATCTTCATTAGAACTTTTGTCCTTTGATTTGTATTCTCTCTCTCCATTCAGCCTCTGCTATGGTCTGAGTGTTTGTGTCTGCCCAAAATTCATATGCTGAAAGCCTAACCCCAGAGGTGATGGTATTAGAAGGTGATTAGGTCCCTCATGAATGGGGTTAGTGCCCTTATAAAAGAGGCAGGAGAAAGCTCGTTTGCCCCTTCCACCACGTGAGGACACAGAGAGAAGGCTCCATCTATGAGAAAGCAGGCCCTCACCAGGCACATCTGCCGGAACCTTGATCTTGGACTTCCCAATCTCCAAAACTGTGAGAAGTAAATTTCTGGCTCTAGGCAGCACCTGGGTTATGAATGAGGGTGCCACATTCCCTGCCTGGAGGACTACATGTTCAATGCAGGACACAGGTAAGTGATGAGCCTGTGGTGTTGGGCAGGTGGGCAATGAAGTCCAGAGCAGCCAGCCCAGCTCAGCCCAGCCCAGGTCAGAGAAGGTTCTCAGGATGGGGAGATGCCTGCAGCTTAAAGGACTCATTAGATGAGCAGAGACCAAGAGAAAGGCTATTTCCCCAGGGAAACAGGATTTCATAGCAAGGCCCCCGTGCTAAGCTTTTCTATACATCACGGCCCTGCCCTGCATGGTTCTCATGTGGTATATCACTGCATCCCCACAGCCCTGCACAGCCATTGCTCTCATCACTCCCATTCTGAAGCTGAGGTCCCTAAGGCACAGAGGAGCCGAGGGACGTTACCAAGGCCATCCAGTCGGTGACTGATGGAGCTGGGATTTGAACTAAGGCACGCTGGCTCTCGAGCCCCCACTTTTAACCCCTTGATCATCCTGCAGTTTGGATAACTCAAGAAAGTAGGGGTGGCTGGAACACAGAGTTGCAGGAGCTGGGTTGGAAAGGTGGACAGAAAGCCACACCACACTGAGGAGCCTGAATTTCATCCTGAAGACAGCCAGGAGGATGAAAACAGCCATGCACCCTGATCCAACCCGGGTTCTAAATAGGTCTGTGCCTTTGCAAGAAGGATTGGTGAGGCCAGGCGAGGACAGCAGTGTGGAGGCTGTTGTAGTCACCTAACGAAGAAGGCAGGCACTGGAGGTGGGTGGAGAGGGTGGCAAACCTGAGCTCCGTTGAGGAGTCAGGACTCCATCTAAATAGGATGTGGAGAGGGAGGCCTGATGCTCAGCTTCTGGCATAGATGAGTGGGTGGCAGCAGCTCCTCTCAGGTACGCAGGGAACACTGGAATAACAGCAGGCTTAGGAGAAAGGGGAGGACTCAGTTTGGGTGGCTGTGGTGAGTCCATGTGGAGATGGGACTCTAATTAGGTCAGTGGCAGGAGGAATGGAAAAGAGGAGGTGAGTGCCAGGGATCACTTTACAACAGGTGTTGTTCACCTGGCCAGAGCTCAGGGGTCTGTACACTTGTGTAGGAAAAGCATTGTATCTTTATTTTCACTTCCCTCCTACTAAAGTTTATCATCTTCTTCAATTACTAATGTTAAGAAAATGACTATAGTAATGTTAGCAATATCTATGACTTTGTTGTCAATAGAATCACAGATTTTCCACACCATATTTCCACCTCACATTTCAGTTGTTGCAGATATTTTCTTTTTTTCTTTCTTTCTTTCTTTTTTTTTTTTTTTTTTTTTTTTTTTTGAGACAGAGTCTTGCTCTGTAACCTAGGCTGGAGTGCAGTGGCACGAACTCGGCTCACTGCAAGCTCCACCTCCTGGGTTCATGCCATTCTCCTGCCTCAGCCTCCCAAGTAGCTGGGACTACAGGCACCCGCCACCACGCCCGGCTAATTTTTTTTTTTTTTTGTATTTTTAGTAGAGATGGGGTTTCACTGTGTTAGCCAGGATGGTCTGGATCTCCTGACCTCGTGATCCGCCCGCCTAGGCCTCCCAAAGTGCTGGGATTATAGGCATGAGCCACTGTGCCCGGCTGTTGCAGATATTTTCAAATATCATTTATGTTCATCACTACTTAAAAATGATGTTATGCCAGGTGTGGCAGCTCACACCTGTAACCCCAGCACTTTGGGAGGCCAAGGCAGGAGGATTACTTGAGCCCAAGAGCTCAAGACCAGCCTGGGCAACACAGCAAGATGATGCCTGTAGTCCCAGCTTGCAACTTCACACACAGACCTTCTTGCTACTTGTAGAAATGCTGTACTTCTATCTCACGTGATTCCCATTAAGAAAGAAAAAATGTGTCTTAGCTCAGGCTGCTATAGCAAAATACCATACACTAGGTGGCTTAAACAACAGAAGTTTATTTCCCACAGTTCTAAAGGCTGAAAGTTCAAGATCAGGGTGGAGTTTTGGTCAGGGCTCCCTAGCTGGCTTGTAGACAGGTACCTTCTTGCTTATATATTCACATGGAGGGGAGAGAGAGAGGAGGCTGTCTGATTTTTCATATGAGGATCCAACTCTCATGGCCTCATCTAAACAAAGTCACTTCCCAAAGGCCCTGTCTCCAAATACCATCACACTGGGGGTTAGGGCTTCAACATACGAAGCGGGGGTTGGGGGAGAGCACAAACATTTAGCCCATAACCATGCATTTATAATCATAAATGCTGCATTCTCTAATATGTTCCTGAGAGGGAAAGCCTTCTGTTTCGACTGTGCCCTGAGAACCAAATCCTCCTATTACAATTTTATTTTATTTTTATTATGTATTATTTTTTGGGTTTTTTGTTTGTTCGTTTGTTTTTGTAGGCATCTCACTCTGTCACCCAGCCTGTAGGGCAGTGGCACAATAATGGCTCACTGCATCCTCAAACTTGGGCTCAGGCAGTCCTCCCACGTCAGCCTCCTGAGTAGCTAAAACTGTAGGTGCAGGCCACCATGCCTAGCTAATTTTTTAATGCTTTTGTAGAGACAGGGTCTCACTATGTTGCTCAAGCTGGTCTTGAATTCCTGGCCTCAAGCAATCCACCTGCCTTGGCCTCCCAAAGTGCTGGGATTACAGGAGCGAGCCACCATGCCCCGCCCACTTACAATTTTATATGCCAGAGAATTATCAGAATTTTCCAGAGACTAACTTCTCGCTCTGCACATTTTGAGCCTGGTTTTCCTCCCTACCCACATGCCTCTGCTGCTAGGCTCTGTGGGACACATTAGCATCACCGTGTCCTGCCCTGCAGCACAGTGGACCCCGGAGTCCTAGGAGCTGCTTCCACACAAGCATGACCAGCTGTAACCGAAATCGGCAGGGAAGTGAACAAACCACATGGACATTCCCACACTAAACCCAAACTAAGTGTGTCTCCAACTCAACTTCCTGTTAGCTGGATCCCCAAATGCCCATGGCCACCTCAGTGCCACTAACATAAGGAAACAGATGGCATCTTAACCAGTTGTGGTTAAAATATCTTACTTTTGCAAACTTGACTAAAGCACCGCATGAACACAGTGTGAGGGCCCCTCTCAGACACCTGGAAGGGGCATGGCACCTGAGGACTCTACCTTCACAGTGAATCCACCTCTGCCTCTAGGACACCGGTTATGGATGTGTTGGCCACAGTGAAACCACTGCTTAAAATGAGGTAGCTGACAGTTACATAGCACCTACAAAGGGAAATGCTTTGTATGTTATTAAGTTATTTAATCCTTATAACAACCCTAAGATGTTGGTGTTATGATAATCATCATTTTATAGATAGAGAAAGCCAGCTAACTTGCCCAGGGTCACACATGTAGTAAGTGTTGGACCTGGAATTTGAACCCAGGCAGCTTGGCTTAAGCTAGCACCTCATACACTTTCCATAGCAGCCCCACAGCCTCCACCACCATTCCAGGACTCTACATTCTTACCTATGACCTTCTACCATAGCACACATTTTACTGATTTGCCTATCATCTATCCCTTGTTACTAAAATATAGACTATGAGGACAGAGCTGTTTGTTTTGTTCACTGCTGAATCACCAACACCTACAACAGTGCTTGGCACATCATAGGTATGTAGTGAATCTTTTGTGATTCTTTCTTCCTCCCTCCTCCTCCTCCTCCTCCTCCTTCTTATTCTTAGAGACAGTCTCACTCTGTCACCCAGGCTGGAGTCCATTGGCACCATCAGGGCTCACTGCAGCCTCTACCTCCCTGGGCTTTGGTGATCCTCCCACCTCAGCCTCCTGAGGAGGCACGCCATCATGTCTGGCTATATATATATGTGTGTGTGTGTGTGTATATATATATATTTATATATATGTTTATATATTATATATATTATATATATATATATTTATTTTATTTTATTTTTTTGCAGAGACAGGGTTTCACCATATTGCCCAGGCTGGTCTCAAACTCCTGGGCTCAATCCATCCGCCTACCTCAGCCTCCCAAAGTGCTGGGATTAGAAGTGTGAGCCACCGCACCCAGCCGTGATTCCCTTAAACGCTTTACTTCTCCTCCCAGAAAGTAACCTATTTACTTCCTGAAAACGGCAAAAGAAAATAAAAATAAGAGAGGGAGAACACACACCAAAAAATGTGAACAGTCTGGTTCACATGAAATCCAGGGAGAAAATACTTTTTAAGAAGATAGTTAGCGGCCGGGCGCGATGGCTCACGCCTGTAATCCCAGCACTTTGGGAGGCCAAGGCGGGCGGATCACGAGGTCAGGAGATTGAGACCATCCTGCCTAACACGGTGAAACCCCGTCACTACTAAAAAAATACAAAACATTAGCCTGACGCGGTGGCGGGTGCCTGTAGTCCCAGCTACTCGGGAGGCTGAGGCAGGAGAATGGCGTGAACCCAGGAGGAGGAGCTTGCAGTGAGCCGAGATAGCGCCAGCGCACTCCGGCCTGGGCGAAAGAGTGAGACTCCGTCTCAAAAAAACACAAACAAGAAAAGAAGCTAGTTAGCTCTGTCATAACTGCCAGTGATTCATAGTCCCACATGTTTCAGAGCAGGCAGGTTGTACAGAAAGCCAACTAAGGATGATCAAAAACTTTCAGATGATCTTGACTGTTCAGTTGAGGTTTGAAATTAAAAATCTATATGAGCACCTGACTGTATAATTATGTAATTTTTTTTTCCAGTAATATAAAGAGCCAAGGAAAGCAGGTGGGTAGGTGGATCCAAGATTGAGAATTTGTTGGTGGGCTGTGCCAGCAAGTCAAAGAACTGTCCTTCAAGCCAAGAGTTCTGGAGGTCATTCAATGGGAAGGCTGAAGGTCAGATGCTTTGTTAAGACTGAAGCTTGGTCGGGCACAGTGGCTCACACTTGTAATCCCAGCACTTTGGGAGGCTGAGGCAGGTGGATCACTTGAGATCAGGAGTTCGAGACCAGCCTGACCAATACGGTGAAACCCAGTCTCTACTAAAAATACAAAAACTAGCTGGGCATGGTGGCATGCACCTGTAATCCCAGCTACTCAGGAGGCTGAGGCATGAGAATTGCTTGAACCTAGGAGGCAGAGGTTGCAGTGAGCCGAGATTGCATCACTGCACTCCAGCCTGGGCAACAGAGCGAGACTCTGTCTCAAAAAAAAAAAAAAAAAAAAAAAAAAAAGACTGAAACTTGGCAGGATGAAGGTGTAGGGGAGGGAAAGGGTATGGGGTTGAGGACAGAGTGGAATTTCAAAGTTCAAGATTTCAGAGGAGAAGCAATTATAGGTGATGACCAGGTCTTGTAACAGGATAGGAGATATTGATGACAAGTGAGTAGAGCTCTAAGATGAGTCACAGGACAAGAGAAAATCTGATATTATGTGGAATAGGCACTAATGTGTACATTTGTAAGCTAGAGCCATGATTTGTAAAACCTACAAACTGTAACGCCAGCTTTAAATGTCACCTTCTCCAACAATCTACTTTTGATTGAAAATACTCTGTTTATAGTAATTCTAGGCCAGGCATGGTGGCTCAAGTCCTGTAATCACAGCACTTTGGGAGGCCAAGGCAGGTGGATCACTTGAGGTCAGGAGTTCGAGACCAGCCTGGCCAACATGGTGAAACCCCATCTCTACTAAAAAATACAAAAATTAGCCATGCTTGGTGGCAGGCACGTGTAATCCCAGCTACTCAAGAGGCTGAGGGAGGAGAATCGCTTGAACCTGGGAGGTGGAGGTTGCAGTGAGCTGAGATCGTGCCACCGCACTCCAGCCTGAGCGACAGAGTGAAACTCAGTCTAAAAAATAAAAAATAAAAAAAAAATCTAAAATAGCAATCCTCCTAAAATTAACAAACCAAGATGGTAACATCACCTCAATTTGGTAGGTTCATAAAGTTGGGGATTGTGAGTTAGGCTTGTTGAAGGTTGATTCTGTTCAAAGAATCATTTGCAATTCAACACATACCAAAAAAGTTTGAATTTTATAGCTCCAGATTAAAGTCCCTTTTGAGATATTACTGAAGAATCCATATCTTATTCAGTGCTACATACATCATAGAAGATCTTTAGTCTCCAGATGTTCACATTGCAAGGCTACAAGACACTCAATAAATACATAAATATAATGGTGAATAATGGTAGGGTGAGAAAAAAGCACTTAAATCTCCCAGACACGCAATCCATTGAAATGCTCCAATTAGATGTAACCAGCTGATTTTCAGAGAAACAAAAAACATTAGTAGTTTTTTGTTCTCCGGTCACTTAAAAAAAAAAAAGATAATAGGAGGTTGAAATTACATGCAATGTCTAGTGAGAAGCAAAATTTCAACTTTTTTCACTGCCAGGTATAGCTGGGATAGGGAGAGAAATTTTTTTTCATATTTTAAAAAATCCAGTACTTAGCTTGAAACATTGAAGAAAGAGATCATAAATCCCAAATCAACTGTAGCCTGCAAGTAAATTGATTATATTCTCCTTTGAGGAAATTCATAATAAAAGAACTAATATGTGCATTTCATTAAATTCACCTGAAGTGATAAGAAGCCTTACTGATCTCTTTCAAAGTAGTGGCTGGGTAAAAGGCTTTCCATCCTGTGAACTTTCCAACCAGGAGACAACTAAGCAATATCCCCTTTCCCTGCTTTGAAAGGCACAAGCGCCTGGAGCCAATGCACCTCGTTTGGCAGATTGACAGGCACCTGGGTAGTGTTGTGGAAGTTAGAAGTGAAGGAATCCATGCACTAGAGCTTACATATGAAATAATTTTCAGAAATTTTATAAAACAAGGCAAACAATTTTGCCCTTTCCATTTTTCCTCTACTGAGTTTTCATATCTCTGAGACAGATGGAGCACATGTAACAAAACCAACCCAATGCAGAGGATGCAATCTGGGATATTAAAAATAAAATCTTTTCCAAATCTTCATAAGCTCCTTTAAAAACACTTCCACCCAAGTGTTAAAGCCTATAACAGAGGTATCTAAAAATGGAAGGAAGAAGAGGTGCCCCAAGGGTTCTTATTTCAAAACCAGTCAGAATTAATATTTATTTCTTTACACAATCAGCAAATATGACCACATTTAGTCATATGTGAACTAGAAAATGAGTATATCCCAGAGGATCCTCCATTAAGAATCTTAAAATATAAAAATGCTGAATTAAAAGACAAATCAGCAAATGCAACTAATGCTCACATATTGTTAATATATTACTGGACTCCAAATAAACACTCTGTACCATTGAAATTTTCAAAAAACTTAGTAAGTATGTATGTATACAATGCTGTATATACCATTGCATGTACAATTGTATATTATCGTTGTATACATACATACTTGATGATGTGTATATATATACTTCTATATACATATATAGCTAGATTTTGACATTGTATTCTCTGTCCTTACTAACTAGAAGTTCTTTATTATAGAAACATTGTAGCTTACATTTTACATTTTCATAATATTTAATTTTATATTTTCATAGTATTTTAACATAGGAACCTATCAATAGTGGCTCCTGGGTTTTACTTTTCTATGAAAAACTTATTTATTTTGAGCCATATGTAATTTCAGGTTTTCTAGGGGTAGATTAACCTCATAAAACTGTGTTCAAATATCACTGTTCTATTGGCACTATCCAAAAAATGCATCAATATTCAATTACATGTAAATAAAATTATTTTTTCTCCTTTATCTCTTTTCCACTGGGACATGTAAGTAACCTGTTTGAAATATATTACTGATGGAAATTAAATGTAAATTACTTACTTCTTTTTTTTTTTTTTAAGATAGGGTCTCTTTCTGTTGCCCAGGCTGGAGTGCAGTCGCCCAATCTTGGCTCACTGCAACCTCCACCTTCCGGGTTCAAGCAATTCTTCTGCCTCAGCCTCCCGAGTAGCTAGGACTACAGGCGCCCGCCACCATGCCCAGCTAATTTTTTGTATTTTTAGTAGAGAAGGGTTTCACCGTGTTAGCCAGGATGGTCTCGATCTCTTGACCTCGTGATCCCCCCACCTCGGCCTCCTAAAGTGCTGGGATTACAGGCATGAGCCACTGCACCCGGCCTTCTTTTTTTTTTTTTTTTTTCCAGAGTCTTGCTCTGTCACCCAGGCTGGAGTGAAGCGGTACAGTCTTGGCTCACTGCAACCTCCACCTCCTGGGTTCAAGTGATTCTCATGCCTCAGCCTCCTGAGTAGATGGAATTACAGGCACGTGCCACCACACCTGGTTAATTTTTGTATTTTTTTTTTTTTTAGTAGAAACGGGGTTTCACCATGTCAGCCAGGCTGGTCTCAAACTCCTGACCTCAGGTGATCCACCCACCTTGGCCGCCCAAAGTGCTGGGATTATAGGTGTGAACCACCACACCCAGCCTGGATTACTTATTTCTTGATTTATGAAGCCTCTATGCATTTGGGAACTTTTCTAGGTGACGGATACAGCCATGAATCAGGCAAACAAAGGCCATTTAGTCAAATAGGGAAGACCAGAAACAAACTCATAAACAAGCAAATGAACAAAGACAATTTCAGATAGTGATGAGTGCTATGAAGAAAACAAAATCTGCCAATGGGTTGGCTAGTGGCCGAGAGCGAGTTGTGGAGAGAAAGGGGACAAGGTGGTCAGGAAATTGGAAAAGGTGGTATCTGGATCAAGACCAGAGTGGGGGAAGAAGCTAGCCTTGCAAAGAGCTGAGGGTGGTAGTGGGGGGATGCATGGGCAGAGTATTCCAGGCAAAGGAAGGACCAGAGAATACAGAAACCCTAAAGCAGGAAGGAGCTTGGGACTAGAGTGTGGGGAAAAGGCAGGAGTGGGGCTAGTGAGAGATGAGATCCAGGAGTGAGGCAGGGCCAGATTATGTAGCAAGGAATTAGGGTTTTATTCTAAGGAGAAGAAGCCACAAGAACTGGCTGCATTTTTAAAAGATCACTCTGTCTACCATGAGGCAAATGGAAGAGGCAGTGTACATAATAAAAATACATGTATTTGATCCAGGCATGGTGGCACATGCTTGTAGTCCCAGCTACTCATGAGGCTGAGAGGGAGGATCGCTTGAGCCCAGAAGTCCAGCCTGAGCCACATAGCAAGATCTCAGGTTTACAAAAAAGAATAAATAATAATATAGGTACACACACACACACACACACACACACACACACACACACACACACACATTTTCTGCTCTCAGTTCCTGGCACAGAGCTTCTAAGACCCTTGTAATTTCCTGACACAGAGTTCCTAATCATTTGGATCCCTTGGAATTTCCTGGGTAACAGGACAGTCTTCTGTTCTAATGAAGTGACTCTTGGTGGCCTCTACATGGGGGCTGGTCACTGGAAGGTCTAAGCCATGATTAGATGCTTGCAACTTTCAGCCCTACCCTTTAGACTCTAGGAATGGGAGAAGGGATGGAGATTGAGTTAGCAATCCATCATGCCTTCATGATGAATCCTCCATAAAAATCCTTGAACTAAGAGGTTGGGCAAGTTTCCAGGTGGGTGAACCCATCCACTTACCGAGAAGGTAACGCACCCCAGCTCCACAGGGATAGAAGCTCCTGCACTCAGGACGCTTCTGAACTTTGCCCATGTAAGTCTTCATCTGGCTGCTCATTTTATCCTTTAAAATATCCTTTGTAATAAATAGACAATGGTAAGTAAGCTGTTTTCCTGGATTCTGTGAGCTGTTCTTGCAAATTATTGAACCCCAGAAGGGGGTCACTGGAGCCTCTGATTTGCAGCCAAGTTGTGCAGAACTTGGCAACCTATGACTTGCAATTGGCATCTGAAGTGGGGGGCAGTCTTGTGGATTTGTGCCATAGGGAACTTGGAGATCTGCACTAACTCCAGTTAGTGGCAGAATTGACCTGAATTGTAGGACACTCAGCTGGTATTTGGAGAATTGGTTGTTGGTGGGGAAAAATTCACATATCATTGTGACCAGAAGTGTTCTGTGTTGAGTGTGAGTAGAGAAAAAACAGTTTGACTTTTTGCTGTAAAGGAAGGGACAAGAATGGAAGCAGGGAGACCGTTAGGAGACTAACACAGGCGCCTAGGGAGACACTATGGCGACCTTAGGGAAGGTGCTAGCAGTGCTCACCGTGGGGATGGTGAGAAGTGTTCAGATTTAAAATATATTTTAGAGATACAACCTATACGACTTGCTGGTAGATCATTTCAGTTTCCCTAAATGTTATCTCTCTTGAGCTACATTTCCAAAGCTTTTCTGAAACAACTTTAGATCCAAGCCCCTTTCCCTCACTTCCCTACTCATATGTACATCCACATACCCATCTTGTGCCTCAGAAAAATTCTCCCAACCCTTTTTTTTTTTTTTTGATACAGAGTCTCACTGTCGCCCAGGCTGGAGTGCGGTGGCACGATCTCTGCTCATTGCAACCTCCATCTCCTGGATTCAAGAGATTCTCCTGCCTCAGACTCCCAAGTAGCTGGGACTACAGGTGCTCTTCACCATGCCCAGCTAATTTTTTCTTTTTTTTTCTTTTTTTTTTTTTTTCATATGGAGTCTCACCCTGTCACCCAGGCTACAGTGCAATGGTGCAATCTTGACTCACTGCAACCTCCCGGGTTCAAGCGATTCCCCTGCCTCAGCATCCCGAGTAGCTGGGATTACAGGAGCGCGACACAATGTCCAGCTAATTTTTTGTATTTTTAGTAGAGACGGGGTTTCGCCATGTTGGCCAGGCTGGTTTTGAACTCCTGACCTTGTGATCCAACTGCCTTGACCTCCCAAAATGCTGGGACTGCAGGCATGAGCCACCGCACCTGGCCTACCCTTTTTAAATCACAGTTGGTCCAAATGGCTTACCCAGCCATCCGTTCCAGGGCACCAAGTGCATCTCAGTCACTGCTGTGTCTGCAAAGCCCAGAAGTAACTCTCCAGCTAACTGTTCCCAGGCCTTATGATTCATACCCTCCTACAGGCTCCTAGAGAAATTCTTTTCATACTTGTGCATGACTCTTTGCATGCCCAAGACTTCTGCACCTCTGAGGGTCTACTCCGTAAACCTCCAGCAGCCCCAGTAACATGGAGTCGACAGTAATCAGGGCCCAGCTCAATACTGGGACTTTTACATGATTCATTTACTTAACTGTTCGCCACTCTCAGAGAACAGAACTATTAGTAGCATCAGCCTATGGCTGAGGAAAACAGTTCATAGACATGTTTTGCAAATTGTGAGACAACACCCAGCTAGGATTCAAGTCAGGTGGAGCTCAATGAGACTGTTAACTTCTGGCCCCACAGAGAACTGTTTCTCCAAGAACTGCTGCCCCAAGAACAACCCTCTCCCCGCTTGGTTAATCATCAGAGTTAGAACACAACTCTGGAGCCAAATTGCCTGGAGTGGAATCCGAGTGTCACTACATTTTAGTCGCATTACCTCGGGCAAGCTATTTAATATTTCTGTGCCTCTGTTTCCTCATCCATAAAAGAGAGATAATCATAATGCCAGCCTCATTATAGGTGAGGACTAAGGGAATTACTATATGCAAGGTGTTTAGAATAAAACCTGGTATACAACAAGTGCTATATAAATATTAGCTATCTATCTCATCATCATCATTCTCTTGTCCCAACGACTGACACATCACCCTCATTTAATATTTGTGCACGTGATCACTAAGCCATTACCAAAAGCCCCTAGGTAGGTGTCCGTTGAGTGGGTTGTAAAGGTAATGCATAGAAAGGTCATTATATTAAAAAAAAAAAAAAGTTAGTGGGGCAAAGTGATGAGGTGACTGTCAGAGATACTGAAGAGACACTTAATAAGTTGTGATTAATTTACTCTGAATAATGCATTGAAGTGAAGCCATTTTCAAAGCATAATTTGGATTAAATTACTTACTGTTCCAAGGCTCATTTCACTAACCAGGAAGTGTATGGCGTGGGTAGAGATGAGTCTGTCCTTTCCAATATCTGTTCAGTCGTTGACATATACTGCTCCCAATCAGTTTCCTGGCAACTCAGGGTTAAGGTCCTGCATCTCAAGCTCTTGCCTTCACTTCATTGTTTTTAGTACTACAAATTTTAGGATGTCTCCTAGTCAATATAGACTGCATTTATCTGTGATAACAAGAACAACACATTTCAGCAGCAACAATGATCAAGTTTATTTCTTGTCCATTCCACTTGTCCGTTGTGGGAGGGACAAGAAAGCCCTGCTTATCATAGTCATAGAGAAACAAGGCTAAAGGAGATTCCACCTCAGCATGCTTCCCCGATCACAGGGTCAGGGGAAAGGAAGCACGTCAAACCACATATTGACTCTTGAAGCTTTTACCTGGAAATGGCCCATCACACTACTCATGTTTTATTGGTCAGAACAAGTCACATGGCCAGGCCTGGGCTTAAAAGGGAGAGTATGTACAATCTTCCTGCAGGGAAGTGCCCCAAATATTTGGAGACAATAATACAGGCTTCTGTAGGAAAGATTTGACTGAAAGCAAAAAACCCATCTAAAAGTGGCTTAAATAATTGAGGGGTTATTTTCTCACACAACAAAAAGTCTGGAGGTGGATCAAGGCCCAAGGAGGTAAATTTGGCATCTCAAAGATGCCTTCAGGGATGCACTTTACTTCCATCTTTCTACTTTACCATCCTTAAGATGCCGGCAATATCTCCCTTCATAGTTCCAAGATGGTTGCAGCAGTGCCGGGCATCACGGGTAGACCAGCGATATCCAGAGAAGGGTAGTAGCGTTTCCTCCATTAGTCTCATATTGTTTTGTTTTGTTTTTTTTTTGTTTTTAATTTAAAAATTAGGCCAGGAGTGGTGGCTCATGCCCATAATTCCAGCACTTTGGGAGGCCGAGGTGGGAGGATGGCTGGAGCCCAGGATTCAAGGCTGCAGTGAGCTGTGATAGTGCCACTGCACTGCAGCCTGGGCAACAGAGTGAGACCATGTCTCTAAAATAAATAAATAAATAAATAAATAAGTAAAAATAAAATACATTAATATTTCCACAGTCTGATTCAGGCACTGTGTCCAGCACTTATTCCAGGGTCTCATCCCAAAACTCATCACAGTTAATCACGTGACTCATCACAAAACTACTCTTGCAGTTTTGAGAAAATCCTTCTCAGAACCCCAGCTTACTTCCTTTTGGGTCCCATTAGCTGCAATGAAATCATATGTCCATGACTTAGCCAGTCATTGGCAAAAGGAATAAGACTACCTTGACTACCTTCTGGGGTAAGAAAAGACCTGTATTCCCTTTGTAGGAGCAACTCTGTTTTCTATAAGAAATATGGCGCTGAGCATAAGAATCAGGCAAATGTAACCTTATTTCACCAATTATGGGAAGGTCCTTTTTTCAGAGTGTAAATAAAGAGGGACCACAATGTCCATTAGTGAAAAGCCTTCATTTGTGCTTACGTAATTAATTTACAGTGGAACAATTATGGACAAATAAAGCAGTCAAAACAGGCATTTAATAGGGAAGGATCATTTACCAAAGGGTCAGGGAAATAAGAAACTACTTTGGGTTGATATTACATCCGTCTCAAAAGAGTTGACCAAAAGAATTCACCACTCCC
The DNA here is from genome assembly GCF_000001405.40 of Homo sapiens. Lineage (NCBI taxonomy): Eukaryota > Metazoa > Chordata > Mammalia > Primates > Hominidae > Homo > Homo sapiens. The sequence continues at coordinate 50,844,108 of NC_000014.9, read as the reverse complement.
TTCTCTGTGGCCCCCTGACTAGAGTCTACATTCTTCATCATTTCACCCATCACACTTACCATGCTTTATTGCCTTTATCTGTGTACCTGTCTGTCTCCACCTGCAAGACTGTAAGCTCCTTGAAAATATAATCTGTTTCATCTTTTTATTCCTGTGCATAATATAAAACAGTAGTGGCTAAAATCAATTGATAACTCACTGTGTCCAAGAGCCCATTCTAAATTCTAAATGAATTGACTCTTTAATATTCACAACATCCTATGAGGCATGTGTTATTATTAAGTATGTTTTATAAATGAAGAGATGGAAAGTCAACAAGTCCTTGACCAAACGTACATAACTATTAAGTGGGAGAGTTGGATTTCAGATGAAGGCAGCCTAATTGGGTTATGTTTAGGACATTTGCCCAACAAATGGGTGAACCCAATATGCTTTAATATACAATAGGAAGGGGAGAGAGAGAACAAGGGTGAAGAAAAAGTGATAATCTTTTATTTACACATAGAATCTGAAATCAAGTATGATAGACTTACATTCTATGAGAGTAGAGATCGTGTATGTTTAACTTGTTTAGTGTGGTATCTCTAGCTTCCAGTACAGTCCCTGGCACACAGTATGTATTCAATCATTCCTGGAAGTAGGAGAGGAAGGGAGAGACAGGGGGAAGGATGAAAGAAAGAAGGGCAGCAAGAAGTGATTGAACGAATAAACACAAGCAATGACCTCTTTCTCTTGCTTTCTATTTCTCTTACCTTCTCTTCCTCCATTATTTTCATGCATAACTTGACTTCTTAAATCTACCTCTTGCCTAGGATAGGAGGAAGTGGTAGAGGCTCTAAGCATTAAGTGTTCTCAAAGAGAATTTAAATGTAACATTGTTACAGAGTAGCAAGTCCTCTCTGCTGCCCTAATTCATTTGGCTTTTGAAACAATGTGTCTTGTATGAAGTAGACTTTTCCTCAAACTAAAACATTTTTTAACAATTTGGACTTGTGCTTTTTCTTCTAATTGTGTGCTGCTTAAAATGTCAAGGCAAGGCAGGGATGCCAATTCTCACATGGGCAAATTGATTTTTGTAAAAATCAGTGCAGGCTGGGTGCGGTGGTTCATGCCTGTAATCTCAGCACTTTGGGAGGCCAAGGCGGGCAGATCACTTGAGGTCAGGAGTTCAAGACCAGCCTGGCCAAAATGGTGAAACCCTGTCTCTACTACAAATACAAAAATTAGCCAGGCATGGTGGTGCACGCCTGTAACCCCAGCTACTCAGGAGGCTGAGGCAGGAGAATCACTTGAACCCGGGAGGCGGAGGTTGCAGTGAGCTGAGATTGTGCCACTGCACTCCAGCCTGGGTGACAGAGACTCTGTCTCAAAAAATAAAAATAAAAATAAAAGACTGTCTCAAAAAGAAGAAAGAAAAATCAATGCAGAGCCATAGCCATAAGCAAATGAACAGAAATAATTAAAGGCTGGGAAATGACCACTGTCCATTGATGGGACTATTACTCCAAAGCCCCTCTACAAAAACTGGTCACATTACACAGATAATAGTCTGTAAACACTAAAAGCACTATTTTTTCTTCTTGATTTCAGCACTATTGTCATAGGACTCTGCTTTCAAAGATGGCTTCAAACAGCCATACAGATTTAACATTTTAGATTCAATCCTTAGACCGTAGAGACTCCTCACTCTACTTTCAATAAGCAAAGTACAATCATGATGAAACTGAAGCATTGGATTCGGAATTCTAAGTGTTCCTATTCTTATAGGATGTCCAGGTTTCTGTTGTTAATTTCGTCGTTTTGATTCCTGTCTAGAAAGCTTTTTTTTTTTTTTTTTTTTTTTTTTGAGACGGAGTCTCACTCTGTCACCCAGGCTGGAGTGCAGTGGCGCAATCTCGGCTGACTGCAAGCTCCACCTTCCGGGTTCACGCCATTCTCCTGCCTCAGCCTCCCGAGTAGCTGGGACTATAGGTGCCCACCACTGTGCCCGGCTAATTTTTTTGTATTTTTAGTAGAGACGGGGTTTCACCATGTTAGCCAGGATGGTCTCGATCTCCTGACCTCGTGATCCGCCTGCCTTGGCCTCCCAAAGTGCTAGGATTACAGTCGTGAGCCACCGTGCCCGGCCTTAGAAAGCTAATTTTTAAAAGGATCTTTTTGTTCTAATGTTTTTTTTAAGAGTCAGCATCTCATTTTGTCACCCAGGCTGGAGTGCAGTGGCACAGTTCTGCTCACTGCAGCCTCAACCTCCCAGACTCACAGGATCCTCCCACCTCAGCCTCCCAAGTAGCTGGGACCACAGGTGTGCACCACCACACCTGGCTTTTTTTTTTTCCTGTAGAGATGAGGTCTCACTACGTTGCTCAGGCTGGACTCAAACTCCTGGCTTAAGCAATCCTCCTGCCTCAGCCTCCCAAAGTGCTGGGATTACAGGCCTGAGCCACTGTGCCCAGGCTTTTGTTCTACAATTGAACAAGAACTTCATGAGTATCCAAATATTCTGACTTTTTTTGTTTGTTCTTCATTCTCAGATTACTTTGATTCCATTCAAATGTATTTGAGTCATTGGGGATTTTTTTTTTTTTTTTTCAAAAATGAATTCATTGACTTTTCTTCAGCCTGACTTTCTCCTCCTGTCTTCTCTCTTGGTTGATGGCACCATTATCCACTGTGATCCAGACCAACACCTCAGCCACATTTGACTTCTCACGTTATTGCCTCATATATCCGGTTAGCTGCCAAGTACAATTGTTCAATCTCTGGAGCTGCCATTTTCTTTTCATTCTCATGTCAAGGACTCTAAGTCAGGCCTTCATCATCCCCTCTTAGAATATTGCAATGACCCTCAAACTGGCTTCCACTATTTGTCTCTTATTCTCCAACACATCTTTTGTATATTCTCCATCTTTTGTATTTTTGTTCAATTATTTTCCCAAAAGATTTATCATATTTCTCCCCTGCTCAAAAACCTACAATGGCTTACTATTGCCATTTTTTTAGATTTTAAAAGTCAAACTCTTTAATGGCATTGAAGACTCTTCTTCAGTTCATCCCAACCAACTCTAGCAACCTCATCTCCTATCACTCGTCATCATTACCTTGATTATTCCTTCATAAACGTATTTTCCCCCAGATTTATCATGACATTTCTTAATTCTATCTGTCTGGCAAATTCCAAATTACGTCTCAAGGCCTTGCTCAAATGCTCTCTCCTTTTACGTAAACTTCCTTGTTCTCCAGGCAGAACTAATCCCTCCTTTCTGTGCTCCCATAGCATTCTGTTCAGATTCCTATTGTGCCCCTTATTGGGTTCCCAGAAGCAGTTCATGAGAGGAGGATTTGTAGGGAAGGGTTTTGTTAAGGGAATGCTCCCCAAAGAGTCTGGCAAGTGAATGAGGGAAGTAAGACAGGGAAGAGAAAGAGACCAAGCAAGGGTGAGAAATTTGGTGAAAGTCCCAAGGCGAGTAGCCCAGCTCAATTCCATAGGGGAACTCTGGACATTAATTGATGTCCTTCTCTAAGACAAGGGAGCTGAGCTTGCTTTCTCCCACACTGAGCAGTCACTAGCTAGAGATTCAGTTCCCAAGCACTTCTTGCTCTCTGCATGCATTTGTACACAGCAGCCCAAGGGCAGCCACCAAAAGAGAGTCGCAGGTGCAGGCCAATGGCAGCAAAAGCACTTCAGAGTGGATGGAAGAACACACAGAAATGGTAAAAGACATCCCAGAGTACCTGGGAGGAGGCTGACGATGTCAGCTATGCTTCTTAGTATAGTCTGCCTTGTATCCACCTAATCATGCACTGTCATCCCCTGCCTCCAGCCAGTGGATGCTGAAGTACTTAAGAGCAAAGACTGCATCTTAGTCATCCTCATGTCCCTACAGCAGGCAGGATATCACTTTGCACCTGGAAATTGCTTAAATAGGATTTATTGATTCAAATGGAATATTCCTTGTGCAACATTTTGCTTCTACTAATCGTTTTGCAGGATTTTTTTTCCCTAGCTGGTTTTAGGTCAACGACAATAAAACGTGAATTCTGGAGATTCAAAACCTCAAATCTTCAACTTTTCACCTCGCACTTTTATTCCTGGGACAAAAACTTGCTCAGCACATCTCTTCCTAAATTCCAAGACAGGCTGCTTGTTCTGTTCAGTCAAGAATGCCAACCCAAGAAACATTTTTGAAAGATCACAGTCAACGTCATTGCCAAAAGAAGAAGCTCTTGGCACACAAAGAACCTGGTTCAATATGAGATGCCAGATGGTGATTTCAACTTCAGCTAAATTCCTGCTGAGAAGTATTTGAACTGCAGATGAGAAAATCTTCTGTGACAAATTTCCAAGTGTTAGAAGCTTCAGAGGAAAATGGCAAGTGTTGATACCCTCTCTCCCCGCAACCACCACCACCAACCACATGCACACATACCATGGAACATACCTGCATCTGGTAGCTAAGATTCCAACAGATGCCTCTGCCTTTTAAAAAGCCTATGGACCCTGATTTGATTTTTACTAAAAGTATATTAACTGAGTCCATTGGAAGCAAATACCATTTGATTAATATGCAGTGCTTTTTCAAAGGGTGCGTTCCCTTAGCATCGGAGATAACTCTTTCCTGTCTTCCAATAATTCTGTTGTTAATTGATAATTAATTGATAGTCAACTGATACTCAGTGTATCTCCCCTCCCTAGATACTTTCAAATTCCAGGAGATACATGTGAGGCATAAATTGATGGTGCTCTGCCTGGATGACCTTGAATCTCTTTTGCTGGTTCTGTGTGCCCACACCCCAGCTTCAGTGTATTTTGCTTTCTAATGATTAGCTTCTGCAACTATCTTCAGAGGGTTGCCCTTGAACTACTGAATTTCACCTGTTTGCACAGAGAACTGAAAGTGCCTGGGAGCTTACTGTGGCCCTGAGATGCCCACAGCCAATGAGTCACTGGTACAGGAAATTGAAAGCCCAGCTCCCCCGAATCAAGTCTGGGAAAATTCTGAGGTGTAATATATGCTCCAGAGCTCCAGTCAGCAATAGGCTGAGACTGGGACTCTGCCTGAATAACACTTGCACTTGGCTTTTTCCCTCCTTCTTTCCCTGTGTTGCTCCTGCCTCCCCACATACCCCCTTGGAGGTCTCTCCTGTAACACATCTTTCATATAACTCATGTACAAATTCTCGTCTTGGGATCTGCTTCTGGGAAACTGACCTGTGATGATTCTGGGCAATGGAAAAGTTCGAGTATCCTGCTAATAAAGAAAACAGAAATTCTTTCTAGAACAAGGAACATATGCGTGCCTACTTTATCAATCAAAGTCTCAGAAGGAAATAGTGGATAAAGTCAAAGTAGGTATTTGGAGAAAGAGTAGTAATAAAGGGACTATTTCCAAAGGTGTGGACTGGGTTCAGAGAGACAAGGATAAGTGCCCACCTGGAAGCTAGGACCAGGATGTGCCATTGCCAACTCTAGGCCTCACTGGTAAAAGGAGAGTGTGGCTTTGCAAGCTGGTGACAGAAATGTGTGGAGAGGCTGTGAGACAGGAGCTGTGACTTTACAGGTTGCAGCCAGCCTGCAGAGACCCTGCAAGGAGTTAGCACCAACCTTATGCTCCATCTTGCCTCCAATCTTGTCAGCGCTACCCCATCAGCTGAACATAATGGGAACTAGGGCTTGAGGGAGCCTGTTAATGTAGTACATCTAGGGTTAGCCTCTTGGGGCACACAGCAGGTGGAGAAGAGTAGGGAGAGGATCTGAAGGGACAAACAGAAGCTTTCCAGCAGCACACTTGCCTACCTATCTTACACACACACAGTTTGGCTGGTTCTTGATCTTGACCTGTGACCAGATACACCTAAATAAACACTACTTTTCTCTCTGCTGACCTTGTCTCCTTCTATATTATTTGTTTGCACATTGAGGGACCCAGAGATAGGCTGCATGATGTGTGAGAAGGGGACATCAAAAATCAAGTGACAAAATACATTTTTATTTAAGTCTGAGTATGGCATTTGGGTATCAGGATAGCCCCAGCACTTCAGCCTCTAAGACATTTTATGTAGAGTGAAACATGACTCACAGAGCCCACTGCCATAAGATTTATCATCACTTTGACTTTATATTTTAGTACAAAGAGGTCTAAACTACGTCTTTAGAGAATTATACCCATTCTCTCACAGTTGACAACAAATGCAAATCAAAGATCTTTATGTTGCTTTTTGTAATGCCCTATCTAATCGTTTTCTCATCAGTCCAGGTGCAAAGATGTCCTCATTATTCAGTTTACTCCCAAATGTTCTCATTATTGAAAGCAATGCTCTCTTCCTAGTGGGCTCATTTTCTGTTTTTGAAATGGTCACTTTTCTTGGATTTTGGCTTTGGCTTGATTCAGAATATAAAGCACTACAAAGTGTGTAGAGTGGAAAAAAAAGGTCACTCAGTTATTTTAAGGCCTTTGATACTAATCATGGCAGACAGCTTGGGTCCTTGGGATGCTGGCAGGAGCTGATGTGGGTGGGATGGAGGATGGAGGACGGAGAAGCACTCCTTCCACGCATTCCTGGAGGACGGGCAAGGCCCAGCAGCTACTGCCTTCTTGGCCTCCAACCCTCCCTCTGCTGGTACCCTTCAGATGCCAATACAGCTGAGTCAAAAACGGGTGGGGTGTGCTTTAACAAACGGCCTACGGGGTTGTCATTTCTAAGTATTAAAATAGTATATACTGGGGCCAGGTGCGGTGGCTCACGCCTGTAATCTCAGCACTTTTGGAGGTTGGGGTGGGCGGATCACTTGAGGTCGAGTTTGAGACCAGTCTGGCCAACATGGTGAAACCCTGTCTGTACCTAAAAATACAAAAATTATGGGAGGCTGAGGCAGGAGAATCGCTTGAACGCAGGAGGCAGAGGTTGCGGTGAGACAAGATTGCGCCATTGCATTCCAGCCCGGGCAATAAGAGTGAAACTCCGTCTCAACAACAACAACAACAACAACGACAATTAGCTGGGCGAGGTAGTCCCAGCTACTTTGGAGGCTGAGGCAGGAGAATCGCTTGAAACTGGGAGGCGGAGGTTGCAGTGAGCCGAGATTGCACTGCTGCACTCCAGCCTAGGCAACAGAATGAGATTCTGTTTCAAAAAAAAAAAAAAGAAAGAAAGAAAGATAAAGAAAGAAGAAAAGAAACAAAGAAAGAAAGGGAAAAAAGAAAACAAAATAGTATATATTGGGCTATTTTCTTTAGAAATTGTATGTCTAACCATATTTTGAGGGGCCAATGACTTAGAGGATGGTGATTGTTTAAAAATGTTAGTAAACACTGGGTTTCATTCCATGGCAGCTGTCTGAGTCAGCCATGAGCCCTCTCAGTAGGCGAGTGCTGAGGTGGACAGGTCAGGCCTAAGGCTGTCATGCATCCACTGTGTGATCCTGAGCGGGGCAGCAGACCTTCCTGAACACAGCTTTCCTTTAACCATAATGGAGTTGGGCTGGACAGATTCCGAATCCTCTTCTTGTTCTGACACTGCGTTTGTGGCAGCCAGTAGCCCCGTGTGGCTGGTCTGAACTGAGATGTGCTGCAAGTGCCAAGCACACACCAGGTTTCAAAGGCTTAGAACAAAAACAAATGTAAAATATCCCATTACTACTTTTTATGTTGATTACATGTTGAAGTGATCATATTTTGGGGTATATTGGGTTACATAAAATCTAAAAATTAATTTTACATGTTTCTTAAATGTGGCTGCTAGAAAATTTTGAACTACATGTGTGGCTCACATTATATTTCTACTGAACAGAAATGTTTTAAAATGTATGGTTCTGGGTTGCCATTTCTTTTGTGTGCACATCAAACTCTAGAGAATTCAAAGTAGTCTTGCTTGGGGAAAAATGTTTAATTTTCCATTCAAAACTATTCTAACAAAAAAGTAAAGATTTCATGTCATATTTGTTAAGTGTTTAAGAGCGTATGAGGGAGGGGCCAGGCGTGGTGGTTCACTCCTGTAATCCCAGCACTTTGGGAGGCCGACATGGGCTGATCAGCTGAGGTCAGGAGTTCAAGACCAACCTAGCCAACATGGCGAAACCCCATCTCTACTAAAAATACAAAAATTAGCTGTGTGTGGTGGCGTGTGCTTGTAATCCCAGCTACTTGGTAGGCTGAGGCAGGAGAATTGCTCGAACCTGGGAGGCAGAGGTTGCAGTGGAGGAGCTGAGATTATGCCACCACTGCTCTCCCGCCTGGGTGACAGAGTAAGACTCCACCCCCAAAAATGAAAAAAATAAATAAAAATAAAATTTAAAAGAAGAGTGAATGAGGGTGCAAACGCCAATGTTTCTTAAAGTAACATTTCATTTCCTCCCCCCTTCAAATGAAGCTACAGTGGCAGTCCTTTGGCACTTGCAGTCTTTAAAACAGTAGACCATTGCCAGCATCCAGCCACATGAAAAGGGATAATTCCAAAAGTAAAGATCAACCCCCCACCCACCCATCCCATGTATACATATGCAACATCTCTTCTCCACGTGAATGCCAAGTATTTGGAAAGTACCTAAGTGCTCAGCCCATGGGATCCAAAAGACACATGTGCAATAACCACTTCCTGCTATGCTTCAGTTGCTGCGCCAAACAATGAACAGAGAGACAAGGCATTCAATACACATGAGGACTGATGATCTGGGCTGAAAGAGCAGCAGAGGGAAGATTAGAAGGTCCACATGAGCAGAGTGGAGGGAGGGTAGGTTTCCTGCAGACACTGAGGATACATACCTTTGCATTGATCAGGAAGGACCTTGAATGTCAGGAAAAAGATCTAGGACCTGAAGTGAAAAGCAATGGTCAGAATGATCAAATGGAAGCCACGTTTTAGGGAAATCATTGCTCTCTTCTTCCCATGCTGTAGCGTGTGTATGTCCCCCAACTGGAGAATGTAATTAGAGTCCAATGCCACCTAACATCACTCCTTTACTGTCTCATGAGTGCATATTTTTACCTTCCCAAAAGAGAATGATGCATTCCTCAAGGGTAAGAACCAAGGTTGATTGTTACTTCATTTTGTTTTGTTTGAGACAGGTTCTCACTCTGTCACCAGGCTAAAGTGCAGTGGTGTAATCGTTGTTCACTGCAGCCTTGACCTCCTGGGCTCAATCGATGCTCCTATGTCAGTCTCCTGAGAAGTTGGGACCAGAGGCACGTGCTACCCAGCCTGGCTAATAAAAAAAGAGGAGTAGAGAAGGGGGGTCTCACTGTGTTGCCCAGGCTGGTCTTGAACTCCTGAGCTCAAGCCATCCACCCACCTTAGCCCCCAGAAATGTTGGGATTACAGGTGTGAGCCACCATGCCCAGCCTGATGTTTATTTTGAACATTGTGTGACTTTCAGGACAGTATTAGGCACAGGGTAGGCAATCAATGCTTACTTTAAAAAAATAAATTGTATGGAATCCTGGTTTCCTCTTCTTTCATTTTCTTCATAAGGAAAATGAATAGAGAATCCTAATTTCTAATAGGTGTCCCCCAGGGGCAAAAGTGTAAATCAGTTTGCCTTCTGTCACCTTCCCTTCCCTTTCCTATACTTTTCCTCTTTCTTCCTGGGTTCTTAACCACCAACATTTTGCTGCTGGAACTCTTAAGTCCCTGACTTGTATGTCTGGAACTCAAATTTCTCCCTTTTTCCTTTCCTCATTCATTTTCCTTAGGGCCTTGGGGAGATCATTGATGTCCCTTTCTTTCACCGAGTGAGTTCCTGGGCCAAACTATAACTGATCATCTACTTTAACAATCTGGCTGTCTTTGACACAGCTCTGCAACTTGCCTGAAAACTGTCCTGCTGAGTTCAAATGGTCACAGAAATAAGAAAGATATCGATTAAAGAAGTTTAGAAGGAGCCAGGAGTTGCTACATGAGTGACAGGCTGTTTGACTATTCTGTGAATAAAAAATAGTTTATACCCAACTGTGAGTTGGGAGAGGGTAGACTATGTTTGGTTAGAGCCTTTTTTTGGCTAAGAAAAAAAAAAATAACTTTTCAGGTTCCAGGAAATTTACAAAGCCTGACTTTTTCTCTCTCTTTTTCTCTCTCTCTCTCATTTGTCGTCTTGACTCTAAACTGATAATTTCAAAATTACTTCAAGAAGAAACAAAGAGTAGGCCAGGCGTGGTGGCTCACGCCTGTAATCCCAGCACTTTGGGAGGCCGAGGCAGGATCACTTGAGGTCAGGAATTCAAGACCAGCTTGACCAACATGGTGAAACCTTGTCTCTACTAAAAATTCAAAAATTAGCCAGATGTGGTTGTGCACATCTGTAATCCCAGCTACTTGGGAGGATGAGTCAGAAGAATCGCTTGAACGCAGGAGGCCAGGAGGTGGAGGTTTCAGTGAGACAAGATTGCACCACTGCACTCCAGCCTGGGCGACACAGTAAGACTCCATCTCAAAAAATAAATAAATAAATAAATAAAAAGAAAGAAAAGAAACAAAGAGTAACTTTCTCTTCCCTGGATTATTCTTTAGTTAACGTTTTAGAGCTTTAACCATCTGAGAAAGCCAGTTCCGTACTGTGAAATATGGCAGAAAACCCTTCAAAAACTTCACGTACAAATACTTCAAGGATCCTAGGTCCTTGAACAAGGTTCTTTGTAAAGTGAGAGTAAAAATCAGAGTCAGATAAGCTGCAACAGATAAGAGTGAAGTTTTGTTTGTAAAGGGTGATAACTCTGAATAAATATTTACATTTCTTCTTTTCTCTCTTATATTGGTTATAATGTAGAACTGGAGCCTGGTTGCTACTTCTGCTGTTATTTTGTGTTTAACAGAGAAAAGATCAAGTAATGGGCTCTAAAGGAAGTCTCTGCTTTTTTTTCCCATGACTCCAGTTTGGACTAAGACTAACCATGTGCTCAGTGCAAACCAAACTGCAGGCCCATTGTGTTAAATAAATCATCTTTCTTGGTAGAGTTGCTCTTGCCAACCCACACCACGCGGTAACCATGCTCCATGCTTTCCCTCCTTTGTAGCAAGGCTGGAGGTGATCCCAGTTCCCAGTCCCAGGGCTAACTCCACCCCACTTACTCCTCTCAAGAAAGCGCATCTTGTGTTTTTCAAATTACACAACCCCCAGCAATTCTGATCTTCCTGCACAGGGAGTGAATGCCACTTCCAATATCCCCTGACCCCCAGGAATCACTGTTTTAAACTAATGATCAATATCATCCTTAAGGATTCTTGCAGGTTAAAAAGCGATGCTTGGAGAGGTAACCAGTAGGATGAGGCTTCCATGGCAGAGATTAGGTGAAACAAGAAAGACACCTCTTCATTCTTACCTTCCAAGACTGTTGGCTGTTTTAGTGCCCAGTGAGCATTATTGTCTGTCTTACAAGATGACCTCTATGTAAGTATTCTGGTAACAGGTTAGCTATCCTCTTAATGAACTGCGTGTGTGTGTGTGTGTGTTGTATCATATTACTGGATGACTGAACAACCATGCATACAGTGTATGAGTGTGTGTTTGTGTGTGTATGTGTACTTATTCAAGACTGTTTAAAAAGGAGAGAGGAGCATAAATCTCTCTTATTCTGCAGGCACGCTTATATACCGTGTTGAAAGAAGAGAGCCTGGGCTTTTGAATAAGACTGAGATGTTTAAAATTTTTAAAAAAATTTTTTGAGGTAACTGTAAATTCGCTTGAAGTTGTAAGGAATAATAGAGAGATTCCCTATAGACGCTTCACTTAATTTTTCTCAATGGTAACATTTTGCATAACTGTAGAACAATATTACAATCAGTAAATGGACATTAGTGTAGTCCAAATGTCTTATTCAAATTTCATGAGTTTCACGTGCTCTCATTTGTGAGTGTATATTCAGTTCTATGCAATTTTGCCACATATGTGATCTGCTTTTGAATCTCAGTTCTGTGGAGTTCCTGCTGTGTGATCCTGAGGAAGCTCTTTGACTTCTGGGAGATCCATTTTCCTCATCTGCAAAATAATGTCTGCCTCCTAAGAGTGATGTGAGAATTAGATAAGATAATTTCTGTCGAGTTTCTAGCGCACTGGATTCTCAAGGAATGCTGGTTTCCTCTTGTCTGTTGCTTGCTTTCTCGGTAGAAAAGGAATCACCAGTTTCCTGCTAAAATAACCAGACTTGTGGGTTGTAATCCATCAGGCGGATCCTTCAAGGGCAACACATTTAACCCTGCAGCTCAAAAAGAACCATGGCCTGGACTTGGGATCCTATTTGACTGCAATGAGATCAGAAGTGTAGGGATGGGGGAGTGAGAACGCAGACTCTGGGGTAGTAGGTAGGAGGCGATTAATATCGAGCAACTGTTGGGCTGGGAACCACCAACTCCAAGGAGTTTTCGTCCTGTGTGGCTTGCGACCGAGGGTTAGCTTCACCCGGAGAAGGCTGCACAGGGGCGGGAGCCTGTGAGGACGTGGTGGGCAGGTGCGGAAGCCAGTGTAGACCCGGCAGGAGGGTCGCGCTCGCTCTACAGGGTTCCGAGTCACTTCTACAGCCCTTCTGCCTCCTGAACACCCTTTCCAATGTTGATGGCCAATCGACACCCGAGGGCTGGGAAATCACCCCCTTAAAGTCCCGCTTGCTGAAGGCGGGGGCCCTTCCTCTGCGCGAAGACGCTGCGGCCCGAGTGTCCGCGGTGCGGGTGAGTGTAGGCGTGTTGGGAAAGAAAGGGAGGCGGACAGGCAAGGGGCGAGGGTGGCAGCGCCAGCCCCAGCTCGGTGGCGACCTCGGGGCGCCAGCCTCCTACACCCGCACCCGGAGCCCCGGCGTTTCTAACTTCAGATCTCGGAGGCGGGCGCTCGGAGCGGGAGGGCGCGTCTGCGAGGGCTCAGGCGGCGCCGCCCGCTCCTCCCTCCGCTGCCTGAGCCGCGCGGGCCGCAGAGGAGGAGCCGCGCCGGGGCCGGCGTCGCCCTGACTCCTCCTCCCCGCGCGGGCCCGGCCCTTCCTCCCCGGCGTCCAGAGCTCCGGGTGGCCGCGGCCGAGCCGGGAGCCGAGCGCGCTGGGCGCGGCCGTCCCGCTGCCGCCGCCAAGCCCGGAGTGCGCCAGCGGCCATGGTTCCCGCGGCGGCGCCGGGCGCCTGAGCCCCGGGACGCAGTAAGTGGCGCAACCCCGGGGACCCGGACCCACGGCCTGGGGGTGCACGGAGGCCTCGCGCTGCCCCCGCGCCGTCGGCGAGGCCCTGAGAGCCCGGAGCGAACTGGGCACCGGATCACTCGGGGGCTTCCCATTTGGGGTCCGGGGCCAGCGGGGCGCAATCCCTGCGGGCCGGGAGGAAGCAGCGGCCGGGCGGGAGGACGAGGCGGGGACGGGGCTGCTTCGGAGGCGGGAGGAGGGGCCGGTCCCGGAGGCGCGGGCTGCGCGGGCGGGGGCGGGCCGGCGGGGGCGGGGAGGATGCGCGCTGCAGCCCGCGGCCCCCGAGAGCCGCGCTTTTGTAAGAGCTGGCCCCTTACATATGGAAATGACGCTCACGCGGGTCCCCATTCGCGTCCTTTTGAAGGACGCCCGCCCGGAACCGCTGCGCCGGCTGCGAAGTATTGTCCCGTTTCTCCAGCCCTAACAAAGCGTCCTCCTTCGCTTTGCAGAGCGCTGGAGGCGGGCTGCCGGCTGTGCGGGCGCTCCGGAGAGACCGACAGAAGGTAGGCGAGGGCGGCGGGGCCGGGGGAGCGCGCTGCCTGCCCACACAATGGGCTGTCTGAGGTTTCTGGTAGTGGCGATGGGCAGGCGAGTTGAGGACGCATCGCAGGTGGCCAGGGACTTGGGAGGCGCGCTTGTCCTGCGGCCGCACCTCCGCTTCCCCGCGCGGCAGCACCGCTGGGTTTGGGCACTTCCAGTACCCCCGACGCCCCGGCCGCCTGCCCGGAGCTGAAAGCCGCTTCTGTGCTTTGACCGAGAGCAGGCTTGAGTCCCCGAGGGAGCAGAAGGGGTGGTGGTTCCGTTGGCATGTGCCGCCCGTACAGCCTTGTGATTGAGACGCTGCAGAGGAAACTGCATGGGGAAATCCGAGGTGTTAGCCTGGGCTGTCTGAGTAGCGGAGAGCTGCTTGGAGCCCGGAAAGTGGAGATTTTTGGAGGTGTGCGGGGTCGATGCGCGTAAACAGTTTCCCAGTATAATGCCCAGGAGAAGGGGAAAGAACAAAATGACATTTGGTTATTGCCTAAAAGGTGTGGCATGGAGGTATGGAGTGTCGGGGAAGGAAGCTTCCAGCGGCTAGGCTTCTGTAGCTACCGAAGCGGCCCCTGACAGAAGGACACTAGGTGATGGGAACAGTCACTGCTTCCAGCTCTCGCTGCGAAGTTAAAAGAGATAGAGACGGAAAGAGGCAATTTCCCTAACCCCAGCCCTGACAACCCGAGGTGAAGGCACCAACAAAATGGGAGCTGGAAAGACTGCCCTACCATATATCATGTTTCCAGACAACTTGGATATTATGAGATCTGCTTTCTGCTCCTAACTAGGACAGATCCTCTCCTGGTGTTGAGGACTTCTAAGATGGGCTTGCCATACAGCTCAACTCCTGAATTTATTACATCGAAACAGATTGCGTAGTTGTCTTTTGTGACTGACATGGTAGCTTTGTAGGATGAGAATCCTGATAAAGTCCATCCTGACACATGAGGGAAGCCCCTGGAACCACGACGTTTCTCAGTTAGGTCCCCGTAAACACCATAACATACACACATGTTTGCATGATTCCGGAGGCTTGATGATCTAACAAGGAAAATTCCTTTTTTCTGTCAGTTTAATTTTACCTTGAGTCTTCTCTCGTGGTGAGCATATTATATAGGTGGCTGACCTGGAATATTGGTGGCTCTTGCTCCGGAGTTGAAGGGAGCTGAGGATTTCCAGAGTGTGTATAGGAGGAACATTACAGGCTGGCTGAAAAACGAGTTTGTGTGTTGTGGTCTCTTCAGCTATTGTCAGTGTCCTTTGGGAGGTGATGTGAACTGCCCGGGAATTTGTTTGCAGATTTGTTTATTTTCCCTGTTCTCTGGTGATTCTTTAGAGGGAAGCATTCTGCAGAGTGGGGAAAAGGTAGGATGAATGTTCCACAGGGTTGGACATCGGCAAAGTTATTACCAATACAGGGAAAGGCTTCACAGGGGGCAATAGAGAGGAAGCCATCATACAGTCTGCATTAAAATGTCAAGGATCAGTCATTTTAATAGGCACTTGCTCAGAATGGCGTGGGGTTCTTTTTTCTTATTTCTTTTTCATTTTAGATGTGTAATGACCCTTAATATCAAAAGATGTTAACTGTCACAGAGGGGGAGAATAGGGCTCCAGTGAATTCTGAACAGCCAATCTTAATGTAATAGGCAGTATTCTTATCATGAGTCAAATGTTCAAATAAATTGTTTTAAATGTCACTGCAAATGACTTTCTAAACTAACATTTCAACTATCTTGATGCTTCCATTTTATGTTGATAATGAAAATGCATTTTATCAGTCTTACATTGATAAAGGGTGGGCAAGCTTAGCCAGAGCATTTTAGAAGGATTTAAACAGCGTGAAGCCTTTTTAGAAGGCTTATTTTTATAGATGCCAATTCATTTGTAAGCCAATAAATTATCTGGTTTGAATTCTAGCTATTGAACTTGCATCTGTTGGGCAGGGGCTTATGGAGAGACTTAGTGAAGCTTGCAAAAAGATTTTTATCCTATTTATGAATAAAATAGAATTTTGAAAAGATTATGAGATTCTGAAAGTGAGCATCCTTGTTTGAAATTAGGACACTTCTTTATTGCAATTTAAGTCAGCAATTAACCATTTATTCAAGCTTTTGGATGGAAAAATTACAAAGCATCTATCTATACCCTAATTCTCACTTTAAAAACAAAGTTGGGAAAATATTGTTCATAGACGTGAGAAGAGAAGATCACCTTCACTTACACCTCAGGGTACCATACTCATAGCCTCAGGCATCCTAAATTAATGTGAGTCAATATGGCTTAAGAAGTGGAAGTTGTTATAAGCTTTCTCCTTTTTTTTTTTTTTTGTAACAAACATGCAGCTCTGTTTTCTGCTTCTGTAATTTACTTAGTAGTTGATTACAGGTTACTGAATGCACATTGTGCCAGGCTAATGGCGTTTTTTTGTTGTTGTGTTTTTTGTTTTTTGTTTTTTTTTTCCTGTAGCTAACCTGAGTTAACTACTTGATTGGGTAATCTACCAGTTATTAGGTTGAACAAAAGCATGGGTTTATTACATCCTTCAGGATAGTAAAATAATAAAGGTTGCTTACATTTTCGAATAAACGCTGATAGGATTCCCTTAGTTAAATATTATAGTGTAGTTGACAAAGGTTGTTATTTTTCTTTTTCTTTCTTTTTTTTTTTTTTTTTGATACGGAGTCTCTCGCTCTCTCCTGGGCTGGAGTGCAATGGCATGATCTCGGCACACTGCAACCTCTGCCTCCCAGGTTCAAGCAACACTTCTGCCTCAGCCTCCCGAGTAGCTGGGATTACAGGTGTGCGCCACCACACCTAGCTATTTTTTTTTTTTTTTTTGTATTTTTAGTAGAGACAGGGTTTCAACGTGTTAGCCAGGATGGCCCCGATCTCCTGACCTTGTGATCCACCTGCCTCAGCCTCCCAAAGTGCTATGATTACAGGCATGAGCCCCCGCTCCCAGCCATTTTTTCAAATGTATTTAATGTGACTTTCTTCCTGTGCATTTAAGCTTTCGTGTTATATTTTTGTATCATGATTTCATTCACAGTGATATTGTTGTGCTTTTGGTATCCAGCTAGAAGTGAGACACTGAGCAGAGAGGAGGCATTCTGACAGTAATCAGTTTGCTGCTAAGCAGCACTGGTTTTTGGCGGAAGTATTCTCCTATATAAACTCGTAAATGGCTGCAACTGCTTTTTCTATTGAGCTTTTACTAAACTTGAATTTATCCTTGTCACTCTTTCCTTTTATACTGAAAGTAGTCCAATATGGTGAGCCTGAAAATCTGTGCAGCCAATTAAAGTATTTGCAGAAAAGAAAGAAGAAAAAGAGCACTTTAATTTGATCATTGGCGTTATTAGGCTCCGACTTGCCAAATGGTGAAAGCTAAAGGCATAAATGGAGAGCTTTGCCCAAGTGGGGTTTGTCGGTGTTCATCACGTCAGCTGTAGAGTAAGTAAATGAGTCACTGGTGGTCACTGCCTAGTCTGTGGACCCCCAACAGCTATGTCTGCACACAGGTCCAAAAGCATCTATTATGATGCCCTCTCAAGGAAAGCAGCTGAGCCGAGAGGGGCATGCAGACATTCCGCAGAGCTCTTCAGCTGCTGAACCATCTGGATGCGAAATAAAAGGCCTGGGCTAGGGGCTCTAGCATTGTGCATATTTATTACTTGGTTTTCACTTGCCAGACTTTGTCCCCTTTTCACTCGCCAGACTTTGTCCCTTTTTCACTCCCTCTGGCCCAGAACAGACGTCCCCTTTAGCTGGGGTGTCATTGTTACAAGCTCCTTTCTGTACCTTGGTTGAACACTGAAAAGTTCATAAATCCACATGTCCACTCATGATTCTAGCCACACCTCCACCTATTTAGTTTGCAGTCCTATTTGGCACTGTGATTTCATCAGCTGGGGTAATGAACACCACTGTCAGAGTCGGCAGCATTTTGGCAGCCTTATTTTGAGTTATTTGGAAGGAAAATGCTCAGAATAATTGTCATTATGGGTGGTTATTGAGTGGTAAATGTTTTGATTAATGGTTCTGTGCATCTGCTTCTTATTTAACCATCCCCAGTTAGAACTCCAAAATATTGCCCATACTGGTTCTTTCATTCCGAAAGAGTCATAAAGCCTTCTGACAATTTGACTGGAAAGGTAGATGGTGAGGAGAGGCCCAGGTTTATTATGGCAGGCTTCGTAACACTGGAGCTCTTCTTTGCAATTTGAAGTAGAATTTCTCGCTCAAAATGTAACTTTCTTAATCTCTGAGTAAGACTCCTGCCTCTGGTGGGTACCAGTTAGGATCTGACCCTGAAAAGCACTGGATTGCACAGATTATACATACTTAAGTGTTTATTCAGGGGAAGTCATTTACGAATTACCAATTCCTGGGCAATGCCCATTATTGAAGACATGGGACACTTCATGATCATTTTTATATAAGAATTTCTTTCTTTCATGCCCTAAATCCCAAAGCTGCTTTAGAAAAAAAAGGGAATGTGTATTCTATCTGTATATCCCTGGTGCCTTGTAGGCTATAATTATTCAATAAATGGATCAAGGGAGGTAGGAAGGAAGGAACTCTGCTTCTCAATTCCAATTTGGAAAAGTTTGTGGCCATGGAGTGTTGTGTGGGGATTTCTACTGCTTAGTACTGTTCAACTGGCTAACACATAAAGGTGGAGATAAGTGGTTTGCCAATGGCATCATTTCAGAGGTCTCATTCATGTGTTCTGTGTGCATGTGTAGGATTGAGGGATAATATAATTCAGTGTCACACTAGAGTGCAAATCTTGGCTCCACCCCCATTTTGTTCAAGGAGATTAATGCTGTCTCCTTGGACAGTGGCTTAATTTTGCCAAGCCCCAATT
Source organism: Homo sapiens (assembly GCF_000001405.40). Classification (NCBI taxonomy): domain Eukaryota; kingdom Metazoa; phylum Chordata; class Mammalia; order Primates; family Hominidae; genus Homo; species Homo sapiens. The sequence continues at coordinate 50,825,559 of NC_000014.9, read as the reverse complement.
TCTACATCTTGCGTGGGAAAATGAGAAGATCCACTTCTAAGATTTGGGAGGATTAAATGAGATGATATACATAAAGTACTTAGTTTAGGCCAGACTCATAGTAAATGTTCAGAAGTAATTCCCAGTTACAGTGCAGCTTTCTGCTTTTATTTGACATTAAATTTATCAATAACCTGCTTTTAAAGATAGAGGAAGCTCTGAACATTACCTGCTGCCATTATCATTTAGTTATATAATGATGTTTATATACATAGTACACTCCCTGCCCATTCTCAGTCTGTTCTATAGCATTTCACATCTCCTGCTTTGCTTCTTTGGAGGTAGATCTGTAGATAATTCACTTGTTACCTCCTCTTCAGTTTACCACTCCTTTGTAGCTGCAGGTATTCTTTTGGTTATCTTAAATTCCCTCTTGTATCAGCTTTCTCTGGAATTAGCCACTCTCGCTTGCTTGCCACATTTAACTCTCAGAACAAACCTTCCAGATGGATATTGTTATTCTCATGCTGTAATCGAGGGGACTTGAGAAAGGTTTTAGTATAGATTCTCCTCCAAAGTTTCATCCCATAGCAAGACAATGCAGTCGAAGTTTGTGAATCCATTTACTTAATTACTAGCCTATTGAATTAAACTTCAGACAGCGCTGCATGTTACAGATTGGCAGTTGGTGTTGGCTTTCTACTTCTTGCTTAGGAGGCTGAAAATGCCTTTGAGAAAGGGTGGGATGGGGGAAGTGGAGGTGTGTAGGTGGATGAGATGGGCATTCCAAAATTTTCATATGCCCATTTCTGTAGACCTCATTTAGGGTACGTTTCCTCTCAAGGAGTGATCCATACAGGAAGTCAATCCATGATATTTACCAAATCCCTGGCTTGAAGAACAGACTGACTGTAGTATGCATTTGGGGGAAGATATAAAAGAAATAGGAGCGTGGATCTTACCATTAAAGAACTTTCTGCCAAGTGGGGAGAAAAAAATTCTTGCACATGAAATTACTGATGAACATTTGGGAAATAATATCAACCAGTAAAAATGCCTTCTGTGCCAGATGAGCACTGACAACTTGTCACCATGCGTAACATCTCCTGGATGTTTCAGCGTGAGCATTTGTTCCACAGGGGTGGTGCTTGTCTCCCCTTCAGTCAAGCACAGTGTTTTGAGAAGGAAGGAGATGAAATAAAGAGATAAAGAAAAGAAAGCTGCCATAAAATGAAAGAGGTTTGATTTAGTGAAAATCCAATGACCTCCCAAAGAGTGGGGCATGATAGTATATCAAATTCGACACCGTGGATAAGATCAGGGCTTCTCAGTACATCAGTGTTTTATTCCTCTCTTTCATTGGTTTAAGATGGACAAATCCCCGCCCCTTAAAAATAATTTTTAAAAAGGGAAGTGTTAGAATTCTTTCGCTTTTGAGTTTTTAAACATATATGCAAAATCAAGCAAAAGAAGAGTCTTGCTTTTATGAGGTCGGTCAGATAACAGCCCAGGGGACTGTAAAACTCAGAGTGAGACTAAGAGCTACCGCAACACTGAAAATCCTGGAGCACCTTGGGGATTCTCAGCAGATCTTAGTTGACAATTAACTGGTGGACTCTAAGTGAATCTTGTTAGCGAAGTGTTGGCCTTGTCTAAATTCTTAACTCCTGTGGCTTTGCATAACAACTTGGTGTTTCTTTTCTGAGGCTTTGATGTTTATATAACACTCTCAACTTATTTTGAAAA